>NC_000004.12:45314409-45623833 GCF_000001405.40 Homo sapiens
GGTGAAGACAATGTAAAGCCTTAATCTCACTCATCATGAAATTTCCTCTTAGTAAGAATCAAAAACAATTTCTGGAATCCAATATGAATGTTAAAAAAGATTTAGACTTAAGATGACTTCACAGCACATCAGATAGTTACTGGGTCCAGATAATGTAAGGAAGAGGCCATGGGTAGAGATCAAGATGCCAAAGGTGAATGTGGAAACAAAGTAGAAATGGTAGAAGATATATTCTAAGCATAGGGTATCATATTTGTGAATATATGCCTAAATAAAGAGCTTTGTAAGTTTGGTTTAGCTGCAGAAAGAAAATTTTGGTGAGGAGTTAGCTTAGGACTTCAATGATGTTGGTAAGTTGAATCAGGTACTATTTTAATCCCCAGTATATCCATTGAAATTCAAGTCTGGATATTACTAGCTAATGACCTATCTTCCATTTATATCTGACATGCCTATTTAGCAAAGGGTTACTTTACATGAAACAAACATGTACTTCAACTACCTGAGTTTCCAAAATAACTAAAATTCATCAGTGGCCAATACTGGCTAAAGTGAGACAAATTTCTGGGAAAATGGTGGTTTTTCTCCTGATATTTATGTGTAATATTTGAATGACTTATCTTCAACTGTTCTCATTTCTAACATTTCTACATCTAATCCATCATCAACAGTGTTGGATCTAACTTCAAAATATTAAGCATCTGCATACTTTCAACACATCCAATGTTAGCCCTGAACCATTAACCAGGCAGCCATTTTCTCTCTCCTTGTGTATTGTAATTGCCTTCTAAGCTATAATCTTACTTTCCTGATTGTGTCTCCTGACTATTATCAACTAAGTAGACAGAGTGATCTTTCAAAAATTTTAAGTCCGGTCATAACATCCCTCTGTTCAAGACATTGTGAGTGATTGTCATCTCAGTCACAGTAAAAGTCATGCCATGATTGAACTAAGTTCTTTATGAGTTATCACTGATTGAATATGCTTAGTAGCCATTTAAAGTAAGCACTATTATAATCATTCTCTTTTTATTTAGAAGAAAGGGCATAAAGAATAACTTGACAAAGTAAAATATCTAGTATGTGGGAGCTAGGGTTTACATCCAGGCATTCTAGCTGGAATAGAGATAAAATAGAGATTAAAATTTGAAACATTAATAAAAGAGAACAGAAATAGTTGACTTTGAAGATTTGGTTTATTTTTTAAATGCAATGGACTTATAAATCACTAGCTATTTTAGGTGATTTTATTTGTAAGGAGAAAATACAAATACAGATAACTAAGAAAGAAGGCTAGTATAGCTACTAATATAGAAGAAATTCACAGTTTAGAAAAGTATAGCTTATTGAAAGGGTTCTTGTTTTTTTCTTCCTCCTTCCATCCCTCTCTCTCTCTCTCTCCCTCTCCCTGTCTTATTTTTACCTACCTAAGGAAGGAACTATAATCGCCTAAGTTGGATAATAGTTCCTAATATGAAAATGAGGGTCCAATGTCAAATTTTATAATGACACACAAAAAAGGAATTTATGTAAACTTTCCCAATTTTTGAATGTTAGCTTAAAAAAATTAAAACAATGTGTAATTTAAAACAAACAAAATATCTGTTGGTCAAACTCAACCCACAATCCGAGCTTTTGTCCTTTGATAAAAGGCAAGATCACAACGTATATTTAGATGGCATTTTATAAACATTGAGGTTTATACCTGAATTTTTGTAATTGTTGAGCATTAGTGAAATCCTACATTTGGCAAGATGTAGGGTACAAATGTTCAATGTTTTATTTAAATGAAAAAAAGTTCTTTAATAATAAGCTGAGTTAGAAATAGGCTTTATAAAAAGAACTTCTGCAATTTGAAAGACCCAATAATTACATACCCCTAAATAAAAATGTATTTTTTTCCCACATAGGGGTGAGTTGAAACCATATTGATAAACAGTCTAAAGCTTTTGTTTGTTTCTTTTTAAAAATACTGGCAGAGAAGTAGGTAGTAGGTTCTTCACTCACTCAGCAAATATGTATTCAATACCTATTTTGTGTGCCAAGAGTTGAATGCAAACTGTTATGTAAAACAGACATTGCTCAATACCTTCATGGAGAATTTGGTCATTTCTAATCTCTAATAGTGAATTAAAGAAATAAAGAGAGATGGAGAGAGAGAGGAAAGGTGGGAGGGTGGAAAGGTGGAAGGGTGAAGGGGATGGGGAGTAAGACGGTAAAGGAGGAACGTCCACAAAATTTGAACTATGTGGTATCTTGTCAAAACTTCAAGATGAAACAGTTATAAAGTATATTCTTTGACTCATTAATTAGTAGGTTTGTTTTGTTGTTAAATTAGGTAAAAACTGAATGAAAGCTACCCAAAATGATAATTTTTTGGTGGTATTGGTGGAAAGAATTATTAGTCTTAAGCCATTCTGTCTGGCCATGGTTATAGATCTGTGCCAGTTGTTCATCAAAATTTCTTTAGTTTATTGCAATAAAAGTAAGTAAACTGTATCATCTACATTATAGTTTTTATCTTTTTCCTAATTTCTATACAATTTTATATAATTCATGGTTCATGATAAATAAAGGACTTATCTAGTTATACTTTTATCTTACTATACTTTGAATAACTGGAGGTTGGACTGAATTCTCACCCCACAACTTTAACAATAAAAAGCCATAGACTTAAAGAATATTAATGCTAGAAGGAATTTAAGGGATTATCATTTGTCCACATTTCGTAGGTGTAAGGCTGAGATCTAATGAAATATTTTGTCAAGAGTTTATAGGAACATATAGAGGAGGCCTACATAGAAAGTGGTTGAGTACTTTGAATGAAAATACCAAAATGTCTGTTTATGAGATATGTTTAAAATTCATCTGTATTTTTAAGATGAAGCACATGCTGTGCAATCAGTTTAGTTCATAGGTAAAGAGCATTATTTCTAATCTTGATTGCAGCAATTTCCTGCAAGTTTTGGCTGGTACTATTTTTGACTTTTGAGGCTATGAGCTCTGCTGTGCTTGGCTCACTGTTGGAATTTCATCAGTAGTGTTTATGAGTCATGTGAGCTGATAGCCATAAAGCTTAGCCTGAGTAAGCTATAATGTTCCGCCAATGGTGGTAGGGGTCAGAATGTGAGAGAGACGTAAGGATTTGAAATCAGCTGCTAGAGTTGGTGTTATTGCTGGGGAACATGATGATACTAGCAGAACCAAGTAGCTCAACATAAAGCAAAGAACAGGGATTAAAATTGTTCATTAACCAGCACACATAATCATTCTTCTGGTCTTTTTCCTAAAGGACTTAGGAGTTTTTTGCCTCTAATATTTTCAAGCGATGATACAGAACAAACGTCTTTAAGTGATTTATTTGGAATTTGTTCCTTGTGAATTGCATGCTTTCTATAATCTTTAAACTGGGTGATTTTGATCTTTAATAAAAAAAGCATAATTGACCAATATGACAGGCATTATTAATATTAGTTGGTTATTTCATGTTGATGGATGATTCTTATTTTAGTAGTATACACCATGGTGACAGCAGATAAACAAGAGTAAAGCAAAACATTGTCTGGGACTCTTATTCAAGCAACTGATTTTCTATTGGATCTTATTTAAAGCTTTATTTTGGAAACAGGAGAGCAACATTTTATAAAGCAAATACTGCCATACTCTAATAAATAAATCTTGCAGAGAAAGAAAAAGACATAAAAGAAACATTATTTAATGCAAAGCTATGTTTTGCTATTGTGTTTCTGGTCAGTGGTTTTATATAGTACTTGAGAAAACTCATCACCCCTTGTTGTCCAGTGCAATTACATGGTGTTAGTATATACAAAGAAAGACTTTTGTAAATTTTCTGTAATGCTAGTTTGTTCAAAGCCTACAGGGAGATCACTTTTAAAATGTTTTATTTGTATGTGAGGTTTAACAAGAAAATTAAGTTCTATAAAAAAAGTTCTTATAAATTTTTGTGATCTCTTTCAATTGTTACTTCTAAAGGACAAGCAATTCCATGATATGTGTGTTTCTCCCACATCGCTTTGTAATCTCTCAATTGCATTTACTATGAAATTATTTATAAAACCACAAGACATTAGAATAGGAAAGAGGAAAAGAGATTGACTTTTTTTTAGATTACAGATATTAAATACTATTATTCTGAAGCCAAAAATAACTAATTGGTAAATATCAATGGAAAATGAATATGCATTATCAAAAAGTTAATTTTTATTATATCCAGTTGAAAAGGTATTTCTTTAAGGCTATCAGGGAAACTTTAGGCAGGCTTAGGAGTTGAAATCTTCAAAAATTTTTTTTGAATAATCTATTTTTTTCTACTTATAAAGAAAAAATGTATCTATTATTATGAATTTATATAAATAAAATTACTTATAACTTTTCAAACACCACTCATTTTAAGATTTTATCATTATAATTATGTGATAATATAAAATATTGATTAACCTCCATAACTGAATAGTATTTAATTTTTTCTAATTATTTTCACTTTTATTATATCAGTAGTTCTGTGTTATAGCTGATAATGTAGGAATACTCATTTTTAGTTAATAAAAGAGGAGATTTTATGGCTAGGTTGAGATTGTTCCTATCCCAGACCAATGATTATTTTAATGTCATTGTGGGCCATGACCAAACATTTCCTTCTCATCCCAAAGTACCAATTCTGCTTACAAATAGTATTAATGTATATTTGCATTCTGGCAAATGGCCAGATATATCTGCATTACCATTTTGAAATAGAGGCAAAGTAAAGGAAATACATTTTGGGGAATAATAGAGTGCAATAGAATATCTGCCTTTAGCCCTTCCACTAAGGATTTTATAAACTAATTAGCAAGCATAGTCATGATTAATGCTGTTAATTATCCAGCTTTTCTTGCAGTGACAAAGTTGTATTATACTTCCCAACACGTCAGAGCTAGATATGGCTATGTGAGATTTTTCTTAAGAACATATAAGCAGAAATGGCATGTATACCATTCCGGCTGAAGCATTAAATAATGGTTCATTTTTTTTTTCCTGTTTTTTTGAATCTCTGCCTTCACATGGGAACTGGAAATGTTTAGAGATGGTGGCTACTCTTTCTAAATGTACTGACTGAGGAATATAACAAGCAGAGCATCTTAATGTCCTCATGTATGTAGAACATACATTTTTTATTAGCATACAGTAAAATTATCTTATTTTTGGTGTGTCTTTTTGTGGGTTTCTTTAGATTTATTGATTGGATTTAATAATACCAACATGGTCAGTATAGGGAATAGTTCCCTCATCTCCAAAAATTCTTTCTTGCTGTAATTTCGTAGTCAGTCACTCTCCTCTGAGTTAATCTTTGGTAACTATCAATATATTTTCTCTGTTCCTATAGTTTAATCTTCTTTATAATGTTATTTGAGATGGAACTACACAGAACATAACTTTTTGATACTGGCTTTAGTCACTCAGCATAATGCCTTTCAGATTCATTCATGTGTTATATATTATCCAAAACTTTCATTTCTGAGCATCCATTGCTTTTCATTTTTGAGTAGCCTTCCATTATATGAATGGACCAGTTTGTTTATCCATTCACCTATTAAAGGGCATTTTGATGGTTTCCAGTTTTAAGATGATTACAAATAAAGATGGTAGATACCTTGTTTACAGTCTATTTTTGGAACATGTATTCAGATTCTCTGGAGGGATAGAACTAATAGAATATATGCATATATGAAAGGGAGTTTACTAAGGAGATTTGACCCATAGGATAACAAGGTGAATTCACACAACAGGCCATATACAAGTTGAGGAGCAAGGAAGCAAGTAGTGACTCAGTCTGAGTCCCAAAACCTCAAAAACAGGGAAGACGACAGTGCAGCCTTAAGTCTTTGGCAGAAGGCCTGAGAGCCACTGATGTAAGTCCAAGGGTCCAAAAGCCAAAGAACTTGGAGTCTGATGTTTGAGGGCAGGAAGCATCCAGCACGGGGAGAAAGACGAAGACCAGAAGATTCAGCAAGTCAGCTTCTCCCCTCTTCTTCTGCCTGCTTTATTCTAGTGGTGCTGGCAGTTGATTGTATGATGCCCACCCACACTGAGGGTGAGTCTGCATCTCCCAGTCCACTGACTCAAATGTTAATCTCTTTTGACAACACCTTCACAGACACACCCATGAACGATACTTTGCATCCTTCAATGAAATCAAGTTGACACTTAATATTAACCAACACAACTTCTTTATTTAGAAGTAGAATTGCTGGGCCGTATGGTAAGTGTATGTGTAACTTTGCAAGAAATCCTCAAACTTCCAGTGCAGCTATACAATTTTGCTTTCCCACCAGCAATGTATGAGAGTTGCGGTTGCTCTGCATCCTCGAAAGCACTTGATATTGTAAGCTTTTATAAATTTATTTTAACAATTGTGTAGTAGTATCTCATTATAGTTTTAATTTGCATTTTTCAAATGGATTATGTTAAATATATTTTCATGTACTTATTTTCCATCTGCATTTTTCATGTGCTTACCATTTACATATTTTTGGTCAAGTGTCGGCTAAAGACTTGTCCATTTTTTTAACTGACTTGTTTATGTTCTTCATAGTGAGTTTTGAGAATGTTTTTGTATATTCTGGATATAAGATATGCAATGGCAAATATTTTCTCCCAGTCTGTAGATTGTCTGTTTATTCTCTTGCTAGTGTCTTTCACTGAGCAAAAGTTTTAATTGTGATAAAGTCCAGTTATCAATATTTTTCTTTTAGATATCTATTTTTTGTTGCCATGTCTAAGGCTTTTTTTTTTTTGCCTAATCTAAGATTGTAAAGTTTTTCTCCAAGATCTTCTTCTCTAAAATTTTATAGTTTTTCTTTCATATCTATGACTCATTTATGCAAGTTTTATTTAACATTTTTTATTAGTCTTTTGATTTTTCAAATTATGTAACTGAGGTATGATTGACATAATTAAAACCGGATGTATTTAATGTATACCACTTGATAAGTTTGGTGCTTTTGGCGGTTTGTTGAGAGAATCAGGGTTTTTTTTTTTTAAATTTGGATGTCCATTTGTTCTGATACTATTTGATTAAAAAAACGCTTTCTCTATTGAATTGCCTTTGCACCACTTACAAAACTCAGTTGACTAAAGCTAGGTGAAGTGGCACATGCCTATAGTCCCAGCTCTTCAGGAGACTAAGGCAGGAGGATTGTTGAGCCCAGGAGTTTGAAGCCAGTCTTGGAAACATTCCAAGACTCCATGTCTGTAATATAAAGTCATGGATTTATGCATTTAAGATTTTTTTATGAGAAAATTATTTTGATTACTGTACCTTTATAGTTATTCCTAAAGTTGGTTAATGTATATCCTCCAACTTTTACCTTTTTTTCCAGAATTCTTTTTGTTACTGTAGTTTATTTGACTTTCAATATAAATTTTAGAATCAGCTTGTTGATACCTCCAATAAGGCTTTCTGAAACTTGGTTAGAATTGCAGTGAAGATATAGATAAGTTTTATAAATTAGGAAAATTGATATTGTGGTTATGCTTTTGCAATATGTGAACATGATACATTTCCACTTATTTAGGTTTTCCTTGGTATTTTTTCATTAATATTTTATAGTTTTAAAGATATTGTGAATAAGGAAATTGTATTTCTTCTTTTTCAATTGGCTAGACTTTTATTTACTTTTCTTAATGGGATCATTGACAGTAGACATCCTTGCCTTGTTCCCAGTCTTAGAACGCATTCAATCTTTCATCACAAATACAATGTTTGCTTTAGGATTTGTTCATTTTTATAGAGACCTTTTATTCATTTTGCCAAATTTTCTGACAAAATTTACATTTTATTTAGATTAAAATAAACTGTACTAAATTTATTTATTTTTTTAATACGGAAGTATTTTCTGTATTTTTTCCAGATAAAACATAAAACACCTATTTTTACAGGTTTTCCAGGTTTGGCTTATGAATCAAGATGAGGCATTAGATATAGTTATGACAAAAAAAATGGAAGAAAACAGACACGTCAGATATACGTATCCATGGCCTCTGATTCTGCCTTGACCATGAAACCTATATTTTCAACATATACTGACTAAAAAGTTTATGATATGGCCTCAACAAAAGAATGTAAATAGCAACAAGAAGTTTACAACTGGAGTTTGAATGGAAGAGTCTGCCATTTTTGTCCCACATCTTGTTGTTGCTGTTTACATTCCTTTGTTGAGCCTACATCTCCATAAGCTGTTTAGCCAGCATATGTTGAAAACTTAGCAATGGTGGACTCTTCCATTTAAACTTTAATTGTAAACTTGTTCCTTAAAGTTCATTTGATAAAGACAAAATCCACACTGAAATCCTGGTTTGGTGAGCTTTGTAAGTGTCTTTCTCTGGTAATTTCTTTAACTGTTTATTATAGATTATGAACAACATATTTAAAACTTCTACTAGTCAAAAGCCAATTGTGGATTTCACTGTAATATTTTATGATATGTATTTTGTCTTGCCACAACTCCTCAAAATTTATTTCTTAAAAGAATTGATAATTCAATACCCAATAACTGGATGTGCAGTGGAAATAAATGTTATGTCTAAAATGGATTAACCTAAACAATTCCAGAGTGAAGCTAGCAGGGATCACACGAAAGTGAAACACAGCACTTTCCATACTATATTCTGGAAGAACAGATTGGTCTTCAAAGCATGAGAGTTAAAACAAGGGCCTTTTAAATACATAGATCATTAATGGCTAAGGTACTCAATGGAAAGCCTATAGGCAAAGATATGCCTTACAGCTTTTCTTCCAAACATCAAATATAAAAGAAGACATATTTTAAAAGTCTCTTAGGCATTTTCACTGGCTTCTGAATTATCCACAGGAAGCTGTTAGTTGTATAGAGTTTGATATATGTACTCCCAATTAAGTCTGGTGTGTTTTATATCAAAAGTTTTGTTAAGTAAAGCTGAGTTACTCAACCTTTGTTCCATCAAAGTGTTTAAGTATGCTTTCAGACACTTTCATAGATTTTCATAGCACTTATTCTCAATCTTCGTCACAGAAAGAATACACAGGTCCTTTAAAGATCCATATATATTAGGAAAAAAAGATGTCAGGCAGGTGGAATGCTTCATACATGGGGGACAGAAGTCCTATATCTTTACTCTGTGTTTCCATATGACTCTTCAACAAGGAAGCTCAGCTGAGAACATGTCTGGACTGAGTAAGTGACTTCTGTACTTGTCAGCATGGTGTTCCTCAGATGTACTGAATTTAAGCTGTCCTATGACTGAAGGTACCAGAAATAAGCATATCATAGTTCTGAGGTACTGTTCTGAGAACATATCTTTGAGGTACTCTTCTGAGAATATATCTTTCAGTTTCTGAAAAATGTGCTCCACAGTTGGAACACTTAGGGTTTCTTTATAAAAACTCTCAGAGGTCAGTTGAGGTGCCATGTTACCTTGCTAAGCTCTATGGAATTTCCCAGGGAGTTTTATTTGACTATCAAGTTTGGTTACCAAATCTGTGGCTTCCTCAAACTAAAAATAATGATAGACTTCAATATCTTCCATCACTTCATTGAACGAATGTAGTACTGCAGTCAAACTACTGCCTACAAAGACGATATCAGAGGTGTGACCCTGGAGATTTCTTCAAAGGGTTCATGTAAAGGACTTTTTTTAATAACAATGGTAACAACGAAATCAAAATCTGTTGCTGCACTACAGAGGACAAATTCTTGGCTGGATACTCAGTCATCTCATCTAATATTGCATCATCATTTATATCATTTAAACATAAAGAAGTGCTAGCATGAGGTCCACTAAAATTTCAAAAGCATCATGCCTGCCTGTTCAATGGGAATACCAGATTTCCTTTAGTAATTTACCCTTTTCTCCACTGTTTTGAAAAAGAGCAGAAATGACACTGTCAACTCCTAAAAGCAGTTGTGATTGATGGAAAAAATGAAGAAACTTCTGCAGTTGTTCCTAATGCAACAGATAAACCCATAATAGGCATTGATTTTGTCAATCACATATTTAAGGCACAGGAAAGGCAGGGCGGGTAGATACCTTGAGGATATTTTTCTAAAAGTCTAGGAGAAACAACTTTCATTTTGGAAGAGAATCCATTGTACACAATGTAAACTTGGCCATGACAATAATACTCCATATTTAGTCCCCATTTCTCAGTTATGGTAGTGTGAAATTTCACAGCCAAAATTTCTGCTTCAGCTTCATAAGGCAGGAAGCCCACAGATTCCTCTCTCAGGTTATGCGATTCATAAACAAACCTCTCCAACACAAGTGGGCACTCTTCCCCTGATATGTCCACTACATTGTCAGTGATGGCTGTGTTTGGATATTTGACCCTCCAAATGTCATGTTAAAATGTGATGCCCTATGTTAAAGGTGGGGACCAACAGGGGGTGTTGGGGTCATGGGGTAAATCTCTCATGAATCATGTAGTGCCGTCCTTGTGTAATGTGTGAGTTCTTGCTGTCTTAGTTTCTACAACAGCTTCTTGTTGAAAGGAACCTGGGACCTCCCTCCCCTCTCTTTTTCCAGTCATGTTATCTCTGCATGCACCAGCTCCCCTTTTCCTTCCATCCTGAGTGGAAACAGGCTGAGTCCCTCGCCAGACACAGATGGTGGTGCCATGCTTCTTGTACAGCCTGCAGAACCATAGGCCAAATAATCCTCTTTTCTTTATAAGTTACCCAGCCTCAAGTATTCCTTTATAGCAACACAAACTGACAAAGAGTGATAATGACAAGGAAGTGTGAAATTCTCACTTCTCTTAGAGTTTCTTCCCTAATACAGCTCTCACAGATCTCTAGCATATGATTCTACTGTGTTTCCAAACAGAACAGTGTGTTGTGTTAGCCACTGTTGTCTCAGAGTGCTGTCTTCGGACCTCTTCACCAGAATTTATCTGGCACTCCAGCAGTGCTTGACAGTCATCAGGAGTAAAATTACCTTCTGGGGTTTCGTCACCCCAGAAGGAATGTTTAGCTTTCCCTTAAGAATCAAAATTTCAAATAAAGACTTTATGTTTAGCTTTCCCATGAGAATCAAAACTTCAAATAGAGACTTTATGTATTTTTTTGTTTTCCTTCTTGTCAAAGATTAGAGGTAAAATGTTCTAATCTGTTCTTCATCCCCTTCTCTGCACTGGGGTTCTGAGCATTGCTGTTACTGGTTTCTGTGTGTGTGTGTGTGTGTGTGTGTGTGTGTGCGCATGTGTGTGTGTGTGTATATGTGTGTGTGCATTTTCCTCTTCAATGTTGTGAACATTTTCTGCTTTATGTGTTCTGATTTCATCTTCACTCAATTCTTTTATTCATTTTCCCTGTCATTTAGATTGTTTAAATGACTAAGATCAACTATTGTTGGTATTACATTATCTTAAATAACTATCCTATAAGCACTAGTTCTATAGATCATAAGAGGTCTCAAAGTAGTTGGCACATACTTGACAATGTTTTATTAGTTGATCAGATGTTTTCTCTTCTGTCCACTCTCTTACAATTTACCTGTTTCTGGCATCTGGCTGGATCCGGTGGGAAACTGGAAAAAGCCAGGTCAAACTGTATGCTCTTTTGCAGTACAATTGGTGGCAGTGCAGACCTCACCTACCTTCTATTGTGCTCAGCCTTCTTTTCCTTGCCTTCTCAGGGCAGCCTGCTGGACACAGGGGCCCAGGAGAGGAGAATGTGTTGTTGTATTTTAACAGACCTTTTTTTTTTTTTTTTTTGGGATGGAGTCTCACTCTGTCACCCAGGCTGGAGTGCAGTGCCGTGATCTCAGCTCACTGCAGCCTCCACCTCCTGGGTTCAAGTGATTTTCCCACCTCAAACCCTCGAGTAGCTAGGACTATATCTGGGACCACCACAACTGGATAATTTTTGTATTTTTAGTAGAGACAGCGTTCCGCCATGTTGGGCAGGCTGGTCTCCAACTCCTAGCTTCAAGTCATCCGCAGGTGTCGGCCTCCCAAAGTGCTGGGATTACAGGAGTGAGCCACCATACCCAGCTGTATATCTTCTTTATTTTGTTAATATGATGAGCTATAGATTGAATTTTGAATGTTGACCCAACTTTGTATTTCTGGAATAAATATCACTAGGTTATGTTTGATGTAGTATTCTTTTTATATGTTGATATATTTAATTTGAAAATAATTCATTGTAGATTTTTGCATCTATCTTCAAAATAAATATTGGTCTTTTCTTTTACTGGCTGTCTCACATTTTAGTACAAGTAAATATTCCCTTCTTTCTCTAGTCTGGATTCTCCAAAGAAACAGAACTGAGAAGATATATGTGATATATGTATGTGTGTATATTTTATAGAAATTGGATCACATGATTATGGAGACTGAGAAGTCCCATGATCTGCATGATCTGCCATCTGCAAGCTGGAGAACCATGAAAGATGGTGGCATAATTCAGTCCAAGTCCTAAAGCCTGTGGGGTGGGTGTTGGGAGGTGATGGTGCAATTCCTGGTCTGAGTCTGAAGGCCAGAGAACTAGGAGCATTGATATCTAAGGGCAGAAGAAGAAGATGGACGTCTCAGCTTAAGAAGAGAGAGAAAATTTGCTCATTCTTTTCATTTTGGTTCTATTTGGGCCCACAATGGGTTGGATAATGTCCACCCACATTGGTGAGAATGATTTTCTTTACACAGTTACTGATTTAAATGCTAATCTCTGCTGGATGTACCCTCACAGACACACCAGAAATAATGTTCTAGCTGCTATCTTGGGCATTCCTTAGCCCTGTCAAGTGGCACATAAAATTAACCATAACACTCCTTTTCTATTTTCTGGAAGGGATGTATAGAATTGGTGTTATTTCTTCTTTTAATGTTCAGTAGAATTTGCCAGTGAAAATATCTGGGTCTTAAGTTTTCTCTTTTCAAGGTTTTAAAATATGGATTCCATTTAAAAAATATTTGTAGGAATATTTAGGTTTTCTATTTCTTCTCTGCTGAGTTTTGTTATACAAGAGTACCCTGTCTTCAAGAAAATTACATTTGATAGATGATGTAGTTCCTTACATAACAGTGTGTTATAGGCTAAGGGAAGCATAGCCTGGTGAGCAGTAACACTGTGATCCATTATGTATTCCATAATATTGCAAGAACCAGAGAAAATTAATTTAGAATATTAACAAGATTTTATTGTGTAGGAAGAAGAATCCAGAAGAAACTGGAGTAAGTGTCAAGGTCTTCAACATATGATTTATGGTTCAGAAAATACTTTTGGTCTTTATAAGAACTGAGTGTTCAGTGAGGAGTTTGATAGAGAAAGCACACTTAAAGATTGAATCAACATGGGAGTGGAGAGAACATGGGAGCTGGGCACAGATTTTCTGTCCACAAGTTGCTATAGGAACATTGAAGAATGAACCATTAGAAAAAAAAAAATATCCAGATTGCACAACAGGCTTGACTTATTAGATTCAAAATTTGCTTCCTCTTCCAGTACAGTTTTTTTAAAAAAACCAGAGTGGCATTGAGATTGCTGGTAAAATACTTCAGAATTATAACTTGGGAGGACAAGAGAGAAATTTATGACATCACACTATCAGGGACAAAAAAACCCACTATTTTTATAATTAACTTTAAAAATTGATAAACATGTTATATTGAACAGTCAATTAAACAGAAGATTTCTACAAAGTAAATAAAACAAAAAATAATCAATTGATATTCAAAGAATTAAAAAATATTACTATAATTAATAACACTTTTAAGTTAAATGAAATAAAATATCATGTGACTCTAACAGTTTGGTCGAGATACTCTTCTGAGACACGTGAGAGGCCTTGGAACTAAAATAAGATAGACTTTATGAAGTATCTTCCTACTGAGAACACATGACATAAACACATTTCCATGTGATATTGGGGTATAAAATCTAGCCTCTTAGAAAAGTACAAGGTAGAAACTGAAGTATGGAGTCATCAAAGAGATAACAAAGAGTAACACTGCAAAGTGAATTTCAGGGATATAACTAGAGATAGCAAAACAAATAGATGAAGGAATGAGTTTGGAAACTCTCATGGATGTTTTACCTGGAGAGATATGTTCAGGTTGGAAGATAGAAGTAGTGTATCACACAGTGGTTTGGGTATAGAACTGCTATTGGCACCACACTCTTCGGATAATTTTGGTCAATCATAATGTTATGAAACAATAAAAGCAGTAGGACATCAAGAAGCCCTAAAATCTTTGATAAATGGTGGTGCTGACAAAGACTTTCTCCTTGATCAAATTTAGACAGGCTGGTCTGATCCCTGTTTTCAACTAGGTCTTGTCATTATACATTGTCTGTGGGCCGACTAGCCCAGTTTTAGCAAGAATCTCCTGTAAGCCAGTTTGGAAAGAATCCCCCCATCCTTTATATCTGATTATACTCAATATCTCATTAAATTCCTCATCCCCACTCTTGGTATTTGATCATCTTTGGTCTGTGTTCAGTGAGGGGTTTGATAGAGAAACCACACTTAAAAATTGAATCAACATGGGAGGGGAGAGAAAACGGGAATTGGGCAGATTTTCTGTCTACAAGTTGCTGTAGGTGAAGAATCCTGTTAATATCAAGAATCCTGTTAAGTCTGTTTAGCAAGAATTCCCCTACCTTGATATCTTCTCTTAGTAATTTCCCATTCACTGACTCCTCCCTTCTGCTCATTTGCTATGAATCCTTAGCTATCTTTGCTTTATTTATTCAAGTTGAACTAACCTTTCTTCCTTACTGCAATAGTCTTGACACTTATTGCAGTAATCCTGAATAAAGTCTCCCTGATAATTTTAGTGTCAGAATAATTATTTCTTTAACAGTGGTCAAAGTAATATCCATGGTGGTTTCCTTCCAATAAAATGACAAAAAGTATAAGAAAAAGTTTTAACACTGCATTAGGGGTACTCTAAAAATGTCCTAGCAGAAGAAAAAAGTACATGCAACTCTTTTCATGCTCTGATCCCTAAACATTGTGCAAGATGCTAGGGTAAGGCCTACTATAGAATGAAAATTAGGTTAAATTGAATTACACATTTTTAAAATCTGACTTAATAAAAACAAGCATGATATCTAGGAACTTTTGGTTACAAAAATTGTTCTAAAATATTTAATGATAATTTGTGAATATGACAGATACATTTGGGAAAAAGTTCTCTTTTACTGATCATTAAGTCTTAGGTTTGACTTTACTCCCTCACCCTAGAGTAAGTATTTCCCTTTTTTTTCTCATTGCTTTTGGGTTCTGTATCCAGAACATTCATTTCAGGTACTATTTGCACAGTGGTGAACCAAATAGTCATGTTTTCTGCCCTCTTGCCACAATTAAAAAAGCCATTTGAATTTGACTTATCTAACATCAGCTTACAGAAAATTGTGATACATGCATGTTTTTTAACAAATCCAGCACAATTGATTATTTGTTTGGGTATGAAGAATGAAAGGTGATCCCAAATTCTTTTTCCTGAGAAAACAGAAGAGTGGAGTGGCATTTCTAAGATTGTCAAGTGATAGGGACTCCAAGTTTTAAGGAAGACATCATGAATTCACTTTTATTGATGATAGCTTTCAAATTTTAACCATCAAGAGACACTTTTGAGCAGGATAAGCAAGAGACTAGATTCAGAAAAGATATCTAGCTGGGATATTAATTTTGGAATTATCACCAGGTATTTGTATTAAAAAGCATATAACTAAATGGTATCTTCAATAAATTATATTCAAAGCAAGAGGATCAAGGTTATACAAAATAAAAAGGTTGAAGAGAAAAGAATAAAAATCAAAGGGACTGGGAAAGACCCATGGGTAGGGTAGGAAGAAAGCCATGGTATTCTGAAAGCCAAGTTAAGAAAGTATATTAAAGAGAAGGGAGTGGTGGGAACACTTAAAATCTACTCTCTTAGCAATTTTCAAGTGTATAATACATCATTAATTATAGTCACCATATTGTATTTCTACACCAGATCTCCTGGACCAATTTGCCCTGCCTAACTGAAATTTTGCATTCTTTGATCAACATCTTCCCAATCAACACAATCCCCCTTATCCCCTCGTAACCACCATTCTACTTTCTGCTTCCAATGATATGGTATGTGAGTTAATAAATATGTTAGTTAGCCTGATTTAGTCATCCTGTAACATATACATACATCAAAACAGGATGTTGACACCATAAATGTAAATAATTTTTATTATAATTTTTACTTGTCAAATAAACAAATATAAAAAAGAGGAGAGAGTGATCAATAGTTTCAAACATGGCTGGTAGATTTTTTTAGCATGAGGACTAAGAGCTATCCTTTTGATTTTGCAATGTGAGATCATCAGAGCCATTGATAAGACCAATTTTAGTAGAGTAGGCTTTAGTAGAAAGCCTAATTGGAGTACACTTATGAGAAACAAAAGAGAAGCATTGGAAATGTGAGTATATTCATCTGAGGAAGTTTGCTGCAGAGGTGAATGCAGAAATGGGGCAGTAGTTGGTTGGCAAAAGTGGAGAATGGAGCGACAAGAACATTTATTAATCAGGAGCATGTTTATTTCAAGAGGGTACAAATACCTGCAAATGATGGAACTGATACAGTCAAGTATGAAAGCTTGTCATATAGGGTAAGTCAGAGAGAATTGCTGTAGTAATGATACTGAGACAATATAGAATTTCCTGCATAAATGGGAGGATATATAAAAGCATGCATATGTCACCTAAAGTAAGTGGAGGAAAAGCAGAGAAACTGGATGAACATTTACTTATTTATTTATTTTGAGATGGAGTCTTGCTCTTTCACCCAGAAGGGAGTACAGTGGCACGATTTCAGCTCACTGAAGCCTCCGCCTCTGCGATTCAAGTGATTCTCCTGCCTCAGCCTTCTGAGTAGCTGGGATTACAGGCATGCGCCACCACATCCGGCTAATTTTTGTATTTTTACTAGAGACGGGGTTTCACCATGTTGGCCAGGCTGGTCTTGACCTCCTGACCTCAAGTGATCCACCCGCACCCACCTCCCAAAGTGCTGGGATTATAGGCGTGAACCACCGCGCCCAGCCTGGCTGAACATTTAGAGAGCTAGGTTGTTAATGGAAAATCTGAGGGTATTCTCAGCCAGTAGCCAAAAGCAAGAGCTAAATTAGGAGAAATGATGGTGATTTTGTGATTACATATAAAAGCTAGGTGATTTAGTCAGGGTTCTCTAGCGGAACAGAACTAATAGGATATATGTATATATGAAAGAGAGTTTATTAAAGGGAACTGACTCACGTGGTCACAAGGTAAAGTCCCACAATAGGCCGTCTGCAAGTTGAGGAGAAAGGAAGTCAGTAGTGGATCAGTCCCAGCCCCAAAATCTCAAAAGTAGGGAAACTGACAGTGCAGCCTTCAGTCTGTGGCTGAAGGACAAATAGCCCTAGGCAAACCACTTAAGTCCATGAGTCCAAAGGCCAAAGAATCTGGGGTCTGATGTTCAAGGGCAGGAAGCATTCAGCAAAGGAGAAAGATGAAGGCCGGAAGACTCCGCAAGTCAGCCCGTTCCACTTTCTTCTGCCTGTGCTGCAGCTGAGGCGATGGTGCCCACACAGATTAAGAGTGTGTTTGCCTCTCACAGTCCCCTGATTCAAATGTTAATCTCCTTTGACAACACCCTCACAGGCACACCCAGAAACAATACTTTGCATCCTTCAATCCAATCACGTTGACACTTATTATTAACCATCACACTAGGTTGAAAGTCACAAGTACTCCAAGGGCTAAAATGGGCTTACTTTCTCTCTTTCCCCCCATTCCTTCCAACCCCCTCAAATTGGAAAATGTAAAATCCAACCAAATAGAAAGGTTGGATTTCTCTTTCTCCCCTCCTCTGTCTCTGCTTTCCTTTCTTTCTCATCTGCTCCTAGTCACAGTGAAGAGGATTCAGGATTTTTAATCAATTATCCCCATCTGAAAACAGAGCAGTATTTTTTCCTGCTGGGTGGAGTGGAGAAAGAAGAAGTGCCAAAGAGTTCAGGACGATAATTCCTGTAAATAGAAAAGAGAGAGAAGCCTGAAGGAAAAACAGTAGGCAAAGCTAAACAAACAGATCTATGGTAAACAATTAGTTGAAACATCATTGGTTTCAGAAGAGTTGTCTAAGCCATTTATTTTTACTGTAACTCTTTAGATACCAGCATATTTGTTTTCTGATACCACTCCCAGATTATGAAGTCACATCATCATCTACTTTTGAATTTTGACGAAGTCTAAAAAGGAGTCTTCTCTTTTTCTGTGAAAAAAATTGTTGTAGTATAATATCACTCCAAATACTTTTTTGTTAATTTGACCAATATTATGGCAACTAAATACACTAATTTATGAAGTCTGTATAAATGGAATCCCTGGGGAGGGGGGTAATACGTAATTTGCACATCCAAACGTGGCAGACCAGAGTTGCAGCATGCCCTCCTTACGAAACAGATAAGAGGGGCTGCTGGAATACATGGCACACACACAGCACTTCCAAAGTAATCTGTAGAGGGAAATAATTGCTAGTGCCTTTCCAATTCATATAGAGAATTCAGTACATTTTAAAATTAAGGAATATTTATTACTTTTTAAAATTAAAGCTTTCAATATAAAGAAATAACTTCTCTTTTACCAGATTTTGAGGGAAAGATTTTTCCTCAGGCAGACATTAATTTAACAAAATGTTAACTTTTACAGATAAAGTTGATTTGTATTCATAACCACACTCATGAGATAGAGGATCATTTTGAAAATAAACAAGTAGGAATTGATGGCTACTATATCTGAAGGCTTATGGAAAAACAGATGTTTGTTAAAATACAGTAGACTCTATTAGCCAGTCTCATGAGTGAAAAGAAGTCTTCTATTCCTCCTTGAGCCTCTTCTCTGGTGGTCAGGAACATATTCAGATCAAGATGAACATTACTATTTTTGCAAATACCAAGCCATCATTCCAATTCTTCAGTATTGTCCTTGTGGGAGGCAGAATATGTCCTCCCTCAAAGAGGTCTACACCCTAATCCTTGCAAGCTGTAAATATATTACGTTAGGCAGGAAGAAAGGACTTGAAGATCTGATTAAGTTTACTGACCTTGAGAAAAGGAGCATAGCCTGGATTATCTATGTGGGCCACCTTTAATCACATGGCTTATTAAAAGTAGAGAACCTTTCCAAGCTGTGGTTAGAGGGAAGTATGAAATAGAAAAAAGGTCAGAGGGAGGCAACATTGCTAGCTTTCAAGATAGAGGAAAGGGACCCTGGCCAAAGAATGTAGGAGGCCTCTAGAATCTAAAACTCAAGGAAATGGAGTCTCACTTGATAACTTCAGAAAGGAACGCAAACCTCTGACTCTGACTTTAGCCCAGTGAGAACCCTGTGAGACTTCTGACCTACAGAACTATAAGAAACAAATTGGAGTTAAAACTCTAAGCTAGTGATAATATACCCGCTACAGGTAAAATATTTCTAAAGTATGTTGCTCCTTTTCCTGGCACTTTTTACAGTAAAAAACAAGTATGCCTTTTATTTTTTTAAAAAGTGACATATGAATATTATGTTGATAAATTAAGAATTTTTATTTACATTTCTAGATATGCTTTTCCTCAGGACATAAAGAGTTCCCCTGATACTTTCAAATATAATGTTATTTAGAATGAAATGTAATTATGTGGTAGCTTTTTGGGTTTTTTTTTTTTTCTTTTCTCTTTTTTTTTTTTTGTACCTCACTGGTTTTATAGATTAAATAAATGCCAGTAATGTTTGTTTATATGATAATCTGTTTATCCTTGGATGTAATTCTCATGCACAAATATCTGTTGAATGAATGAAGGATTGAATAATAAATGGATGAATGGACAGAGAAATAAAAGGAAGGAATGAAGGAATGAATAAATGAATCTTTAGTTATGCCTTATAGCCACAAAAGAAAAATATGTCTTCATCTTCTGACTCATTTTAGAAAGACCCAAGAGATTGTACTTAACCAACAAATCTCCCTTTTAGAATATTGTATCGAACACAGGAATAGTCAATGAATAAGTTTTGTATCAGTCATATTACCTTTATGTTTCTTTTGATCAAAATTGAATTATGATTTTACTCAATTATACTATTTTCTGTACTTATATAAATATATTTAAGTGTAATTAAATATATTTTGAAGTTATGCAACATAAAAGTTTGTGGATATAAGGACACATATATTAGTTCATTAATATCTGGGTAAATGTTTACTATTATTGAAATTTAATATGTAAGACATTATTATGAATATAAAAAAATCACAAAGGGGGTAAACATTTAATGAAAAGCTGATATATTGACTATAATTCTGTGGTTTAGCTTTTATTATTATAATTTTTTGAGACAGAGTCTCCCTCTGTTGCCCAGGCTGGAGTGCAACAGCAGAATCTCAGCTCACTGCAACCTCTGCCTCCCAGGTTTAAGCCATTCTCCTGCCTCAGCATCCCCAGTAGCTGGGATTACAGGCTCCCGCCACTACGCTGGCTAATTGGTTTAGCTTTATTTTATTTATTAAGTTCCTTTTCATGCCTGTTCATGTATACCACAGAGATCTTTATATGGTTGCAGCTATATTTGAATATTACATTTTATTATTCAGTTTATGCTTTAGTAATAAATATTTCTTATTATTCCACACATATAATTTATCTCATACATACAATTTTTAATAGGTTCATACTAGCCTGTGTTATTGATGTAGCTTAACTTATTAAGTTACAGGTTGAGTATCTATTATCTGAAAAGCTTAGGACTAGAGTGATTGGGACTTTAGATTGTTTTCACATTTTGGAATATTTTCATATATATAAAATTATATTTCTTATATATTTTTAAATTCAAAAATACTCATAACCTGAAGGAAATTTTATACAATATTTTAATAATTTTATGCATGAAACCAAGTTTTGACTGGACTTTGACTACAGCCCATCACAAGAGGTCAAGGGTGAAATTTTCCATTTGAGGTGTCATGTCAATGCTCAAAAAGTTTCAGATTTCAGAGCAATTCAGAATGGACTTTCACGTTAAGGATGTTCAATCTGTACTTTCTGCTGGGAGTTCAGGCTGGTCAGGTACAGAGGCCAATATAGGATTTAACTTTTAAAAATGTATAATTTGAAAAATATTGTTGATGTGATTAATATTTTTGCACCTGGCATATAAATGGAGTATGTGATGATATTAGTGGTAAAAGCGAATGCTCTCTATTCCGCCCTAAAAATCAATATATAAAGTACCCTAAACATATTAACAACTGACTTCACCTGCCTCTCAGGAGACTTCATGTCTACTCTTGGTGATTTATGTATTTTCAGTGAGAATCAAATAATTTGAATGTTGCCTAAAATATATACAATTAAGAAATGTTTAGCTAGGGCTGAAACAAAATCACACACTAAAGCTAAATATAAGAAAATTTGCATTTCTTGAAATTTCTGCATCTATGTCAATTCTACCATCCACTGATCTGGATAATAAAAAAATTCAATATGTTTAGAAATTCAGAATGGAAAAAAATAATAATAAATCTAGAGTGATGTGGCATTGCATTTAGAACTAAGTTCTACCCAAATCAAATCTATTACATGTCTATCTAGCCTCCCACTCTCTTATTGAGAATCATAAATTCAACATACAACTTAAAGCTATCTTGTACTAATATGCATCAAAACCTCCTCCAATTTGTCTAGCCTGTCACGAGGACAGCAATTCCCACTCTCATTGTGCAATACTTATTCTATTTGTGTCAGTCCCTCTCAGGTCACCTACGTATCTGTCGATGTTCTTCTGCCATTGAAGCTTTTGTTGATTTCAGTACATGCCAGAAGACTGCAGAAAGAAGAAAGGCAGCGTTGAAGGATACTTCCTCTCTACATTATTGAGCTTGTTTGAAAATAGGCATAAAAGTGATGCTTCTAGGTTCTTCTATTCAAAAATAGAGATGGCATGGTTTTCATCTTATAACTTACATATGTATGTACATATTTCCCAGTTAGATAGAGTTTTGTGGAAAATACATGGATTTAACTCTATTTTTGCTCTTTGACAAAAAGAATCAGATTTTATTCCTCTTTGAGTTTTGCATTGTTTACAAGAGGGCTTGGTACACATTTAGTATAATATTATTGTTTCAGTATTCTTAGTCACATTTATACAGTGGTTCTTTTTTCCATATCTCTGTTTTTTTACTTTCTAAATAAATTTGATTTTATTATTTCCACTATTTTTTTTCTCTTTCTTTGGTGAAAATCTTTGAAACTCTACATTTACTTTAGTAAATGGTAATGGTTCAGTTTCTGGACTATTCTTTAATGTGTTCCAGATGAAAGCTTTTCACTTACAAAACAAAACATTATTATGTACTTTCACTAAATCTGTAAAAATATCACAATTTTGATTTTCTACCAAAGTTGGGTTTCACTTTATTAATAAAAGCATGCAGAGACTGATTACACTTTCATAGTTTTCTCCACTAATTGTCTTAATTGTCTTGAAATATTTGTGATAATATTTTACATGGTAGACCAATAGAATATGGTTGAGAGAAGTCTTATCCTGCACCTGAAATGACCATAAGCTAATAATCTCTAAGTAAAAGAAAACTCCAGGAGGTTTTAACAAAGAATCCAGTCAAGTCCATATGACTTAGATTTTGAATTTCTCAAGATTCTGTGTGCCAGAAAATCATGCATGGAGATATGTGAGCAAAATTATTTCTCCTTATTTGACTATATCACAGAAGATATATTGTCACATCTGGGAATATAGTTACTATTCAGAATGCTGACTCTGATTTTTACTTTGAATGTTCATGAATATTTTATTTGAATGTAATGGTTCATAATATTCTAAAGATGATTGAATAGTAAACCCACAATGTAAAAAGGTCACAATATTTGGTATGATTCATTCTATCTCTGTAAAGGTACAAGCAGAATATGTAGCCAAAAGTGATCAGAATATCCCAAACCATTAGTGACAAATAAATATTTTGTGCTGATTTTTCCCACTTGTTTTATGTCCATATTTTATCTCTCCTTTGATAGGTTTTGAACGTAATTCTCCAGCTGATTACTCTTATTGCTTGAGCACTTATTTTATTACATAATTTCCCATATAAATGACACGTAGCTCCATTTGGGAATAATTTTATTTGGCAGGTAATGGACCATTACATTCACTACATTTTACTAGCAAAGCAGAGTACTGGGCAGTGGTATGCCTTTGTTTTCATTCTATTTCTTAACATCGCTAGCTCTTGATGCATGGAGACTGCCTCTACCCTCCATGTTCTCTCATTTCATCCAGCAAGAGCCAGAGGAAGGAAAGTAGGATTTGGCAGAAGATTAACAGCACCTGCTTTGACTTTTTCAAGGTTAGAGATAGGGCAGGAAGCAGCCAATGTTTTACAAGGCATGGATTCTTCGTGAAGCATTCATTTTGTGCACCCATTGTTCAAAACCTATTTCTCTCTTTGCTGTGCTCATGAATCTCTGTAAGCACTACTGATTATAGTAATCACACACCTTATGGGTTAAGTGTTCAGAAAGCAACTCAATTAAGCTATATTTTGCACCAAAATAAAAAAAAATAGCAAGACATTTGTTTTGTTGTCATGGTTCTATTATTGTTTTATTTTCCAGTAATTTGTTCCATCACATTACTTTGTAAGAATTTGAAATTCTTGCACCATGATTTATTAAGAAGCAATAAAAATACTAATAAATGCATCAACCAGAAGTTTATTATTACCTAAGAGGCATTTTCAGCAAAGTACAATTTAGCTTTTTATGAAATATGTAGCCATTCATGTTTTAATCTTTATAGATTACTTCATTTGATTTTTCTTTTGTTTTACCAAAAAGATGGATATTGTCCATGATAACTGATCTTTTTCATGGTAGATATATAAATGGACACTATTGTATGTGTGCTATGGCATCATGCCATGAAGGTCATTCATAATACATGTGATGTGGATGAAAGTGGAGATTTTTTTTCGAAGTAAAAATCACTACACTTGTTTTAGTTTACATTACTATTCTCTTCATTATAGAAAACATGTTCATTATTCATGGCTGCTCACTATACACCCTTCTATGTCTTATAATAGCAGCCCACCTTTTAAGAACCCCATACTATTATGTAATCATCTAATTGATTTGGCCGTTAATTGTTTACATGTATGTTCATCTCTCTCCTTTTTTTTTTTTTTTTTTTTTTTTTTTTTTTTTGAGACGGAATCTTGCTCTGTCGCCCAGGCTGGAGTTCAGTGGCGCAATCTCGGCTCACTGCAAGCTCTGCCTCCCGGGTTCACGCCATTCTCCTGCCTCAGCCTCCCGAGTAGCTGGGACTACAGGCGCCCGCCACCACGCCCAGGTAATTTTTTGTAATTTTTAGTAGAGACGAGGTTTCACCATGTTAGCCAGGATGGTCTCGATCTCCTGACCTCATGATCTGCCCGCCTCGGCCTCCCAAAGTGCTGGGATTACAGGCATGAGCCACCGCGTCCAACCTCTTAATATTAAAATAAAATTTAGTTAAGCTTATTTTAGCTATATATTTAAACAGTATTTCTAACAAGACCCATTTCTAGAAAAGCAATCTTTAGATGAAATTGTATATGTATATATGTAAAGTCTATTGAGAATTATTACTAAACTTATATTTTCACAGATAATTGCAAGGAATTCAATTTCACCACTTTCCTACCTGCTTGCTTTCGTTCCCCTTAAATCTTTACTAACAAGGAAAATGCTCTGTTATTGTTTTAACAGTACATTTATTTGATTCATACTGAGATTTACTTTTATTGAACATTTTATGTTTTTCATTTTGTGATGTTCTTGCTTTTATATTGGTATTAAACTAATTATGCATCCTAGGTGTTAATTATTTAGGTTATATTTTGAATTCTTCAAATCATTGTCATTCAAATTTTAATTATTTAAATGTGTTTATTAACTTGTAGTAGTATTTAAATTTTTCTCTTTAAAATATATCAGTTTCTTATTTATGCTTTCTACTTCTTGAGTCATTCTCTTCTCTAAGACTGTATATATTTCAATTACATGTTTATTCTATTCATATTTATGTAGTTTATTTTTTAAATCCGTATTTTCAGTCAATCAGGCATGATTTTGTACTACCTAAAATGATGCAGGGATATACTTTTGATATTTGTTAATAATATAAGTGTTATATATTATAAAAATGTCTAATTTATTATATTTCTATATGTACTTGGTCTTGCGTCTAGACTTCATTTTTAAAACTACAGAATTTCATGTATTATATATAGAATTTATATGTTGTATATATTATATATACTTACATGTCTTGAATATAATACAATATTATTAACTGTAGATTAAATCTCTAGACTTGTTTATTATGTATATTATATATTTATATTATATTATATATGTGTGTGTATATATGTGTGTGTGTGTGTATATATATATATATAAAACAATGTATCACATGATACCTATCTACTGTGGCTTTTTTCAAGGCAGTGTCAAAGAGATGATGATGGAAGACAACTGTGGAGTTAGGATATTAAACATACTGGATTTGACTATGATAAGGAACACCAAAATTTCTAATTCTATAGTAATTGATCATTCTGCTGAGGCATTAATTTGGCTTATGAATGCCAGCAGTTGGAGCAGCAGTTGCTACTTAGGGGGTTAGTATGTAGTAACGACATTGTGAAACGCAAGATTTATCATGTATAAAGGGTTGGTCCTTAGTGGCATTAGATGTTAGTATAGGCAGGTCACTACTTTCACTTCTGTCTCCTGTGAAAACCAACATAAACATACAGACATATACACACAAACTAAAAATCACAGTTTGTTATTGAGGCTTTCGGTGAAACTACATTTGTCTTGAATTACAAAATAACCTTTTCTTGCTTATTCTCAGTACTATCTTCAATGATGGTTGTCAATAAGAAGGTAGATATACTTATTCATGCCATGATAATTAGTATATGCCTAATTTTAATTACTAATTCTACTTGTATATTTGGCTTTATTTCCTGTAGCATAACATGTTGTGAAGTATATTCACACCAAGTTAATTCCCTTCATTTATATTAACACTGAAGCAAAGCACATGAACACATAATTTCGTATAAGAGTTATTAAAGCCAGATGCTAAAGAGACATACTTTCACTCGTATAGCTCACTTAAGTATTAAATGATTTCCTATGACTGAATCAAATATACCAAACCTTACCTCAAAGAAACAGAGTTCAATCATTCTTTATTTGATATAATTGTTTTCCACTCATTGGCTTTGCCCATGGAATCCTTCCAGCTATAAATGTAAAATATTTGAAAACATATATTCAAGGATTAAAAATGCTACAAATATACCAATGTACATAGGAATTACTCAGTAAACCCGAGCAATATATGGCATGAAATAACATTGAAATTACATCACATAATATTCAGACTTGTAAAAACTAACAGGCATATTATGCATGGTCTTTTAGTAATTATATATTTCTAACCACAAATATAAACCTTCAAATCCAAGATATAAATATTTATTTATAGTAAAATTTTTTGCTTTTCTTTTCTCTCACCATCACCCCAGCAGGACGGATAAACCCATCACATAATTTATTACATATTAAACTCTCATTACTTTATGTCTATTGCCACACTTATGGGAAGCCTGGTCAAATATGCAACAGAATAGGGAAGTAGCCTTTTAAAATGAAGAACACACTAGAAAATGTTAGGTTTAATTACAGGTAATACTTTTAAAGCAATATTTCTCTTATAAACATCAGTGGTGTTATAATATAAAATTGACTTGATATTTAGATTTTTGTTGATTTTGAAAAGTTCATCCTAGATAAAAATGCAACTTTTATACAACTAAATGAGGTTTCTCTTTAAGCAAAATGCATCAGATAGAAATAACTTCCAATTACATATTTAGAGTACTCATGAAGGACAATTTATTTTCTTTTTGTTTACTCTGATTTCATTTTAATAGGAGGTTATCCGAAGAAAAGCCACAATATGTTGTTTCGAAAAATTTGATGCTGACCAGAATGAAAAATTGTCTTTAAAATGTATTTTCATGGATTCATAAATCCTCTTCAATTTTAGCTGCAAACTCTAAAATAATATGAAGTGAATATGTCAAATTTGTTAAGGAATCTTGGTAATAAATAAGACTATGATAGAGTAATATGAGTTAGCACTGAAGAAGGAAGGAAGTTAGGGTGTATAAAAGCTCAATATTCAGGATAAATATTTTAACTCAATAATAGTAAAAATCAATTTTAAGGCAAATAATTCCATGAAGATCAAAATATCGAATTTTAAATGAAGGATCTGATCCTGCACTTGCATAAATCTGTTGCACTTGAATTCTTGTCTTGCTAATTGAAATACATATTTGCTGAATTTTTTAAGTAAACATTCAAATGAAATTGGGAATTTTTATTTATTTTTTATTTATTATTTTTATAGACAGGGTCTTGCACTGTTGCCCAGACAGGAGTGCAGTGGTGTGATCATGGCTCACTGCAGCTGCAAACTCAGGGGCTCAAGGGATCATTCTGCTTCAGCCTACCTAGTAGTAGAACTACAGGTTTGTACCACCATATCTGGCTAATTAAAAAAAAAAAAAAGAAGTACAGATGGAGTCTTGCTATGCTGTCCAGGCTGGTCTTGAACACTGCTGGCCTCAAGCCCTCCTCCCACCTTGGCCCCCCAAGCACTGCGATTACAAGTGTGAGCCACCAAGCCAGGTCTACAATTGGACATTTTGATTTCTAAACATTGAGTTAAAAAGTCATGATATTAAAAATTATGATCATTTATGGTAACAAAAATAAAATAGAGATAGAGGGAGACTGCTGATAATTTCAAATCTGTTAATTCTGAGATTCGTAAAACAAAGATTCCAAGAAGGAGTTAATGTTTTATATTTTATTGCATATATTAAGGGAATACAACATGATGTTTTGATATAGGTAGTGAAATGGTTACAATAGTCAAGCAAAATAATATACCATCATCTCACATAGTTACACTTGCGTGTGTGTTTGTGTGTGTGTGTGGCAAAAGCATGTGAAATAGACTCTTTTAGCAAAAATCTTGAATACAATATTATTAACTGTAGATTAAATCTCCATACTTGTTTATTCTACATATCTGCTACTTCGTATCTTTTGACTAACATCATCCTGTTTTTCTCCTCCCTTCACCCCCCACTCCTGGTAACCACTGTTTAATTTTCTTTTGAGCAGTTGACTTTATTTTTTTTTAGATTCCATATATAATGAGATCATGTAGTATTTTTATTTCTTTGGGTATTTCACTTAGTATAATGATGTTAGTTTCATCCATGTTGTAGCAAATGGCAGGATCTCTTTTTTAAAGGGTGAATAATATTTCATTATATATTAGATTATATATATACATATATAATATATCACAATTTCTTTATCTGTCTGTCAATAGACACGTCAGTTGTTTCCATATCTTGGCTATTGTCTCAATGAACATGAACATTCAAATATCTTTAATAGGTAATTTCATTTTTGCAGGATGTGGAGAAAAGGGAATTTTTGTACACTCTTGGTGGAACTGTAAGTTGGCATGGCCATTGTGCAAAACAGTATGGAGGTTCCTATAGAAATTTAAAATAGAATTACCATATGATCCAGCAATTCCTCTTCTGGGGATATACCCAAGAGAAATTAAAGACCCATAAAGACTAAATTTAATAAATTTCATTGATTACTATCTTTTGCTTTCTCTTCATCAATCATTTGAATAAAAAGTAGTTCATATGCATGATTTGTCTATATTTTAAAATACATAGCTTATGTATATTATTAAATATTTATATTAGGTACAATTTAATATTCACAAATTTTTAGTTGGCTAACACTTGTGTTTCCCAAAAAGAATAAAAAATTTTCAAACTGATATCTGAAAACTTCAGTCACTAACCAACAAGTAAGTAACCAAGAAATCTAGTTATATCACATAAAGGGCAGTTGATACTTTACTCTAAAATAGGGTAGGAGCTAATGGAATTGCTTAATGAAAGTAAATAAAAAACACGCTTTGAACATCTTTATTTCCAGTAAAACATTGACTTTATATTAATTTTTCAATCAATTTATCAACTATATTTGTACCATTGCACAGTATATTGGCCTTTTAATAGAATTTTGTTTTTAATTATTTTTATTATTTTATTTTTCTGAAGATAAAAAGAGATCCAGAAAAATTGTCTACTGTTGGTTTAAAATTTTCTCGAGTTATTAGGTAAAATTGTATTTAAAATTGCTTAAAAGCAGAAAGCAACAAATTTAGAAAATAAGAGGACTCAGACTCGGAAGATACTAAATACAGAGGTTTAATTTAGTAAGTAATTACTAACATGGAGTTTCTAATGAAAATTAGAAATAGTAGAAATAACTTAACCAAAAGCAGCTGGTTGCCACAGAAACAAGGTATGTTCACTCTGGTGCTGACTGAAAGGAACGTATCTCGGAAATAACACAGGCCACAGAAGATGGGTATCTTTTGGAATCTTTCTTTTTCTCCAGCTTTTCTGTCCTAGTAAAAGATGGCAAGACTGAACACCAGGTGGGCATGCAGATATTACAAATGAGAAAATTCTTCTTGACCTTAGCTATTATTAGCAGAAGGTGACTCAGAATCCATGTAGTTCAAGTGACAGGACAAATATTTACTCAAAAATTTTAAAGTTGAAATAAGATGGCAAATAGATTTCAAATTGAGTGCTGCCCTTAATTGATTTGATTGTGACTGTCTGAAGTGGCAGTGCAGCTGACTTCCTTGGACTCAACATAAAAGAATACAATAGTTAAAAAAGTAAAAACTACCAGTTTGGGGGACAAAATTGCAAGTATTAGTGCTGTCTGCTTTCTAACATGAGCAGGGAGAGCACACAAGAATCAAAAGGCTTGCAAAAATCAAAAGTATGCAAAAATCTAAAATTCCAGCCGATTAGTATTATCTATAACTAATGTTTCTAGCCTGGAGCTTTTCTTACCCCAAATTTCAATATACAAACCAACAAACATACACATTTCTGATTCTATAATCAGAAAGGAGGCATTAAAAAATCAGCTCACTTGGACTACCTGTAGAGTTTTAGCCACAAAATCAATTCCTTCTGTGGCTTTTGGGAACATTTTTGAAAATTATATGTTCGTGTCATCTATTAAGAATACATTTAGTAAATTAATAACACTTATATTACTTTTAATTGTGCAATTTGATGGGGAAGTTGACTTGTAATTGGATCTTCTCAACCTGCTCATCAGAGAAAAGACAACAGGCCTAGCACTAGAAAATGAGTAAACCAAAATAATTTCCAGAATAATGTTAGATTCTGGGGGCAAGGAGCATGTTTTATGCTTTTGTCTATTAGGATATTATGTAGTAAGCATGATTATATTGAATTTGCAATAAAGAGAATCTTTGTTAGGAAAAATAATACAATGATGGTTTCCCAACATTTTCACATCTTTTCTTCAATACAAATCATGTATAAAGCAGATAAAAATGAAGCTGTCCTAGTTGAATCAGAAATGTAAGACCGAGTGCCTCAAATACTCAAATTCTTTTCCCACCACACCATCCCACTAGAAACAGCCTGTGAATACATTTTGCGGTATTTCTCATGAGATGAGAATCAAATCACCAGAAGCAAGTTTAAGAACAAGTTTTGATCATTTTTTCTGCAAATATCAGAGTTGCTTTTAATAAATGGAGATATTAAAATCCAATAAAAGCTCCTTTATCTTCAAAACAAATGCAAAAGAAAAAACAAAAATAGGTCACTATATGGAGAACATGTGGGTCAGACACAAACAGAGTACAGAGAGGAATCAAAAGCCTGAATCATTAATCTAGAGAAGAAAGGATTGTGACAAAAATCATGATTGTGGCAAGCCTGGGTGAAGTGGGAGAGAGAGAGGAGAGTAGACAGAATCTGGGTGAGTGGTAGGATTCAGAGGGTTGTAGGATTGCAGTAGTTTACTAGCATCGAGAAAGTTAAGGAGTAGAGACAAGTTGAGGGTGAATACTTTCTCTTATTTTGTAGGTAAGTGCTCAAAATATTGTGGCTGCACAGAAGATGAGGGATGAGGTCAAGGGGAAAAAACAAAAACAAAAAAAACCCTACCACCTCATAGCACGGTTGGAGAGGAGCTGGGGAAATAGCATGTTCTCTCCTCACTGTCTCCCCATCGTCTGATATTCTCTAGACCCAACAGGAAATGGGCAAGGGAAATCTAATTATTCAATCAAGAGAGGTTTGTGCTCCCAGGCACAGAGTAGAGAAAACGAGGGTAAGAAATAGCTTTGGAAGAATAAATAAGAAATACTCAACACAGCTGCTAATTTCAAGGATGTGATAACTCTGAATATTTTATGCGTTTATCACGTCATTTCATATAATCCTCTAGTAACCACCTCTTACATTCTTTGAAAGTAAACTAGTTTTAGAAGCTTTTTAAATGCTTTATGCTTTAATTTACATAATATAATGAGTTCACTGATTGTACTCTTCTTGGCACTTTGAATTGCCATAACAATCTTGCATTTTCAAACATACCTTGTGTGTTTCTTTTAAATTTTGGCTGCATAATTTCCACTTAACCTCTGTACCCATGTGTCATCCTGCTCTTTCAATTTCCATAACTAACTTTCTGATCTCTCTCTTTAATAATGTTCTGTTTATAATCCTGATGAGTTGTATTGACTTTTATTTATAAATTGTATTCTGTCCTGTATTTTTCCCTTTTGTCACATAAAAATTGTGAATCCAAGACAAAACACATATTTCAAGAGATTATATTTCCAAAGTCATTTATTGTAGATAACTGGATTGAGATATATTGATAGGAAATGTGCTTTAAAAAATAAACCATTTAAATGAGGTTTTCATCACCTAGTAGTTAGTTGTATTTCTTTAATGTCCCCAAGGATATAGCTAATTTCAGCAGATCAATACACATATTTTCTTTCTGTAGAAACTTTAATGTGTATCTGTGCATTATACCTTCTCAAAATATGTGTTATCTTATCTCAATATTTTACAGAGGGAGAAAGTGAGACTTGGAAATGATAAGTATATTGCCCAAGACATCAGCTAAAAAATGACAAAATAACAATCCCAGCCAGGTTTACAGGCTCCGTAATTTGTGTACAGTTGACTTGTACAAATATTTAAGGTGCATGTAAACAGATTCTTACAATCTCACTTTCAGAGGTAAGCATACTGGCAATTATTTCATATTGGTAGGATAAGAAAGTCCCAAGTTTTCAAGTATCTGTAAAAAGGAACAAATACTCATGGAAAGAAAAATAGCAGGTACGTTCTTACCTTATCAGTCCCTTATATGAAAATAATTGGGCAGCAAAGAGAGATATAATAGGTCACCTCAAAAAAACAGAACAACATTTACAAGAGACCGTGGCATGATAAGAACAGTGATACTATAAGCTTGCAACTGTTGTCATCCATCATACTGGGAATACAAATAAGAATGAGATTTGAAAAAGGATATACGCAGGCAAAGCTGGTTTTAAATTATAATAGCTTGCTAAACCTTTTCAAAGCTTTTTCTCAAGAAGCATTTATTTTTTCTCATCAAAAGCAATTAAACAAATAACTCAGCATCACAGGTAAGGCAAATGCAGATGACTCCAGGCCTGCAACAGAGAGCAGACATTGCTTCTATAATCAAATGGAAATCTCATGAGCATTACGAAAGTAACCAGAGCAGCTGCCTTTGAATTCTGCCAAAGAGACAGATGCTCTTGAAACATCCCCTTCCACTGCTGCTGCCTGAGTCCCAGTAGGGCACTATTGTCATGCCATTCCACTTGTATTTTATTATTTTACTCATAGCCACATTTTACTTAGACTATTAAAACTTTGATAGAAATTAAATGTCATGTGTTCACATTAGACTTTCACTAGCAGCTCTATTCTCTGTGAAATATTTTAGTCTGAGAAGAATCCAGATTTCACTGAAAACATTCCTTCCTTAGCCATTCAAGTACGATTTTTTTTTAATTTAGCACTAACATCTTAAAGGACAAAGGTCTCAGTTTTACATATTTAAAAGAAAATAACTTAAACCTATGATCACTACCATAACAAACGTTTGCATCAAATAACATTAAAAATATGTCTTATATACCAAGTAGAACATTGTATTTATCTAGGATAAATATTGAATCATTTTTTCCCATGTACATTCATAGTGACTGCTTTACATTAGGGTTAATTGTTCCCTAATACTTGCGGAAAAAAATCCCAAATTGTATTGTTTTAATCAGGGGCCCAGAAAAACTAAAATACAAGACAATTTATCCAGTTTTTTAAATTGTGTTTGTAAAGTGCATTTTTCTTTTTTATTGTTGATATTTTAAGGTTTTATGAATTTTAACAAAAGGCATATAAACATAAAAAGTAAGATATTTTAAGCCTATATTCAGAAAATTGAAATTCTGAGTTGCTGGATTATAGCCAGAGCACATAATACAATATAGTAAAAAAATAAAACAAATGAATACCATTCAGGACATAGGCACGGACAAAGACTTCATATGAAAATGCCAAAAGCAATCGCAACAAAAGCCAAAATTAACAAACGGGATCTAATTAAACTAAAGGGCTTCTGCACAGCAAAAGAAATTATCATCAGAGTGAAAAGCCAACCTACAGAATGGGAGAAAATTTTTGCAATCTACCCATCTGACAAAGGTCTAATATCCATAATTTCCAAGGAACTTAAACAAATTTACAAGAAAAAAACAACCCTATCAAAAAGTGGTCAAAGGATATGAACAAACCACTTCTCAAAAGAAGACATTTACTCTGCCAGCAAACATGAGAAAAAGTTCAACATCACTGATCATCAGAGAAATGCAAATCAAAACCACAATGAGATACCATCTCACGCCAATTGGGATGGTTATTATTAAAAAGTCAAGAAACAATAGATGCTGGCAAGGCTGTGGAGAAACAGAAACACTTTTACCCTTTTGGTGGGAATGTAAATTAGTTCAACCATTGTGGAACACAGTATGGTAATTCCTCAAGGATCTAGAACCAGAAATACTATTTGATCCAGCAATCCCATTACCGGACATATATCCAAAAGAATATAAATCATTCTACTATAAAGACACATGCACATGTATGTTTATTGCAACACTATTTACAATAGCAAAGTCATGGAACCAACCCAAATGCCCATCAATGATGGAATGGATAAATGAAATGTGGTACATATACACCATGGAATAATATGCAGCCATAAAAAGGAATGAGATCATGTCCTTTGCAGGGACATGGATGAAGCTGGAAGCCATCATCCTCAGCAAACTAACACATGAACAGAAAACCAAACATGGTATGTTCTCACTTATAAGTGGGAGTTGAACAATGAGGACATATGAACACAGAGAGGGGAACAACACACACCAGGGCCTGTTGCAGGGTTGGGGGCAAAGGGAAGGAACTTAGAAGATGGGTCAGTAGGTGCAGCAAACCACCATGGCACACGTATGCCTATGTAACAAACCTGCATGTTCTGCACATGTATCCTGGAACTTAAAGTAAAATTTAAAAAAATAATAATAATAAAGAAATTGTTAGCTTATTTGATCCTTAAGTTTATTCAAAAAATCATATGAGTTGCATTGAAATTAGTGGCCTTAAGAATGAGGAATATAGTATAGTCGTCAAGGTTATGGTTATTGAGCCAGATTGCCAGGCTCAAAGTTTGTGTCTGCCATATAATAACTGGGCAAACTTTCACAAATTATTTAAATTCTCTGTGTCTGTCTTTATCTACAAACTGTGCATCATATTTGTATATATCTCACAGGGGTATTGTGAGAAGTAAATGAGTTAATTTTGTAAAGTACTTACAACAGTGTCTGGCATATAGTAAATGTACCATTTTTTTCCAGTAAGTTTTCGAATAAATATTTGTCCAATACTTTTTTAAAAGTTAATTTCAAGCTACATGAGTATATATCTTTTTATGTATGTATGGTAAGTAATGCTTGACAAATATTATTTTCTCAATCCCTTTTGCTTTTCTACCAAAAATATGATAGGGTTCTCAACTACTGAGACTTACTGGGACAGATAATAAAAGATACATTAAAAGCCATGCACTGAATTGGAAGCACATAAGCCATGAGTCTGTAGACTTAAATCCTTATTTGTAAAACTAAAAAGGGAGGTGCTAGTAAGTAGATGATACATCTCTTCTAAATCTAAAAATGTGAATTTTACTATTTCTCGTTAAATTCATAAGAAAAAGTGTCCCTTCTAAAATATAAAGACATTAAAAATGTAAGAGAGCTGTATACATGATAATTATTATCTTTTATTGGTATTCTGTTGAAATTTTTACAATTTACTACTGTTATTGTCACATAATAATATGTACTGTCTTAATTAATTATTTAAACACATCAAATTAGGGAACAAGACCACCATTAAATATTTGAACATAGATGACAGTCATTTGAACTCTCTAATTAAGTTTAGTATCAGTTGTTAAACATGCTGACTTGGCCCTTTAAATGTTATGCATAAACATTATATTTCAGAAGAAAATCATCACCTAATAGGAGAAACAACTTTGTCCTTCTTCATTTCAAGTTTAAGTAATATGTTTTTCAGTAACGATAATATTTTTAGTGAGTATCAGTGCTATTGATCATGAACTATGTGCCATGGTAAGAATGCAAATAAATTAGTGTAAGATAATGCTATGAAACATCACAGTCATTTATCTTGAATTGATGCATCAACTGCAGATATGGAAATATTATTACTGTTGGGGTTTATACCAGTTATCTATTGTTGTGTAGCAAACTGCGCAAAAACTTATTGGCCTAAAACAGCAAATGTTTGTTATAGTTTTCCTGGGAGAAGGAATCTGATCACAGCTTAGCTCTGTCTCAAAGTCTCTCACAAGGCTGCAAAAATTGGGGCTGGGGCTGAGATTTTGTCTGGAGTCTCACTTCCAAGCAGAATTGTTAGCAGAACTTAGGTCTTCACTGGGTACCAGCAGAGAATATTAGTTCCTTGCCACATTTGCCTCTCCACAGAGAAGCTCACAAGTCATCTGGCTTCCATACAAGTGAGAAAGTGAAAGTAAAAGGAAGAGCAAGACTGCCAGAGTTCTTTGTAACCTAATTGCAGATGTAACATCCCATCGCTTTCTGTATTCATTAGAAGTGAATGAAATGAATCTGTAATAGAGTAATTCAGAAATATACAAGAGCATGCAAACCAAGAAGTTAGAAAATATTTGGGACAAATTTATAATTTTTCTACCACAGAATTGCAGCAAAAATGTTGTGTACTGGGTATTTAGTTTTGTTCATGAACATTTTTATATTAAAATATGGTAAAATTTTTATTAAATTACTTGATTGATGTTAAAGATTTTAGAGTTAGGACTCTAGCCAGTTTTATATTTTGCCACAATTTCAAGAATATGAAGTGATGCCATCTTAATGCTTTCCATCTCAGAAGCATAGTCATTGTGCTCAGATGGTTTCCAATAACTGCCTGTTTTAAACAGTTGCTTCATAACTATATAGAAATAGTGAAATCCAATAGAAACACAGTCAAAAATACAAGTTGTGAATACTACAGCAATTTATAGCTACTTTATAGATTCCCATCTGTTTGGTCTTGTCAACATTGTTAATTTATTGACTGTGCTTATGACTTTAATGTAAAAGTTATGCTATAATAATTAGATTCTTCTAACTTGTTAAGTTACAGTGGTTTTCCTGAGTTCATATAGTATAAAGTTTTCAGATAGATTTTCTTGGTTTTAGGATATCTAATATCTCGCTTACACATGGAAGACAAAATTCCATGTGTGGATATCTGACAGTAGGCTAAATATTGCCATATGTAGAGCAAATGTAATTCTCATGGCATTGCCAAAAGAAAAACCCCTTGTATCATCTTGACCCAAATTATTATTCTTTAAATAAGACTATATGTGGGCACAAGAGTTTTCAAATACATAAACACCTGAATATTTCCATTATATAATTTTTTTAGGTCAAATTTTCTACTTTGTGTTATAAGAGAGAAAAGAGTGGCTTTAAAAAAAAATCAAGCAATCTGCATTTTAAAAGGTTAATACTTTTGTGAAGCTTTTTGAAATGTAGTAAACCTAACTTGTTAAACTATATTTTTATATATTCAAATCCTTAGGTCATAATTATTTTGTCATTCAAGATCTATGACAGTTTGGATGACCAAATTATTTTTTTTCTTGTCCTCAGCACCTGGATGAAGCGTGGAGAAATTTGTTGAGATGATAAAGCCTATAGATAGAAAAAGTTGCACAGAAGGGTTGGAAAAGGAGCTTGACTTAGGTGGTGTTGAATACAAGAAGTTTATTACTTAATCAGATGGAGATACTGAATAGGCAATTGAATATGAGTCTGAATTTAAAGGGAATGATACTGGCAATTATCACCACACAAATGGTATGGCTAGCATGAGACCTGATAAGTTCATTTAAGTATTAACATATGTAGAGATAGGAAGAAACAAGCAAACCGTCTAAGACAGAATGACTAGTATTGTCAGAAGACTGAGAATGGCATCAAAGAAACCAAGTTAAAGATGTGCTTCAAAAATCTGCAACTGCATCTCTTACACACACATACACACACAAATACACACACACACACACATATATACACACACAGATATATAAGATGAAGACTAAAACTTAATCTTGAGTACAGTGATATGGATGTCATTGTTGACATTGACAAATTATATTTCACTTTACTAAGTGGAGCCAACTTCTTACTGGAGTGGGCTCAACACAAAATGGAGGACAAAATGGAGACAAAAATATGGACAATGGGCATTTGTTAACTTGACAAGATTTTTTTTAGCTATGTATTAGTGATGAATGGCTAAATGTTATTGATTTTTTTTGAAATAATAAGAGTGAAAGAGACATAATAAGCTTAGAAAATTCTTGAGGATTCTTGTGTGAGTAAATAAATGAACTATAAAATAAAACAAAATAGCAAAATATAAAAGCTAAGTCTGGTTCTTTGAAATGCTTGACGTGATTTATAAATCTTGGGAAAAATTAATAAAGGAAAAAGAAAGAAAATATGAATGTACAATGGGAGGGGGTGAGAAATGAGAAATTATGTAATGTGTATAGTGTACACTATATGGGCGTTGGTTACACTAAAAATTCAAATTTCACCACTATACAATATATCAATGTAATGAAACTGCACTCATACTTCCCAAATCTATTTTTAAAATTCAGAATAAAAATGCAAATTAGCTTCTAACACATTGATTTATAAAATATAATGTAATAATATTAAAATAAATTTTATCCTTATAAATTTGCAAATGTATCTGAAAATAAATTTATGTAAAACTATAAATATAAAAAATGACAGGAAAATAAACAGAAGTCTCAAATAAGTTACTTTTTAATAAGTAGAAATTAATTAAAGCCTCATAATCTGCTTACTCCAAAATTCCTAGACCTGTGTGCTAATTTTTTTCTTGGAGAATTTCACCTAATACTTAAGGGCTTGATCATCTCTTTCTAAGACTTATAGGTTCTTTTCACTTATGAACAAATATCCAAATATCTTTAAAAAATGTTTGGTTAACTGAATCCTATAGTATATTAAATGCATTATAAATGTAGGTTGAGCACATGGACAAAAAGAGCAAGCCAGCATGTGAAAAAAGATGGGAAGAGTTCCATCCAGCAAGAGGAACACATGAAAGTACTGAATTAGGAAAGACCTTGGAACATTAAAGAAAACTAGAAAGGAAACACAGTGACTTCCATCTGTCAGACACTGCTTGAACTAACAAGCTGGAAGCAATTGGCAGTTTCAACATCAGATCATGCACATTACATGCTTTTGATACCTCAATATTTTTGTGAAGCTGCTTCTTGGGTGGTTGCTGTGATAAAAAGGAAGTAGTTTGTAAAAATCAATATGAAACAGAAAAAAAGAGTGTTAGTGTCCAATTTGAATCCAATAGTTAAGAAAATATGCAATATCCAACAAGCACACATTCACTGGAGAAAATGCAGAAAAAGGCATTTAGTATTGTATGTTGCAAACGTGGTGAAGCAGAGGTGAATAAAGCATCAGAAGGATGGCCAGATTATTCCTCCTTCCAACATCTCCGAATGAGCAATTTTAAGTCCTTGCCATGGGCTGAAAAATAAAAGTCAATAGATGCACAAAGATTCAAACACAGATAACGAAAGCTAATTGAGTATTTCTACTCTTTTCATGTCATTGAGTATCTACTAAAAAAACTCTGGATAAGGAAATTTATGGTAGTTAACCCAGCAGATGAAACCAAAAGAAACTAATAACAGAATTTATTAGCTGTTATTTAAGAGCTCAAACATAAATTATTGTGACTTTAAAAATCAAAGTATTTCATGATCATACATATAAAACTAAATATTGGGTGTGAAATGGAGACGACACTGATTCAAACATTTTTCATTTAAAAATTTAATAGGGTCTAATATATACATTTACAATATTCAGGTTAAAATTAAAAATAATGTATTAGAACACACTTAAAATAATATCCCATTTCCTTTTGCTTTGTATTGTGCTATAAGCTTATAAATATGCCTACACATATCTAATGGAAAGGAAAACATAGGTTGTATCATATCTGGAAGATATTGATTTTGAAAATAAAAGATCCAGATCTGATATTATACCAGAGACAGTAAAATCGGAATGCTTAAAAGCCGTATTCAAGAGGACTCTCAAATTTCTCTACTCTCCTTAGCATTTGGTTCCATTCTTCTACATGAGATTTTATATGTCTTCTAGCAGAAAGAAGGATGTGGGAAACGGGAAATGGGACAGTGAAGTAAAACAGGAAAGTTTCTAGTTCAAATAAATTTACTAGTTCAAAATGATGACCATACAGTCAAATACAGAACTTTAAAATGTTTCCACTTCTCACTGGTACAAATCTTCAATTGTGCTGTCCATTATATTATTAACAATAGATGGATGTACCACTGTTGCAGAAAGTTCTATTGGACAGTGCTGCTATAGGATGAATACAATATGAAAGGGCATCGATTGATTTCCTTACTAAATATATACTGTATGATGGTAGCAACCTTTTTTTCTAGATAACATTATTTTCTACATTATGCTTTGAAAACATATCATAGACAAATGGAATGTAATATGTTTTTTGAAAATGCATGTATGTGGTTAAATAGATATTAATAAATTAGTCTTCACAATGCAATGGTAAAATGATAAACAGTTAGACAGTATTAAGAAAATGTACACGACATATGAAAAAAAAAACTGGACTCCTAAAGGTAGACTTCAGATGAATTAGAGATTTAAGTATAAAATATAAACCTAAAAATCTATGCAAAGAAAATAAGTAACATCTGGAAAAGGAGATGGAATTCTTACTCTTTAAAGCACAAAATAACAAGATAAAAATGTTTCATTATATCAAAATAAGATAGTTTTTCAGTGAAAGATATCTTAGATATGATTAATGTTTTATATGACCTGTTAAGAGAAAACAGGTCTCAATTTAACAATTGTTAAACAACAAGTGTGCATATGAAATGCCTCCAAACAAGTAAATGCATGAAAAATCAATTAGAAAATTATATGAAAAGATAAAGTCTAAAAATAACAACATGAAAAGAGAGTAATTATATGAAGAAATAGTTAAACTCTATTAATCAGGGTAATGCATATGAGAACATGCCATGGTATTTTATACCAAGTAAATAGACAAACATTTGGAATTTGAAAAACATCAAGCATTGAAGAGAATAGGAATAATATGAACCCTTATACAAAACAAAAATGTAAAAAGTAAAATAAAACTCTCAATGAAAGAAAGTGTGAATCTAAGATTTATATGCAGCCAAACTGATCTTTAATGACTAAATCATTTTTGATGAGTTGTCTAAATGATAACATCAATTTTTCCAAGAGGTGATTAGGAAGACTTCAGTAAAAGGTCTGATTGCAATCATATTTATATAAATAAATATAGATCTAAGAAGAAAAAGTAAACCTGAGGAAAGAAAACTAAGGTACAAATATTATATGTTGTGACAAAGTAGAAATAATTCAACGGTTAAATAGGAAGATAAGAGAGACATTAAAAAGAAAAGTGGAATAAGCTTATAGTAAATAGGCAATAAATGGGAGTTAAAAATGCTGATAAAAACAGACATGTCAAGTAGTAAAAAGGCTAAATAAGAAAACAATTACTTAAATGTATTTTAATAGTACAATCATACGCATTAAAATAAAAACAAATTCTTCTAAACACTTTTAAAATTAGAAATAAAGTAGTAATTATTAATCAAAGGCGTCAAAAAAGTATAATTAAAGAATATACAAAATAAGATATATCATTGTACAATAATATGATGTAGTTGGGACAAAACATGTCAGTCACATCAATAAATATGAGTAGGTTCTTCTCATCTGTTAAAACTATTTTAAATTTGGTTTTCAAATCAAGACCCAACTATACGCTATGTATAAGACACACCAAAAACAATGTGATTTTTAAAAGCTATACGTAAAGGCATGACAAATAGAAATAACAAAGCAAGACTAGGAATTCAGATATCAAACCAATTAAGATTCAAATCAGAAAGGCATGAAAATTAGGGGCTATTTTTAATGCAAAATCCAAAATCCATGAGGAAATCATAACACTTATAAATATCTATGCAACAAATAACCGAGCAACCATTTTTGAAACAAAAACTAGGGAAGATACAAGGAGACATTAGTAGGCAAAATACTAAGAAGAGGCTTTCACATAAATCACTATGAGACAGATGAAGTGACAAAATATTAGTAAGGGGATAAATACCTAAAGAATATAATAAGATGTTATAGATATATAGCAAATTTTTACCCTGATAATCAAGAATGTACCTTTTTTCCAAATGTTCATAAAATATTCAACAAATTGATATGTTAGTTCACACAAAAATATCAATATTAAATAAATTAGAAATATATGAACAATATTTCTGGTCATAATGTAATAAAACAAGAAATTAACAACAACAAAAATCATGTTTCTTATGGAAATTACAAAATTATCCATTAATTAACTCTTGGATTACAATGAAATTATAAAATGAAACTAAAGAATTTCTAATAAATAATGATGAAACACTGCAAATCACAATCTGGAATTTTAAAGCAGTGATGAGAGGTAAATTAATAATACTTAAGACTTACCAGTGTAGATGAAATTTTAGTATAAAATTGAATGCCCAGCTCAATGACTGGAATAAAAAAGTAAACCAAAGAAAGAATAAGTAAGAAGATAATGATGATAAAAGTAGAAATTAATGGAGTATGGAATTGAAAAGGCAATTATGCAGTTATCTTCACTGCTATTCATTCTTGTATTCAAGGTATTTGCCAATACACAAGATAAATAATTTAGTGTAATAAGAATTGGTAAAGAAGAAATATAATTATCTTGATTTGCAGTTGTTGTGACATTTTATTTCTGTAAAACCCTAGTGAATCTATGATAAAAGAAATACAATAAAAATAATTCATTAATTTAGCAGTGTATAAAATTAACATACAGACATCTATAGCTGTAACATATACAAACAATTATCAGTTAGCAACATTATGGTAAAGAAAAATTCATTTACATAGCAACAAGCAATATTAATTTGTAAAACTTAGAAATTAGCTTTCTGTTGTTGCTGTAAAAAATGCTACATATTTAGTGGCTTAACACAACACAAATTTTTAGACTTTGATAAATCAGAAATCTGATAATCTCGCTGGACTAAAACCAAAGTGTTCACAGCCTATCTTCTTTTCTGAGGGTCTATTAGGGAAGTTGTTTACTGATCATTTAAGTTGACATAATTTTGTTTCTTGTGGTTGTAGAACCGAAGTGTCCATTTTCTTGCTGGATCTAATTTGAAAGTCATTTTTAGCCTGTAGAGGCCACTAAATTTCTTGGTCTTTGGATCCCTTCCTCCATTAAATTAAAACATCCCTTCAAATTAAACAGCATGATCAAATACTTTTCATGTCATAGCTCTCTGATCCATTGTTTGATTTCCACTTTTATGGACTCATGTGATTAGGTTTGGTCCACCCAATAATCCAGGATAATCTACCCTGTCTCAAGATCTTTAATCTTAATCACAATTGTAAAAACCTGACATATTCATAGGTCATCAGGGTTAAGACATGATTTGTGTGTAGGGGTGGGTGGGTGTAATGGAAGGAGATAGGCATTATTTCTGTTTACTATAGAAGTAAGTATCTACAAAAATTATTGGAGGAAATTTTTTAAGAATTCTTGAATAACACAAAAGTAGACCTAGCAAACAAAGATTTTACTTGCTTTTAATAGGAGAAGTCAACTTCATAAAGATGTAGTTCCCTTAAAATGTGACACAATTTCAATAAATATATCAATAAATACTTTATTGACATTAGTTTAACATTAAAGATCCTATAGAAAAATAAATATTCAATAATATGTAGAAAAATATGAAAAAAGAAAAATACAACCAGATATGGTTTGGATTTGTGTCCCTGCTCAAATGTCATGTTGAATTGTAATCTCCAACATTGGAGGAGGGGCCTAGTGGAATGTGATTGGATCATGGGGGCGGACTTCACCCTTGCTGTCTCGTGATAGTGAGTTCTCAAGAGATCTGGTTGTTTAAAAGTGTGTAGCACCTCTACCCCTTTGCTCTCTTTCTTATGCTCCAGCTATGTAAGACTTGCTTTCTTTCCCTTCACCTTGTGCCATGACTGTAAGTTTCCTGATTCCTCCCCAGCCATGCTTCCTGTACAGCCTGTGGAACTGAGCCAATTAAACCTCTTTTCTTTATAAATTACCCAGCCTCAGGTAGTTCTTCACAGCAATGTGATAATGGACTATTACATAAAATTGGTGAGGGGAAGTGGGGTATTGCTATAAAAAATACCTGAAAATGTGGAAGCAGCTTTGGAAATGGGTAACAGGCAGAAGTTTGAAAAGTTTGGAGGGCTCAAAAGAGGACAGGAAAATGAGGGAAAGTTTGGAACTTCCTGGAGACTTGTTAAATCACTGTAACCAAAATGCTGACAGTGATATGGACAGTGAAGTCTAGGCTGAGGTGGTGTCAGATGAAAATGAGGTACTTATTGGGAACTGGAGCAAAGGTCACTTTTGTTATGCATTTGTGAAGAGGTTGGAGGCATTGTGCCCCTGCCCTAGAGATCTGTGGAACATTGAACTTGAGAGAGATGATTTAGGGTATCTGGTAGAAGAAATTTCTAAGCAGCAAAGCATTCAAGATGTGACCTGGTTTCTTCTAAACTCACATGTTTATATTCATGAGCAAAGAGATGATCTGAAACTGCAACTTATATTTAAAAGGGAAGCAGAGTGTAACAGTTTAGAAAATTTTCAGCCTGACCATGTGGTGGAAAAGAAAAACTCATTTTCTGGGGAGGAATTCCAGCCAGCTGCAGAAATTTGCATAAGTAAAGAGAAAACCAATGTTAACAGCCAAGACAATGGGGAAAATGCCCCGAAGGCATTTCAGAGACCTTCATGGCAGCCCCTCTCATCACAGGTCCTGAGGTCTAGGAGGGAAAAACTGTTTTGTGGGCCTGGTCCAGGAATCCACCACCCTGCACAACATCGGGTTATTTCTCCCTGAATCTCAGCTGCTCCAGCTCCAGCATGACTAAAAGAGCCCCAGATACGTGCCAGGCTGCTGCTGCAGAGGCTGCAAGCCATAAGCCTTGGTGGCTTCCATGTGATGTTAAGCTTGCAGGTGCACAGAGGGCAAGAATTGAGGCATGGGGGCTGATATGGTTTGGCTCTGTGTCCCCAGCCAAATCTCATCTCAAATTGTAATCTCCATAATCCCTATGTGTCATGACCAGGGCCTGGTAAGAGGTGATTAGATCGTGGGTACAGTTTCCCCCATGCTATTCTGATGGTAGTGAGTTCTCATGAGATCTGATGATTTTATAAGGGGCTCTTTCTGCTGCGTTCCTTGGCTCTCCCTTGCCTGTCATCATGTAAGATGTGCCTCTTCCCCTTCCACCACGATTTTAAGTTTCTCGAGGCCTCCCCAGCCTTATGGAACTGTAAGTCAATTAAACATTTTTTTAAATAAATTACCCAGTCTCAGGTATGTATTTATAGTAGTGTGAAAACTTGTGAATACAGTAAATTGGTATCTGTAGAGTGGGGCACCACTATAAAGATACTTGAAAATGTGGAAGCAACTTTGGAACTGGGTACCAGGAAGAGGTTGGAACAGTTTGGAGAGTTCAGAAGAAGACAGGAAGACTTGGGAAAGTTTGGAATTTCCTAGACACTTGTTTAATGTTTTTGACCAAAATGCTGATAGTAATATGAAGAATGAAGTTCAGGCTGAGGTTGTCTCAGTTGGAGATGAAAAGCTTCTTGGGAGCTAGAGCAAGGGTAACTCCTGCTAAGCTTTAGCAAAGAGACTGGCAACATTTTGCCCCTGCCCTAGAGATTGTTATAATTTTGGACTTGAGGGAGATGATTTAGGGTATCTGGTGGAAGAAATTTCTAAGCAGCAAAGTGTTCAAGAATTAACCTGGGTGCTCTTAAAAGCATTCAGTTCTATATATTCACAATGAGATGGGTTGAAATTGCAACTTATTTTTAAAAGAGAAGCAGAACATAAAGGTTTGGAAAATTTGCAACCTGATGATGCAATAGAAAAGAAAAACCCATTTTCTTTAGAGAAACTCAAGCCAGCTGCAGAAATTTGCATAAGTAACAAGGGGTTGAAGGTTATTCTCTAAGACAATGGGGAAAATGCCTCCATGGCATTTCAGAGAACTTCACGGCAGCCCTTCCTATCACAGGCCCAGAGGCCTAGGAGGACAAATGTTTCCTGGGCCAAACCGAGGTCCCCTGCTGTTCTGTGCAGCCTTGGGACATGGCACTCTGCATCCTGGCCACTTCAGCTCCAGTCATGGCTAAAAGGGGCCAAGGTATAGCTCAGGTCGTTGCTTCAGAGGGTGCAAGTCCCAAGCCTTGGCAGCTTCCATGTGGTGTTGGGCCTGTGGGTGCACAGAAGTCAAGAATTGGGGTTTGGGAATCTCTGATTTCAGAGGATGTATGAAAATGCCTGGATGTCCCCACTGATGTCTGCTGCAGGGGTGGAGCCGTCATGAAGAACCTTTCCCTAGGGCAGTGTAGAATGGAAATGTGGAGTAAGAGGTCCCACACAGAGTTTGCACTGGGGCATTGCCAAGTAGAGCTGTGAGAAGAGGGCCATTCTCCTCCAGACCCCAGAATGGTAGACCTACCAACAGCTTGCACTGTGTGACTGGAAAAACCACAGACACTCAACACCATCTCATAAGAGCAGCTAGAAAGGAAACTGTATACTGCAAATCAACAGGCTGGAGCTGCCCAAGGCTGTGGGAGGCCACTTTGTCCATCAGCATGACCTGTTTGTGAGACATGGAGTCAAAAGAGATCATTTAGGAGCTTTAAGATTTAATGAATGCCCTTCCTGGCTTTGGACTTCCATGTGGCCCCTTTGTTTTGGCAAATTTCTCTAATTTGGAATAGGAACATTTGCCCAATGCCTGTACCCACATTGTGACTTGGAAGTAACTAACTTGTTTTTGATTTTATGGCTCATAGCCAGATGAGAATTTACTTACCTCAGTTGAGACTGCGAAATGTGGACTTTTGAGTTCATGGTGAAATGAGTTAATATTTTGGGGGACTGTTTAGAAGCCATGATTGGTTTTGAAATGTGAAAAGGCATGAGATTTGGGAGTGACCACTGGATGAATGATGTGGTTTGGCTCTGGGTCCCCACCCAAATCTCATCTCAAATTGTAATCCCCATAATCCCCACCTGTCATGTGCGGGACTGTTCTCATGATAGTGAGTGAGTTCTCATGTGATCTGATGATTTTATAAGGGGCTCTTTCTCCTTCGCTCATTTGCTCTCTTTCACCCGCCATCATGTAAGATGTGCCTTTTCCCCTTCCTTCATGGCTGTAAGTTTCCTGAGACCTCCCCAGCCCTGTGGAATTGTAAGTCAATTAAACCATTTTTTCTTTATAAATTACTCAGTCTTGGGAATGTCTTTATAGCAGCATGAAAATGGACTAATACAGAAGCCTCAAACTAGATTTTAAAGGATATATGGAAATGCCTGGATGTCCACTCAGAAGTCTGCTGCAGAAGAGCCCTCATGGAGAACCTCTACTAGGGCAGGGCAGAGGGGAAATGTAGGGTTGAAGCCCACACACAGAGTCTCCAGTGGGGCACTGCCTCGTGGACATGTGAGAAAAGGGCCATTGTCCTTCAGATCCCAGAATGGTAGATCCACTGACAGCTTGCACTGTGTACCTGGAAAAGCCACAGGCACTCAATGCCAGCCTATGAAAGCAGCTGTGGGAGATGTACCCTGCAGAACCACAGAAGAAGGGGTGCCCAAGGACTTGGGAGACCACCCCTTGTATCAGTGTGGCCTGGATGTCAGAAATTGAGTTTAAGAAGTTTTTTTGAAGCTTTAAGATTTAATGACTGCCCTGCTCGGTTCAAACTTGCATGGGGCCTGTAGCCTCTTTGTTTTGGTTGATTTCTTCCTTTTGGAATGGATGTATTTACCTAATGCCTGTCCCCCACTGTATCTTGGAAGTAACTAACTTGTTTTCGGTTTTACAGACTCATAGATGGAAAAGACTTGCCTTGTTTCAGATGAGACTTCGGGCTGTGGACTTTTGAGTTAATGCTGAAATGAGTTAAGACTTGGGAACTGTTGAGAAGGGATGATTGTATTTTGCAATGTGAGAATAACATGACACTTGGGAGAGGCTGAGTCAGAATATTATGTTTTGGATTTTTTGTCCTCACCCAAATCTCATGTCAAATTTTAATCTTCAGTTTTGGAGGAGTAGCCTGGTGGGATGTGATTGCATCATCAGGGTGGACTTCCCCCTTGCTGTTGTTGGTGAGTTCTCACTAGATCTGGTTGATTAAAAGTGTGTAGCACCTCTCCCTCTTTGCTCTCTTTCTCATCCTCCATTCACATAGGACATGACTTCTTCCCCATCACCATCTGCCATAATTGTAAGTTTTTAGAGGCCTACAAAGCCATGCTTCCTGCACAGTGTGCAGAACTGTGAGCCAATTAAACCTATTTTCTTTAAGTATTACCCAGTCTCAGGTATTTATTTATAGCAATGTGAGAATGAACTAATAACTCTACAAAACAAAATATACTCTAAAATCTTTATAACTAAAACAGAGTGGTACCTAGTATATGTTAAAGGTAGCATCTCAAAACATTGAGACAAAGGTAGACTTTTGATTGAATGGGGCTGGGACAAATGAGTAGTTATTTGCAAAAAGATAATATTGAATAAGTAACAGATAGTATATAGAATAAACTACCAAAAACAGAAATGTCAAGGATAAAATGATTTCATGCTTAATAAGATATCAGTGTAGTCCTTTTTATTCTTCATGCAAAAAAAAACCTATGGCTTAAAATCCATTTGCAATAAAATATAACATTAAAAATTCCAACAGGATAAAATAAAATTTTGCCATGGCAAAAATACTATGAACAAAGTTCAAAGTTAAGACACTTTAGGAAACTGCAAGAAAAATATTTGTAACATATTCTATGGAAAGAAAGAATATCATGCCTAATACACATATAATGGCCAAAATCTGATATCAAAATAGAAAAGAAGATATGAACAGAGAATTAGCTAGATAGATAGCAGACAGACAGTAGACAGTAAATTGTCCTCAAACATATGGGAGAATGCTGAAACTCACTTAAATATGAAACTTGCACATCTGGATGAGATGTATAAATCTAAGCACCTCCAAATTGGGAGAAAAGCTTGTAAAGCTTGTAATTAAAAGCATGATGTCCTAAGTTAAGGAAGAGGTAAATAGAATGACAAAAAGAAAAAAGGAATTGGCACAATGCTCCCTTCTGTCAATGTATTGCCTCTATGGCTTATAATGGAATGTGTAAAGTATAAAGTGTTATAAAATGGTCATTGGAACTGGAAGAGATTTTTTTGAAATGCTGCAATCAGAGATGGGCTGTCGTGTGTGTGTGTGTGTGTGTGTGTGTGTGTGTGTGTGTGTTACATATATTTTTTCTTTCCCCTTGAAAACATACTCCTGGCATCTAGTTTGAGTAATTTCCAGGTATCTGCCTCTGCTTGTGCAGAATAATATTCATACTTAGATAAAAGTAAAAAGTGTAATAACACATTTTGTTTGTGAGATTGGGGAAACAGGTATGCTTACATACATCATACGCATTAACATTGGTTCCTATTGCAATACGTTGGGTTCTCTGGAAACAGATGCTGTGATGGAGTTTGCTATGCAGGGATCAAGATCTATAGAAAGTGGGAAGGGAAAGCAGATTTGGACCAAGGAATACAAATAACTGTGATGTGATATCAACAAAATTTCAGCGAGCTCACCAGGAGCTAACATAGACAGGTCTTTGGACTCCTGGTTTGATTGGTTGCTCAATATGGGTTCCTCTTGGCAAGAGTCATTACAACTGAATCATATTCTAAAGATGTTAATAGCTGGAGTCTATCTGCTGACAGCTGGGGTCACAAGTTTTTATTTGACATGGAATCTGAGACATTCTGTGTTTATTAGAGCACTTTAAAAGTGATAGGAATGAGAAACGGATCAGGGAAGGAAAATAATACAAGAGGGGCCCCATGATGGTAATATACCATGGACTGAGGATTATTCTGAGGTCCTTTTTACACACCTGAGGCTAATTATATGATATAGGTGTAAGTCTTAAGGTAAGTCTTTTGCCCTTTGGGAATTCACATCATTTCCCTGACCCTCTGTGAACTTAACTGATCTGTAAAATAGCAGTATGAATGTCTTTCTCACACAGTCATCTGAAGTGCATGGTAATTTCATTTGCTTTGAGGCTTGAAACATTGTTTTAACTATGTCTGTGCAATAAAATACCATATATTATACATGAACAGTCACTGGATATATTTGTGGCAGTTAAATTTAGCAAACATATTAGAGGTATGATTATTCTAGTAAAAGCAGGACAATACCAAACTTCAGTCAAAAAAGAGCTCAGAGAGCAATGCTCAGTCAAAAAAGAATTTAAGTGGTAAAAGAGGAGGGCTGGAAAGCTCAGGAGAAAATATTATCAGGCCGATTAAATGCTGAGTTTAGAGAAGTCAAGTGAAGTAGAAAGATTCATGATGTAAGAAAACAAAGTTCATAAAAACAAAGGAAAAAAGTATTATTTATTATGCACCATCTACATGCTAAGCACAGAAATTGGCATTAAAAAATATTTCTCTCACTTGCATGCACCTTAACTTTGTGAAATATGAATTACTATCCCAAATATATAGAAACGGTAACAGACATGGAGAGTAGCAGCAAATTAGGTGGCTCAAGTCCAGGCAGATAGTATGCAACAAATTTGGTATTTAAATTCCAGTCACTGTGAGCAAAAATTTCTTATTTTTTGTTAACAATTTCACTGTTGAACACTAATTCTAGGCCCCAAATGGTATTTTGTTCAGTTTACCACACAAACAGTGAACAAACACATCCTTGATTCTCGGCTGTGCAGCCACATTATTTTCTTCAAAATGTGGCATGGTACTTAACTGATAACCATATTGGTTTCATCAGTGATCAGATGGGCAGTGGTTATTTATTCTTTCCTTCTAGATGGATATTGCTTGGGCTATTGAGTAGGTGATAAGGATTGTAGGAGACTGAACTGGGTGTGAAGGTAGTTGTGAACTGACTTTGGAACAGCCTGGTGTGGATTCAAAAAATAAATGGGAATGACTACTGTCTTAGTCTTTTATCTGATGCCATAGCAAAATACCTGTGACTTGGTAATTTATAAAGAACAGAAATTGTATTTCTCATGGTTCCAGAAACCAGGAGGTCCAAGATCAAGGTGCTGGCAGTTTGGTTGTCTGGAAGCTGCTCTCTGCTTCCAAAATTGCAGCTTGTTGCTGCATCCTCTTGGGGGAGGATGCTGTGTCCTCCCATTGCAAAAGACGGAAAGGCAAGCCAGCTGAATGCTGCATGAAACCTCTTTTATAAGAATCTTAATACCATTTATGAGGTAGGGGCCCTTATGACATGATCACCTTTTAAAGACCCCACTTCTTAATACCATCACGTTGGCCATAAAATTCCAGTACCTGAATTTTGGTGGGGACACATTTAAACCATAACAACTACATTTGAGAGCAAAACAGAAAAGGAGCCAAGCAGAAAGTAAAGACAAAACATCAAACCAAGCTGGGCACGGTGGCTCACGCCTGTAATCCCTGCACTTTGGGAGGCTGAGGCAGGCAGATCACTAGGTCAGGAGATCGAGACCATCCTGGCTAACATGGTGAAACCCTGTCTCTACTAAAAAAACAAACAAACAAACAAACAAAAAACAAAAACAAAAACATCAAACCAAATCCTCTGATGTTAAGGTGAAAACCAAGTGGTAGGTTATAGTATGGAAAGTAGACATCAAAACTATTAAATACATTTTGTATAAGATGCTTTCTGTGATGTCAATGTAGATGTAGGGAGATTCTCTGTAATCTATAAGCTTTACCTTTAAGTAGAATGAGAGCTATTAAAGGATCCACACCAGTTTTTCAACTGACTGCCATAAAGTGTCTTAAAAATTATCTCATGCAAGATTCTTGATGTTAGGGGTAAGGAAGTTGAGACCCAGAGAGGGTAAAGTGATTTATACCAACTAATATAGCTATTTTATGGCAGAATCTTTACTATATAAAATGTTAATGTCATATGTGAAAATTGTCATAAAAATGACTGATTTATTGATTATGAAAATCAGAAGTGTGGAATATGAATGTATACTAAATAAGAAAAACTCACCCTTCACAGCTTAGTGAAGGAATTTCATTTAAAAAATTAAATGATAATTCAAATTATGTGTTAGAAGTTCAAAATCAAAATGTTATGTCCACAAATTCAGTATTCTTTCTGTTTATGTATATTTGATTTCCCGTAAGAAAGAATGACATTTCTTCAATTCTAGAGGTCTGAGGTCAAATGTGTTTGGAAAATAAACTATCTTATATAAATTGTATTGTTTGGATGTGTGTCCCTTCCAAATTTCATGTAGCTAAGTGTGATCCTTTGTGTTGGAGCTAGGGGCTGCAGGAAGTGTGTCGTTCATGGGGGCAGATTCTTCATGAATTGCTTGGTGCCATCCTGGTGGCAATAAGTGAGCTCTCTTTCTGAATTTATACAAGTTCTACTTGTTAAAAGAGTACTGCACCTCTTCTCTTTCTCTTGTTTACTCTTTTACCCTGTGATATGCTGGCTCCCTTCACCTTCTACCATGATTATAAGCTTCCTGAAGCCCTCACCAGAAGCTGAACTCATGCTTGTACGTCCTGCAAAACCGTGAGCCAAATTAAACCTCTTTTCTCTATAAGTTATTTTATAGGTATTTCTACATAGCCTCAGGTATTCCTTTATAGCAATACAAAAATTGATTGATATAACAACATTCTTGGAGATTCACATTATTTATCAATGTAGTAAAGCATTTGGGTAATCCAGCAGTGAAAATGTGTGTTTTACTTTGCATAGCCCAGTATTTCCCAAATATACTTGAACATGAAACATATTTTTCATAACACAGTTTATGTCATTCCACTAAATGATCATTTGGTGAAAAACAATCAATCTCATTTTTTATCATTATGCAATTGTTTGTTATCTATGTCAGTTTCCAGCTGAATAACACAGGACTGAAATCTGGACAACTTAATTTTTCTAATTGTTTAAACTTGTCTTAAGACATTTGGCAGTCAGTTTTGAACCACGATTTTTTAAAAAGCTATGTATGATTTCTATGTTATAATTTTTTTTACCAATTTTTATTTCACTCATATGTTATGTGGTTCCCAGCCAAGCACACATTAGTGCATAATAGTAATTGAATAAATAAATTGCATGTGTTTTCTTAGGTCATTTTATTTTCCCTTCTTCCTTAAAATTTTTAACATCCTTTTAATATTTTTTTGCTACTGTACACATTCCTCTCTTAGTACTTTTTTATCCATAATTTTTGACTTATATTTTTTTCCTTTATTAAAAGGGTAAAGGCTAAAGCAACTGAACACAGAAGATCATAGAGGAGGATGATGTTTTTTCTGGGGAAGCAAAAAGAATTCATTTTAACCTCCACATTAAAGTTGTTCTTGAAGACTCCAATCATTATTTTTCTTCATTAGTTAATTGAAGAAGTAGTAACTTGAAACATACATTCTAATGATTTTTTGCTTTCGTATACCTATAAAAATGAATGTCACTCTCTGTAAATCATATTTGAGTTATCCCAACTTAAAAACAGTTCTATTTAAAAGGTCTTGTTTGAGTAGAAGTGCAATTCGTGACTTTAATTATAGGCATCCACTTCATAGAAAATCTCTTTCTCTTGATAACTTTATTTTCTGTAGTCTTTCAAAATATAAATATTTTAAATCAAAACAAATAAGATACTGTGATATTGATGATAAAAATAACACGTGGACAAAACCTAAAATGTGTTCACTATTTGAGCAAATTTTACAAAAGAAACATTTTATTGTTGGAAAATAATATTGCATATCTACAGTCAGCATTTAGCCACATAGCTAATGAAGAGATACTTAATTTTCTAAATATCGACTATCACTAAATAGTATACTTTGCTATATAAACAGTTTCCCAACTCTACAGTAGCTTGGAAACAGAAGATCACATTCATTAAGTGCTCAGTGTCTGGGACCAAACACTGGGGCCAAATCCTGGCTCTGGCACTCACTGCATGACTCACAAAAAATTGCTTAGTTACTTTAGGCTATACTATATGTACCATAGTTTAGTTATTTAGTATTTATAAAGTAGAAATATAAATTTGCCTACCTCATAGACTTTTGAGAGTTAAGCTGGTTGATATTTATAGAAGACTTTGAATAGTGCCTGGTACATAGCTATCTCATAATACACCTTAGCTGCTGGAGTACCACCCAGCTAGTGGGGGAAATATTCAGAAAATAAAAAGGCTCCATTTAGAACCTAGCTCTTTCTTCATCTCTCCTTTTTATCTCCATCCTTTGTGCCTTTTCCTTAATATTCTACTCTTTTTCATCTTCATTGATTTTTCTTTCTTGTTTTCTTGAAATTCTCACATTAAAAAATAAATCACTAGTAAAGTAAATCATTATTTAGAGTAAATGGTAAGAAAGGAAAACTTTCATAATTTAGAAATAAATATGCTATACAGTCTAAAAATTAATCAGGCTGGGAAGCAATACTAAATAAGTCAAAGAGATGGTAATGAAGACAGTATTCATAGCCCATTGTGAATAGTCACACAGAAAATGACTCAGACATCAAGTAATGGAAATAACAATTATACTTGATAGCTTACAGCAGCTAGGCATAAGCTGCAGTGCACTTGAACAGAGAAAAGCAACATCATTCAAAATCTGTGTACTTAAAAAACGTATAATATATGAAAAAGGAAAGTAGGAAAGGATGATATTTATACTAGAAACATTTGTGGAAAATATAGTTATCAAATCAAAAGAATTCAAATGTGGTTTATTGGCAAACTTGGAAACAACTACAGTAGTCTCCTCTTATCAGAGCAGGATATGTTCCATGACATTATGAGGATGCCTGAAGGCTCAGATGGTACCAAACTCTGTATACATTACAATTTTTCCTACACATACATACCTTTGATAAAGTTCAATTTATAAACTAGACACAGAGATTAACAATAATAACTAATAATACAATAAAATAATTATAACAATATACTGTAATAAAAGTGATTTAGAAATTATGAATTGTTTATTTCTTATATTTTCCATTTAATGTTTTTAAATTGAGATTGATCAGAAGTTACTGAAACCTTAAAAAGCAAAGCTGTGGTTTAGGGGGCACTATTGTACATACTGGAATAACATTTCATTTTATAAGACTATTGGTACTGTAATAATGTTTACAATACAGATGCAGGATAAATTAGTGTGAAGCACATATTAGAAAAGAGTAACTTGGAAACTAAAATATGATGGTATAATTGCAAAATAATACACATTGGAGTTTAAAGTATAAAAACAAAACATTAACAGTTCTTTTTTGATTGTTAGATTGAAAATATGTGTGATATATTGGATTAAATAAAATATTACTAAATTTAATTTTATTTGTATTTTTGTACTTTATAAAGATGGGGGCAACATAAAATGTGAATCACATAGGTGGCCCTCATTATATTTCGGTTGGGCAGAACTAATGGAGATGGTGGTTTTAAAGCAATGATATATTCCTTCGTACTTTTGAAAAAAGTAAAAATGAATTTCTTGTTATGACAGAATTCAGACCTTTACTATAACAATCAAGAAACTAACCAAGGCTTCTACATATTATTAAGAGCTCAATAAGTTAATTACTTCTTACATTTTATTTCATCATTATTTATGTATATTATAATAACTGTGAACAACTTATATTTGAATTTTATCTCTATCACTTCCTAGTTCTCTGAGATCTTTAAACTTTTACTTTAAGCCAATAGTTTTAATCATTTAATGAAAAAAAAAAGCCTCTGTGCTATTTTATGATTGTAGGTTGAGAGTTTTAAATAATAATCCATATTTAGTTCATGGTAGGAAATATTATTAGCTGTTTTGTTGTAGTTGAAATTGATAGAAACTTTGGGATTTTCTTTGCTCGTATGAATATGTGGAATGGCTGGCAGGGTGTATTTATGCCCTTCTGCTGTCTCCACCTGCAATGTTATAAAGGGCATAGCAGGGAACTCACCAGCTAGAGCATGTAGGTAAAGCTATTTTACATTCATCTTCCCTTCAGAAAGAAATATTGAAATGTCAGTTGTTGTGCTGCCTGATACACTGTGAAATCATTTACTGTCCGTTGGGATTACAAGACCTGGTGATGTGTTGCCTTTTCTGAACATGACTTCGCTGAGAGAGCTGCTGCAACATGGCCATCTGTTTGGGTATTGCAGCTGTGATGTATTTCAAAGCATATCTTCCTTTTTCTCTATTTTTCAACACAGGCATTTTAAATCCATAGACCAATGTTTTAAAATGTTTTTTCTCAGAGCATCCAACTCAAGAGAGCAATGGATTTAGAGTCAGGAGACCTAGTTTCTATACCAGGCTTGGCCACTAATGAGTTCTGTGACTTTGGAAAAACTGTCTAATTCCTTCTACCCTTAACTTTTTCATTTACACATCAAAGAGTTTGAATGGAATATTTTTAAACATCTGTTTCAAATATAATTTTCTAAAATGTTTTATCATTCTTGAAATGAAACTATTGTTATGATTTTTATGCTATTTTCCTGATGTTACATACTTATTTTATGTCACTGTAACTTAATGATTCATTCAACAGTTATTTGAGATTCTACTTTTAATATGGTTCTAGGTGTTAGAAAAACAATAATAAAAAATACAGGCTTATGGATCTTGCAGTTTGGTGGGAGAAAGAAACATTAATCAAATATGTATACCCACATATTCATGCAAACACGTGATTATGATAGTGACAAGTACCATAAAAACATAAAATTCAGTGATATGAGAGTGAAATACAAGTATGTGTCTTTCTTGGGAAAGTTAAATAGTGTATATAGTTGTATAATCAAATATTACGTATTTTTCTTTTAGAATATCATAAATAGTTAAGATACTATTTAATAAATTAAACAAAATAGTAAATAATATACAATTTATTCAAGTACATGTCTTATTATGTACCAGGCATTACTTGTATACAATTTTACAGTGATAAATAAATCCTTCCTGAAGCTTACAGTGTAGTTAAAAAGACAATAGTAGATAATCAAGAGAGTTCTGTTTCCCAGCAAGATGTAGAAAGCAAGAGAATGTTAGTGTGACCCCCATCCTAACAGTGAAAAAAAGTACAATTTTCTTGAACCTATGAAAGAGCTATTGTTTCAGCACGATCAAGGGAACTGAATTTTGAGTGGCAAAACCCTCCCAGGAGAAAAGGGAAAATAGGCCGGGTGCGGTGGCTCATGCCTGTAATCTGAGCACTTTGGGAGGCCGAGGTGGGTGGATCACGAGGTCAGGAAATCGAGACCATCCTGGCTAACACGGTGAAACCCCGTCTCTATTAAAAATACAAAAACAAAATTAGCTGGGCGTGGTGGCGGTTGCCTGTAGTCCCAGCTACTCTGGAGGCTGACGCGGGAGAATGGCGTGAACCCGGGAGGCAGAGCTTGCAGTGAGTCGAGATGGCGCCACTGCACTCCAGCCTGGGTGACAGAGCGAGACTCCGTCTCAAAGAAAAAAAAAAAAGAAAAGAAAAGAGAAAGTGAACTGTTTCATTTTTGTCAGAGCATGGAAGATATAGCTGGTTTCAATAGAATCATGTGAAAAGAAATTGGTTAAAAGGTGATGAATTACTAAAGATGAAGTTGGGCTATCAGTTTAGATACCTGGGAGCAACAGACACACTGGAGTTCTTCACAGGCCACCTGAAGATGCTCACTAGAGAGATTGGCAGGGCTGAACACGGGATTAAGCTCCGTTGGTGGTATAGGCATGTATGGCATGATTTCTGGTCATGCTTCCTGCTCTTCGGTACCCTCCTCTCAAAGTAATCCAAATCCTTGAGCCACTGAGGTGACCTTCATGGGAGTAATAGGGGCAAAATTTGTCGGTACCTGGGGGAAGGATTGGGAATTCCCGTTGTAGATGCCCTAAATCAGGAAAATGTCTACAACTTCAAGAAGGGCAAAAGTCCTTTCATCTAGAAAAGGTCTAGGAAAACTTCTGGACCTTGGGTCCTGCACCATTAAAAACTAGAGTTTTACCTGTGCACCTGTAGTCCCAGTTACCCTGGAGGCTGAGGCTGAAGGATCGCTTGAGCCCATGGGTAGAAGGCTACAGTGTGCTATGATTGCACCAGTGAATAGCCACTGCATTTCAAACTGGGCAAAATAGCGAGACCCCTTTCTCTAAAAATAAATAGATAAATAGATAGATAAATAGGTAGATAGATAGTTAAACTTCTAAAACATAAAATCTTCTAAATAGATTAAAATTTTAAAACAACAACAACATCAAAATCAGAGGTCTGATACTTTTAGAGAGGGACAGGGAACTTTCTTCCTCCTAAAACCCACCAAAGATGGAAAATCAGTTTGCTGTCACAAAAAGGAATGCCAGAAATACTAACAACACGCTATCCATCTACAAGACCCAGGTGCACAGACCTTTACTAAGACTGAGGATGGACCTAATGAACTGTCACCATTATAAGCCGAGCATGGAGTAACACCTTAGAGCCCTCTACTGCTGCAGAGCACAGCATAAAAAAAGACTGTACCTCTGTGAAAGATAAGATCTGTGCAGAGACAAATGAAAGCTGAAGGTAAAACAGGAATACAGACAAAATCCTCCAGCCACCTCAGATCTAACACTAGGCATGGATAACCATAACCTGCTATTTGAAGATTTGGAGCCAGTAGTATTGTCAATAGACTGAAGGTTCCCTCCACCACCACCCCACTCCCACATTCCCTGTCCTAGGTTAATTTGCTGGAATTCTAACCCTGAGTGTGATGGAATTGGATGGAGGTGGGACCTTAGGGAGGTGATTAGGTCATGAGGGTGGAGCCGTCATGAATGGGATTCGTGCCCTCATGAAAGGGACCTCAGAGAACTCCTTCACCCTTCCTGCCCTGCAAAGACACTGAAAGATTTATGAACCAGGAAGCAGGCCCTCACCAGACATTAAATCTGCCAGTGCCTTGATTTTGGATTTCATAGCCTCCAGAACTATATAAATAATGTTTTGTTTTGTTTGTAAGCCACCCAGTCTATGCTAACTAGTTATAGCAGCCCAAATGAACTAAGGCAGTATATGACCAGAAGGGATGGTGCCACTTCTAATAATGGGCCATAAAAATTTCTCATTAATGTTTCTCCAGTTTCTTTCTCCTTCTACTATCTTGAGGCAAATGTGCACAGTGACATGTTAAAAAAACATGGAAGGAGCTTTGTGTGTGGCCATTTCTTAGTAAAGAAGAACCAATAAATTGAGGGCACAAATTGAACTTTATATAAGCTAAATTCCTATTATGATTGAGCCATTACATATTTTTGTTTGTTATTGAATGGTAGCATTTCCTTAATTAATGTAGACATGATACTTTGGACTGATGTAATTCTATAGTATACTCATAGGCTACATAGGATTGGATCAGCAATTAGTAATTTCTAAGAAATCGACATTAGAGTTTAGAAAGATGTAGTCTTTGTGTGTACTGGCAATAAATTTATTAAAGCTGTTGCCCTTGATGACTTAGATTGGCTACATGCTTCCTAACTCTGTAGTTCTAAGCAATGTGACAACTAAAATTACAGTGTGTATTGGCTTGTATTTTCTGCTTCCAGTAAGATATTTCACGGAGACTTACAAAAATTTGAAAAAATCTGGCTGCATCTGGACTATCAACACTTAGATTTGAGCAACAGATTGTTTCAGGAAAACAAAATAACTGTCCTCGTGCAAATTTCAGATTAAGTTATTCTAACCTAAGTAAGCCTATTATTTTAGATGACCTGAAGGCATTCAAACATGTTCATCATGGGAGAAAGAGAGAGAGGAAGATTAACCTAAAAATACAAATAAATACAGCAGGCTTTAGGATCACAATTAGAAAATAATTTTGCTTGCAGCTAGATGTTTCCCAGTGCATAGATGGACAGGAAGCAAATAGATTAGAAGCTCAACAAAATTTGAAGAGCTGTCTGTAAAGAAATTAAAGTCGAATTTTAAAAATAACTTTGTTTACCTGAAGCTTAAGTCAAACCTCAGCCTCCAAACTTTAACTAGTAAAATGTGAACTATAGCAACTGTGCCTCACCCAAAGAATGCATTTCAAATACGTGCGCAGAAAATAATGAAAATGAAACAGTCTCAGAGGATGGAGTTAGAGGTCTTTAGTGTATAGTGTATGGTGTGTTAAACAGAGAAGAATTAGCATCCAATCATCCTAGGATTGAAAATGTTTCCATTTTAAGTTTAATATAAATGTATTATTTCTATGGTCCAATGACTTTCTTTTGTTTCTTTTTTATTTTAAAAATTTATATTATTTTAATTGACAAGTTATAATAGTATTATATTCATGAAGTTCAATGTAATGTTTTGATATATGTATAGAATGTAGAATAATTAAATTGAACTAATTAATCTAATTTTCTATGGGTCTGAATTCTATCTGGCATATGAGCACAATCTTAGCTTCTACCTTCTATTATTTACCATCATGTTATTTAAATGTTTTGGAATCACAATATTTTAGATATTTCTCTTTTCTGTGTAGAGCTGGGTTTTTGATATGGTGTCCAAACTACAAATATTTTCCCTTTTGTGGGTTAATTAAGCTAATGAGCTATCTTATTAAGCTATGTTACAGTTTATAATATGTGGATGAACTGCGATTGGAATGTTTTCTTACCTTTATTTTAAGCATTACTTTTTTAGTTTTAGAAATTAATTTTCATAATTTTTGTAATGTTGTCTCTCCTTTTATTGCATTAACTTCTACTATTTGGATTATTAGGGAAAATTTTACATGATTTCTTTGATTCCCTACTATCAGGGAGAATATGCGATTTCTTCTTTCCCTTTAAGTTTATCCAAATTTTGCTATAGTATTTTTATTTTTTCAGAATAAATACTATTTACATACTATTCCTAAAGTTGTTCCTGATTTTATAAATGTATTAATACATTCAACACAGTTTCTATCTGCCTTGTCATAGATTAATAGGATATATCTTGTCTTTACTAGATTCTTGAGAAAAGACCTTTAGAATAGTATTTTATGAGTTAGTGTTTATTTACTTAGTTTACTAAAACTTAGTTGTAGATACAGCTTACATTAATTGCCAAATCTAATGTCAGAAAGGTTTCTCCTATGTTTTCTTCTAATTGTATAGTTTAGCTCTTACATTTAGGCCTTTAATCTATTTTGAGTTAATTAATCACATATGGTGTGAGGTTAGGGCACAACTTTATTCTTTTGCACGTGAATATCCAGTTTTCTTAACATCATTGGTTAAAAATATTTGTCCTTTCACCATTAAATATTATTGGCAGTCTTGTCTAAAATCATTTGGCCACGTATTTGAGGGGTTATTTCTGGGTTTGGTATTCTATTCCATTGGTCTATATTTACCCCATAACACACCTTTTTGATTACTATAATTTTGTTTTACATCTGAAATCAGGACGAATAAGACCTCCTACTTTGTTCTATTTTTCAACGTTGTTTTTCTCCATAGGATCCTTGAGACACCATATTAATTTTATTTTTTTCCTTCTTCAAAAAATTTATTTGGAATTGCGATAGGGATCGTGTTGACTCTGTAAGTCACTTTCAATTGTATCAGCATGTTAATATTTAGTCTTTCAAGCTACGAATACATAATATATTTCCACTTAATGCCTTTAATTTTTTCAACAACAGTTTGTAATTTTCATTGTACAAGGCTTTTGCCTCCTTGGTTAAATTTATTCCTCAGTATTTTATTCTTTCTGATGCTATAGTAAATGGGATTATTCATTGTTAGTGTATAAAAATGAAACTGATTTTTGAGTGTTAATTTTGTATTCTGTAACACTGCTGAATTTGTTCATAAGCTCTAACAGTTGTTTTCTCTTTTGTTTATTTTGTAGTGGAATCTTTTGGGGTTTCTATATATTAAATCATGTCACCTGTCAAACAGAGATAATTTTAGTTATTCTTTACAATTTGTATGCCCTCCGTTTATGTTTCTTACCTAATTACTCTATCTAGGACTTCTAGTATTATGTTGAATAGAAGCATTGATAGTGGGCATCCTTGTCTGTTTGAAATCTTTGAGAAAAAGCTTCAGTCTGCCATCACAGAGTAAGATGTTAATTGTGGGTGTTTCATATATGACCTTTATTATGTTGAAGTAGTTTATTTTTTCTTTTCCTAGCTCGTTGAGTGTTTTTTTTCTCCCTGAAGGGATGTTGAATTTTGTCAAATGTTTTTTTCTGCATCAATTGAGATGATAATGTATAATTTTTTCTTATTCTCTTATTGTGGTTTATTATAATGATTTATTTTCTGATGTTTAAGCATTCTGAGATCTAAGCCATGCATCTTTTGGTTATCTGAGCTCTCAAATTAGGCAACACAGAAATCAATCCCTCAACAGTCACAGCCAGTTTAACACTGAAGATTAGGTCTGCTCTGTTGTCTCTCAGGATTGAGGATGTTAACTGAGGACCTCTGCTTCCTTAAACTACAGCGTTCTAGGGAGTGGGTGGGATGAGAGAAAGCAAAAATACCACACGATTTTCTACTATTTTAAATATAGTCTTTTGTTTGATTGGACATTTGCTTAATTTTTTTAGATCTTTGATTTATGGATCTCCTGTAAAGTTATTCTGGCCATGCTAGTTGGTTTTTTAAAAAACGTTTCTGTGGTGGAAACAAGGGCTTAGAAGCTTCCTAAAATCAGCTGTCTTATTGATTGAGTGTCTCCAAAGCTTAGGTTGCTGAAAAGTAGTTTTACTTAAATCCGTGGACATCCCTAACTTCTCTTAAATTTCTTCACAATATTGCCTCACTACCACTTGGTTTACATGTTACTATATACATACTCCTTATATTTTTTCTTTGTGACTTTGTCTTTTTACTAGGAAGATCAATGATTATCTATACTTTCAAGTCTAATAGACAAAAATGCCTACAAGTTAGTAAATCTAATTCAATTTTATGAGATATGAGTGCCCACTTTCAAAATGTTGACTCAAGTCATCTTTCTAGAGACTTTTCTCTCATTATAATTTCAAATACTAGTTCTGTTTTATTGTGGTGACTTTCTGATTCAGAGATTCAAATCATGCAACGGGTCTTTATTGCCTACATTCTAAATCTATTGCTTTTGTTCATTCATTTTTATCTTTTATGTTGTTGGTGTGATCTTCTTTGCTTTTACTCCTTCCCTCAAATTCCCTTTTTATTCTGAGATCTAAGCCATGCTAAATAATTACCATGGCTAATTATTTATCCCTTGAGAATTTTTAGATTCAGTCTTTGTTTATAGATATTTTTGTCTTTTCTCTGAATTTCATGCCTCAGGTCAGGCAACTTGATTTCAAATTTTCGTGTGTGTGTGTGTGCGTGTGTGTGTGTGTTTCTGTTTTATAGTTTTATTGAGAAATAATCTATGTACTACGTAATTCAACAATGTAAAGAGTATGATTGAATGATTTTTAGGATATTCACAGAATTCTGCAACCATCACCATAATCTAAATCTAAACCATTTTTTATCACCCAGAATGAAACCTGTGCCCATTAGCACACACTTCCCATGCACCCCTCTAGCCCTTAGCAACCACTAATCTACCTTCTGTCTCTATAGATTTGCCTATTCTGGGCATTTAAAATAAATGGAAACATAAAATATGTTGTTCTTTTGTGACTGGCTTCTTTTACTTAGCATGTTATTTTTTAGATTAATTCACATTTCCCGCTTTGTGGCTTGTTTCTGGTCCATTTAAATTCTAGGATGTTGACTTTCTGATTCATAACATTCTTTCATTTTTCCCATTGCTTATTTAATGTTATTTAATTTATGTTTGAGAGCTGTATTATAATTTTCTTCTGCTTCATAATTGTTGTTGGTATGTATTTTCATCTGCTAAAAAGTTTTGACACTTTCTGCTTTCTTGTAGTAAATTTAAAGTGGATGCCATGTGAATTTTTGTGTGTTTTTTAAGTACCTTTTATTTTTCTGAAACAGTAATTATAGTTAATTACATGCAGATGAGGCTGAGTGGTTTGAATGGCTTACTAAGATTGTTATTCAAGCTTACTACATTCTGTTGGTACAATTAAGTGAAGTTTTTTTACTAATTGTTGTCTTTCTCCTTTGTGTGTTTTGAATATCGGAGAGGTAGAGTTGCTTCTGATATGATATTTTTGTTTGTTTTGAAGATTCCATATTTTTCATTGTTTTTTTTTCTCTTCCTTTGTCCCCCAGCTCCTAAATAATGCCTCCCCTTCATGTGGACTCTATCATCCATTGCAAAGTCATACTTTTTCACTTCTTTACCTCTGACCCTACATACGTTCTAGCCTCTTCTTTTCAATTCCCTAAGAGACATTTTTTTTGATGCACAGATACTTGACATGTTCTAATTTTTCTGTTAGAGTGAAACTTTCTCTTTCAAGGATGCTCTTTTCTGTGTTCTTCTACTGCTAAGACTGTTGCAAAGTCCTCTATGTCATGGATATTTTTTATGTTTCTCTACTTAGAAAAGACCACAAAATAGGCTATATTGGTTGTAGATGTTTATGTAAATTGGAGATTTTATAATTTTTTTTTTTTTTTTTGAGACGGAGTCTTGCTCTGTCGCCCAGGCTGGAGTGCAGTGGTGTGATCTCTGCCTCCCAGGTACAAGCAATTCTCCTGTCTCAGCCTCCCGAGTAGCTGGGACTACAGGCGCCTGCCACCACGCCCAGCTAATTTTTGTATTTTTAGTGGAGGCAGGGTTTCACCTTGTTGGTGAGGCTGGTCTCGAACTCCTGACTTCAGGTGATCCACCCACCTCAGCCTCCCAAAGTGCTGGGATTACAGGCATGAGCCACCGTGCCCGGCCAGTTTCTAGAAATTTTTATCTATTTATTGTACTCTAGAAATGGGTTACAGTTGACTTTATGTAGTTGGAGTTTGTGTGGGAAAATTTCATATTTAGGAGTCAGTCATTATCCTATCTTAAAAATAGGACAAATTTTTAAGAAATTGAATATTGTACTTCTTTCCTCTTCCCCAAAACTGTTAGATTCATTGTGATAAATAAACTAAATAGTTGTACCAATTATTATTTTATCTATTTTTTTATGTAATTGTCTTGGTGTTTGACTGATTTTAATATGTTAAACAAGAACATTGTAACTTTGGGATAAGTTTTGGCGATATGGATTACTAGTATTCACCAATATCTCTGGTATTGCTTTCCTTGTACAAAAGAGACTAAAATTCTAATATTTCTTTTAATTAAGTGGGGCCATGTGTATATTTCTGGTCATTAAAACGTGTGTGGAAGAAATATATCATTTTTAGGCTAACACAGAAAATAAGTCATTAGGAAGTTATAGTCTCTCACTCTCCCCTGCTAGAAGAATAATGGAGGCGGCTTTACCTTGTAAGAGGGAAGCCGTAAGGTGGCGGTGGCTAAACTACTGCATGGGTTTACCCTATCCTGACAAATATGGCTTAGATATGGTTTGGAACAATCTCCTCAGGATAAGAACAGGTATCTAGGCTCCTATGTTTCACATACAAAAAATTAACTTTGCATAATTCAAATAGCCATTAAATCATTAACAATTTTAAACTAAGTTCCTTAGAGGAAAAAGTTAGAAAAAATTCTTCATACATAATGTAATTAGGAAGCGGAAAACTTCTTGTATCCCTCTGGAAGTCACATTTATCTACATATAAACTGTCAAATAAAATGGTACACTATTTAATGTAGGAAACTGCAACTTTATTATCTTAAAAAATAGGCAGCCAGCAATATTTATATATCAAGTTTGCTTAAAGGAGATATATTGAAAATTGGATGTTTGTGAACATACATTGCAAGACCTTTACAGATCTCCAAATTTGTAAAATTATACACAATATAGAAAATAGATATATAAAATGTATAAAATATACAAAGCACTCCAATACAAATTATATCTTTTAGTGAATATTTTAATTAATTTTCAAAAGAATAACATCCAAAATATCACTGTTAATTTAAGTTTAATTAATTTATTTTGATATTAAATTAATGTTTTCCTACTTAAATTAAGTATATCCTATAATTTATATATCATTATAGTAATGTTAATTATGAACAAGCTAAATTGACAAAGCTAAAATAGTAAGAGTAAATGATTGTGATTGATGCTGTCTTGTATGTGTGTGCTACAAACAGCATGAATGTATATTTAGAAACACATGTTTTCCCATTTTTTCCCATTACCGAATGTTTTAATTCTAACTGAAATGTATTCTGTCTATGGCTGATCTCTTTGTGTTTTCTGCCTTGGTAGGGAATACTTTCTCAGTTATGTATTCAGCTGTTGCCTCCTTTCCTATTAACTTCACATTATGCAAATGAAAATGCTTCTTAAAATTCTTGAACCAATCCTTGCCCATAAAATTGGTTGCTTCAAATGCTGTGCTGGTAACTTCAGCACCTGTGCTTATAAGGAAACATTTTTTTTTTTTTACAGGCTTCTGGCATCTCCTTAAATCATATTTCCACCAATAATCACGTTTCCTATGCACATCTTCATACCACACATTAAATATTTTTTCAGCTGTCATAAATTATTCTCTTTTAAACTATTTACAACATTTTTACTGGCTGGAAAACTGTATGAAATAATTTTTATCTTTATTTCTATATGGAGATTGTAGAGTTAGCTGAGTCACAGTCAAATTCACCAAAATTTTCTATATTCTAGTTAAGATTTGCTCACATAGCTTCATTTTCAGGTCTTACAAGAAGCATTATCTTGGTTTTCTAGATGATTCTCAGTAAGACACAGTGTTATTTATTATTTTGATTTTAAACTTAGAGTACTAGATATGGGATAATGAGTTGACATGAGCTAAGCTGTACTGAAACATAGGCATTCATATTTACTAATTAGTTAACAAAACAATCTGACAATACAGCCTCATGTGTTCCATAAAAAACTACAAACACAAATATCACATATTATAAACACATGAGCACGTGAAAATAAACATATATCATAGAATTCATCAGTCTTTACTGAATACAAAAAACAGTTGTTTTTTATTTCCCTGAATACCACAATAACAAAGAGACGGAATCAACTTAAATGTCCATCAATAGAGAATTGTATAAAGAAAATGTGGTATATCTATTATGGGATACTACTCAGCCATAAAAAAGAATGAAATCGTGTCTTTTGTAACAACATGGATGGAACTGGGGGCCATGAGCCTAACTGAAATAACTCACAACAGAAAGTCAAATACCACATGTTATCGTGTACAAAGTGGGAGCTAAGCAATGGGAACACATGGACATCTAGACTTCTACAGGGGAATAATAGACATTGGAGATTACAAAATGATAGACATTGGAGACTACAAAATATAGGAGGGTAGGGTAAGGTGAGGGTTGAAAAATTACATATTAGATACAGTGTTCACTGTTTGGGTGATGGGTACACTAAAAAGCCAGACTTCACCAGTATGCAATATATGCATGTAAGAAAGCTGTTCTTGTACCTCCTAAATAAAATATACAAATAATAAAAATTTCCCTGAATATCTAGAATGTAGTATATGTGCATTTAACATAGTCTTTTAATATAAGTTTGATAAATTTCAAGGTATTCTCCAGCCCTCTACCAGAGAGGAGTAAACTGGTAGGAATTTGTTTCTATTTTCTATCTCCAGCCACATGAACAAAATCTAGTGTCTTTTACCTAATTATGTATTTGTTTTACATGAAGAAAAGGATACACAGTAATTACTTAAGGATGAAATACATTTTACTGTAACAGCAAAAGTACTGCCAATTGGTAATGCATTTGGGTTACATAATACTATATTATTGATTAAAAATTTAGAGTGTCTTATCCCAACTAATTAATCACCAATGAGGTAGTTATATAATTCACAATTTATTAAAAAATACACTTTTTCATTTATTTCCATTTTTTATACCAAAAAATGAGAGTAGCAATATATTTAGATTTCTTAGAATGGAAATTACATCTGTTAAAGTTTTTGACCATATGTTTTATTTCAGGCTCTCTTCTGATTATAAAGAGCTGACAAAGAGTAGATTTGAAAGTTACATTTTGCATTCAAATGTTTTCAAACACATTTAATTAAGCCATTTTTAATGTCTGGTATCAGAAAATACACTTCAAGGAATCAAATCAGACTTTCCTGATGAGGCTTCTAAATTTTTCCTCTTGGGGAGGATAGTCAATGAGCAGTTATAGCACCCTGTAGGGGTCTGCAATTCCTCTTCTGAATTTAATATGCTAACAACCCCATTAACCATGAACTATACCAAGAACATTTCTAAATGTACATGAGTACATGAATTAATGGATTCCTGAATATTTTTGTCATTCACATGAAAATTTGACCCTGAGGTTAAGGTATCAATTTTTTGACAATTCTGATAGATATGGGTTACAGATTTGGCTTTTGGCAAAGTCATTCTGTAATCTAGACCAGTGGTTCTCAAGTATAACTTGCTTCAGAATTATGTGAATGGCTTTATAAATATTCATACATTAGCCTGATCTCTTGTGGTTGTTACTCAGCAGTTTGGGAACTGCATCACAATATTTTATAAGCTTCCCCAAATGATTAGCTTGAATGTCAGTATTTGAGAAACTTTGCTCCAAACTAAGTTCTCACCATCTGAGTACCATACCTAGACTCAAAAGGAGAATCAGCATATTTAAGCAGTATAAGTTTTCTTTTCATTAAAATAATCCATACATAAATATATGTGCATACACATATATGAATATTATATAATATATAGTATACAAATATACACATGTAGGTGCATATATAATATATAACATATATATGTATTATAAGGTATACATATATAATATATAATATATGTGTATATATATTATATAAGTGTACACACACACATCAGATTTTCTTTTCCTTTTCTCCATGAGCCACCTGCTTTAGAGTTTTAGGATTTGACAGTATGAACAACAAGCAGTTTCCAACCACTTGTTTTTCCCGTACTAAATCAAGAGGTTTGGGTGGGGCCAATAATCTTCATATATAACACATTCCCCAGATCAATACTTACAACTTAAGTCTTCCAATAGTGGGTAGGACAATGAAAAATGTCATTTGTTTATTGAGTGGCTATTTTCACTATCAATGATTTCTAAAGATTCCCTTGTTTTCTCAAGGCAGAAGATTTTAATTATCCCATATGACACCTCCATACTCTGTATGGTTCGGCTTTGTATCCCCCTCAAATCTCATCTTGAATTGTAATTCCCATAATCCCTACTTGTCAAGGGAGAGACCAGTTGGGGTAATTGAATCATGGGGGTGGTTTCCCCCATGCTGTTCTCTCATGATAGTGAGTGAGTTCTCATGAGATCTGATGGTTTTATAAGGGAAAACCTTCACTCTGCACTTCTCCTTCCTGCCGCCTTGTGAAGAAGCTGCCTTGCTTCCCCTTCACCTTCTATCATGATTAAGTTTCCTGATGCCTCCCCAGCTGTGCTGAACCGTGAGTCAATTAAACTTCTTTCCTTTACTAATTATTCCATCTCAGGCAGTTCTTCATGGCAGTATGAAAACGGACTAAGACTCGACTATGATTTCTCAATAATGAGGTGGAAGGCATGCCACAAATATTATTCCAAAGACTGTGTTAAGGCCCACATAATTTAACGGAGTACATCTTTTCTATTAGACAGGGCTATTTTGCTAAGTGAAGAAAAAAAAAAGAGAAGGGAAATAAGCATACACTTTCACATATCATATATTTCTTGATATATTTAATCTTCCCCATAACTCAATTTTAATTAAGCATGGTTTTTATTTGAGTAACTTGACCAAGTTGATGGAGTCAATGAATGGTGGAAACTGGATACAAATTTAGGTCGTTCTAATGTCAAATTTCATGAGTGTATATTACAGTTCTGCCAAAACTGTGGTGAAAACAGTAGAAGGGAATGGAAACTTCTTAGTTAAGAGACTAGATAATGCTGGGCTGAATTCATTCTTTGGTCATTCTCTTGGTAAGACTAGTGCTGCAAATATCTGGAATTCTGATTATTGATAACATTAAAATCTGCAGCTTCTATGTTTTTTAAAGTATATCCCTGATCAATATGCAACATCGTAAGGATGATTTTATTGTTGTACTATGTTCCAAATTTCTTAGAATATTGAAATAAAAATTAAATATTATTAATTTTTTTCAAGGCAGGGATCCAATACTGCTCAATATATCAATCAATTTATTTTTATGTTTGTTTCTTCCAACTTTTCTTTTAGGTTCAGGGGGTACATGCACAGATTTGTTACACGGGATAATTGCGTGTCACTGGGGTTTGGTGTACAAATGATTTCGTTACCCAGGTAGTGAGCTTAGTACCTGACAGGTAGTTATATTTTATCCTCATTCTCCACCTACCCTCCACCCTCAAGTAAATTTTGGTGTCTACTCTTCCTCTTTGTGTCCATGTATATTCAATGTTTAGTTCTCACTTATAAGTGAGACTATGTGATATTTGGTTTTCTATTCCTGTGTTATTTCACTTAGGATAATCACCTTCAGCTTCCTCCATGTTGCTGCAAAAGATAGGACTTTCTCCTTTTTTATAGCTCAGTAGTATTCCATGATGTACATTTGTCACATTTTCTTTATCAAGTCCAACATTAATGGGATTTTAGGTTGATTTCGTGTATTTCCTATTATAAAAACATGCTGCAATGAACACACATATGCGTGTGTCTTTATGGTAATAAGATTTATATTCCTTTAGGTGTATACCTCGTAATAGGATTGCTGGGTCAAATGGTCATTCTGTTTTAAATTCTTTGAGAAATATCCAAACTACTTTACACAGTGGCTGAATTAATTTACATTCCCACCAGCAATGTATAAGCTTTCCCTTTTCTCTACAAGCTCACCAACATCTGTTGTTTCTGGACTTTCTAATAATAGCTAATCTGACTGATTCAAAATGATATCTCATTGTGGTTTTGATTTGCATTTCTCTAATAGTGATGTTGAACACTTTTTCATGTGTTTGTTGGCCTGTGTATGTTTTTTTGAGAAGTATCTGTTCATTTTCCTTTGCCCATTTTTTAAATGGGGTGTTTTTTTTTTCTGTTTATTTGTTTAAGTTTCTTATAGATTCTGGATATTAGGCCATTGTTGGCTGTTTAGTCAACCTACACGATGGGAGAAAATATTTGCAAACTATGCTAGTCTATTGATAGTTTATTTTACTGTGCAGAATCAGGTCCCACTTGCTAATTTTTGTTTTTGTTGCAATTGCTTTTAACTTCTTCATCATGCAATCTTTGCTGGGGGCAATGTCCAGAATGGTATTTCCTAGGTTTTCTAATAAAGTCTTTATAATTTTAGGTTTTATATTTAAGCCTTTAATCTATCCTGAGTTGTGTGTTTTGTACATAGTGAAAGAAGAGGTCCCGGTTCAATCTTCTACATATGGCTAGCCAGTTATCCCAGAATCATTTATTAGACACGGAGTCCTTTCTTCATTGCTTGTGATTGTCAACTTTGACAAAGATATGATGGTTGTAGATGTGCAGCTTTATTTATCAGTTCCCTAACTTGTTTCATTGGTCTATGAATCTGTTTCTCTACCAATACCTTGCGGTTTTGGTTTGGTAACTGTAAGCTTGTAGTATAGTTTGAATTTGGGGAGGGTGATGCCTCCAGCTTTGTTGTTTTTTATTAGGATTGCCTTGGCTTTTTGAGCTCTTTTTTGTTTTTATATGAATTTTAGAATTCATATAAAATTCATTTCTAATTCTGTGAAAACTAACATTAGTAGTTTGATTGGAATAGCATTGAATTGCTAAATTGCTTAGGACATTATGGTCATTTTCACAATATTTATTCTTTCTCTCCATGAGCATGGAATATTTTTCTATTTGTTTGTGTCATCTCATTTTTTTTCAGCACTGTTTTGTAATTTTCGTTGTAGAGATCTTTTACCTTCCTGGTTTGCTGTATTGCTAGGTATCTCATTCTTTTTGTGGCTATTGTGAATGAAACTGTGTATTGATTTGGCTCTCAGCTAGAATGTTATTGGTAAATAGAAGTATTACTGATTTTTTGTACATTGACTTTGTATCCTGAAATTTTACTAAAGTAATTGGTGAATTCTAGGAGCCTTTGGCCAGAGACTATGAGGATTTTTAGGTTTAGAATAATACCATCTGCTAAGAGAGATAAGTCAACTTCCTCTCTTCCTATTTGGACACCTTTTATTTCTTTCTATTGTCTGATTGCTCTGGCTTAGACTTCCAGGACCACGTTGAATAGGGGTGCTAAGAGTGGGCATCTTTGTCTTCTTCTAGCCATTAATGGTAATGCTTCCAGCTTTTGCCTGTTCAGGATGATGCTGGCTGTGGGTTTGTCACAGATGGCTCTTAATATTTTGAGGTATGTTCCCTCAATGCTTAGTTTGTTAAAGGTTTTTAACAAGAAGAGATGTTAAATTTTTTCTACAGTGTGTTCTACATCTATTGAGATAATCATGTGGTTTTGCCTTCAATTTTGTTTATGTGATAAATCAAATTTATTAATTTGCATATGTTGAAGCACTCTTACTTCCCAGGAATAAAGTCTACTTCATTATGGTGATGCAACTTTTTGATGTGCTGCTCGATTTGACTAGATAGTATTTTGTTGAGAATTTTTGTGTCTATATTTATCAGGGATACTAACATGACATTTTCTTTTTTTTCATTGTGTATCTGCCAGGTTTTGAAATCAGAATGATGCTGGTCCCTCCCCTCTGATATATTTTTAAATATTTTCATTAGGATTGGTACTAGCTCTTCTTAATATGTCTGAGAGATTTCAGCTGTGCATCTGTCTGGTCGAGGGCTTTTTCTGGGTGATAGGATTTTTTGTTACTAAATTAATTTCTGAACTTGCTATTGGTTTGTTAGGGTATTCAATTTCTTCCTGGTTCAGTATTAGGAAGCTGTAAGTTTGCAGAAATTTATTCGTTTCTTCTAGGCTTTCTAATTTATATGCATAGAAGTGTTTGTAATTGTCACTAAGGGTTCTTTGTATATCTGTGAGGTTGATGGGAATGCCTCTTTTGTCATTTAAATAAACATTTAAAACTGATTATTATTAGTCTAGCTAGTGATCTATCAGTCTTATTTATTCTTCAAAAAAAAAAAAACCTTTGTTTTTTAAATCTTTTGCATGTATTTTTGAGTCTCAGTTCCATTCAGTTCTGCTCTGATTTTGGTTATTTCTTTTCTTCTGGTAGCTTCGGGGTTGGTTGATCTTGTTTAACTAGTTTCTGTAGGTGTGCTGTTAGCTTATTTAATTAAGTTGTTCCTGATGTTTTGATGTCAACATTTAGTGGGCTATAAACTTTCCTCTGAGTACTGTTTTAGCTGTATCCCAGAGATTCTGAGTATTGCTTTAGCTGTATGCCAGAGATTCTGCTATGTTGTATCTTTGTTTTCATTACTTTCAAAGAATTTCTTGATTTCTGCCTTAATTTCACTCTTTATCCAAAAGTCATTCAGGATTAGATTGCTTAATTTCCATGTAATTGTATGGTTTTATGAGATATTATTTCTATTGAGTTCTTCTATTTTGTAGTGCTGTGGTCCAAGATGTGGTTGGTATAATTTTGGTTATTTTTGAATTTGTTGAGAATTATTTTATGGCTGAACATGTGTTCAATCTTAGAGTATGTGCCATGTGCAGATGAGAAAAATGTATACTCTGTTGTTGTTGGGTGGAGTGTTCTGTGGATGTCAGCTAGGTCCATTCAGTCATTTGTCTACTTTAGCTCCCAAATGTCTTTGTTGGTTTTGTGCCCTGTTGATCTGTGTAACACTGTCAGTTGAATGATGAAGTTGCCCACTTTTGTGGTTATCTAAGTCTCTTTGTAGGTCTCTAAGAACATCTTTCATGAATCTGGGTGCAACAGTGTTGAGTGTACACATATTTAGGATCGTTAAGTCTTCTTGTTGAATTGAACCCTCTATCATTACGTAATGCCTTTCTTTGTCCTTTTTCATCATTTTTGGTTTGAAGTCTGTCTGAAATAAGACTAGCAACCACTGCTCTATTTTGTTTTCCATTTGCTTGATAGATTTTTCTTTATCCCTTTACTTTGATCCTATGTATGCCATTGCATGTGAGATGGATCTCTCAAAGACAACATACAGATGGGTCCTGCTTCTTTATTCATCTTGCCACTCCATGCCTTATAGATGGGGTTATTAGCCCATTTACATTCAAGGTCAATATTGGTGTGTCAGGATTTGATCCTGCCATCATGTTGTTAGCTGTTTTTTTTTTTTTTTTTTTTATGTAGACTTGATTGTATAGTTGCTTTATAGTATCACTTGTGTATATACTTAAGTGTGTTTTTGTGGTGGCAGGTAATGGTCTTTCATTTCCATGTTTAGTACTCCCTTAAGGACCTCTTGTAAGGCATGCCTGGTAGTAATGAATTCCCTTAGCATTTTCTTGTCTCAATAGGATTTTATTTATCTTTCACCTATGAAGCTTAGTTTGGCTGAATATAAAATTCTGATTGGGGCCATGCACAGTGGCTCAACTTGTAATTCCCGCACTTTGGTAGGCCAAGGCAGGAAAATCACCTGAACTCAGGAGTTCGAGGCCAGCCTGGGTAACATAATGAGTTTCTATCTTTACCAAAAAATTTTTAAAATTTACATAGACATGGTAGCATTAGCCTGTGGTCCCAGCTATTCAAGAGGTTGAGGTGGGAGGATTACTTAAGCCCAGAGTTCATGGCTGCTGTGAGATGAGATAGCATCACTACACTCCAACGAGGGTGACAGAGCAAGAACCTGTCTCAAAAAAAAAAAAAAAAAAAAAGATTGGAATTTTTTTCTTTACAAATGCTGAATAGAGTCTCCTGGTCACCTCAGGTTTGTATGGTTTCTGCTGAAAGTTCTGCCTTTAGCCTAATGGGCTTCCCTTTGCATGCGACGTGCCCCTTTTCTCTAGCTGCCTTTAATATTTTTTATTTCAGATTGACCTTGGAGAATCTGATGACTATGTGTCTTGGGGAAGTTCATCTTATGTAGTATCTCACTGGGGTTCTCTGAATTTGCATGTTGACCTCTCTAGCAAGGTTGGGAAAATTTTAATGAATAATGTCTACAAATATGTATTCCAGGTTGCTTGCTCTCTCTAACTCCTTCTGGGATGCTGATAAATCATAGATGTAGACTCTACATCATCCCATATTTCTCAGAGGTTTTATTTATTAATTTTTTTTATTTTCTTTATTGTTGTCTGATTGGGTTGATTCGAAGAACTGGTCTTTGAGCTCTGAGATCCTTTCATCAGGTTAGTCTATGTTGCTGTTAATACTTCCAATTATATTACAAAATTTTTGTAGTCACTTTTTCAGCTCTAGAAGGTTAGTTTGGTTCTTTCTTAAAATGGCTATTTCATCTTTCATCTTGTTTTTTATTTTATTGGATTCCTTAGATTCCTTGGACTGGGTTTCTCCCTTCACCTGAACCTCAATGATGTTTGTTGCCATCCAGATTCTGAATTTTATGTCTTTCATTTCATCCATTTCTGTTTAGTTAAGAATCATTGCTGGGCAGCTAGTGTGATCATTTGGTGGAAAGAAGACCCTCTGGCTTTTAGCATTACCAGAGTTCTTGTGTTGTTTCTTCCTCATCTGTATGGGCTGCATTCTTCTAATCTTTGAAGAATTAGAAGAATTCTAATTGTCCCTTGGATGGGGATTTTTGTTTATATAATATTTGATTCCCTTGAGGATCTAACTGTGATACAAGTTGGTTTTAGTTAATTGACTTTGTTTCTGAACTTCAGTGGAGCATGGTTCAGCTCAGCACTCCTGTGCCTAGTGCTCTAACCATAGGGTCTGGAGCCAGGCCCATGGGTTTTTGCTTTGGCCCCTAAAGGTTAAGAACCTGGTGCCCTAGAGGGATCAAGGTATTCCCAGTCTACTGGCAACAACTGTATAATGAGAGGTGCTGGCAAAAACATTTGGGGGGTAGGCAGTCGTGGTGGGGGTCCTACATGCATACCAGCAGTAGGTTCCATGTGTGTGTGTTGGGAAAGCACTGAGGGGAGGCTGTGGGCGAGTGCATGATGGTGAAGCACCAGAGAGGCTGTGGGCAAGTGAGTGCCATTAGGGGAAGCTTACAAGTGGGTACTTGCTGGCAGGAACTCACCCACAGAAGCTCTCTGGCTGTTAGGCAGTGTCAGATGGTGAAAGAGTTATAACAGTTGCTGCTGGCAAGTGCCTTGATTTGGCTGCTGAGGCCACGCTGCAAGCAAGTGCAGGTAGGCATGGACCCTGGAATAAGGCAGCAAATTGGAGAGTGCTCAGATCAGACTGGCCTAGTCCCATGGGCAAGATAACCCTGCTTGATCTAGGTCCAGCAGCTGACAAAGACTAAAGCTACCTAGAGGAGCATGGCAAGCCTTGGGGCATGGGCAGCCATGGCCATTCTCCACTGCAGCTGTTCCTATGCCGAACCCTCTGGGCTCCATGCAGGCTGAATTTCTGTCTCTGCCAACTCTCTGTGCAATTCCCCCTAACAGGTCAAGTGTCGATGGGGGTTATGAGGTCTCCCATAACTAGGATTCCAGAGGTCCATTGAGAGAGTGGGCCACTCCACGTCTATTTCACTCACCCCTTTCCCAGGAGCCACCCGGGGCCAGGAACAAGTCCTGGTGCCTGGCAACCCTGTGCAGGGTTCTCAGCTTCCTCCCCTTTCAGCCAGGGATCTGAGTCCCTTCTTTCCAAATATTTGTTCAGCGTGCCAATCTATGTGATGGTCTGGTCTCTCTTGGTGGGAGAAGCTTTTCCTGGCTGCATCTAGTAAGCCATCTTGGCTCCCTCCTCTGAAGTAAGAGTATTTACATTTGAGAAAAATACAAGTTTAGTAGTATTTCAGGAAATTTTTCAGATATGTATTGAAGGGAAAGAATGAGACAAAGACTGTAAAGGATCTTCCCAGAGCATTTGTGAATTAAGATAAAACAAAAACACTTATAGTTTTATTATAAATATATAAGATACCTCTTGTGCCCATCCCGTCTTTGTTAGATAAGCATACTGAATATAACATAATACAACGTTATTGAATTATAACATATTGATGACATAAACACTACGATGCCTTAATGAATTATTTCATATTGTCAACCTTAGTATTAATACCAAAGTTCATCTAGAACTTAGTGTTCAATGCTGTTCTTTAAGCAGTCTTTCAAGGCACATTTTAAAGGGCTTTAGTTTTTAAAAAAGTTTTGTATTATTAAGGCTATGCTTCTGCTTCAGAAATATTGACATTGTGTAAGTCTACTAATACTAATACCTTATTTGTAATCCATACTTACAAATACTTATACTTACAAATACTTATTTGTAATCCATATTTCACTAATGTAGCCTATATTGTCTTATGGCAACAATCATACTTTGAAGCCCACAAATGATTTGCTCCCTTTATCCTGCCCCAATCATCTGAACATTTCCCACTCTCATTTCTTTTCCTTTCTCACCTTCTCTTCTTTTCTCATTTTGCCTTTCATTTGTCTGCCTATTTTCCCAAAGAACTATGCATAAGCAGAAGGTTATGCTTCATTGGCAACATATAGGAATTTGTATCAGCAGACACAAACTGTACATTAGCCTTGTCAGCTCTAATCACACTGACAGTTATTGTCAACTGCAATGCAGTTACCACAGTTTAGTTTGGGTCACTTCAATTACAAATCCTGACTATAGTGTGAGTACTGGTTTATGAAAGAAATCTTGAAGTAGATACCTCTTAATATAGGATGGGGAAAATCTTCAAAAGTTAATAATAACCTCAAGGGAAAATTTTTTCTGGATATGTTACTTAACTATACAAATTCAGATATGAGTAAATGTAAATATTTAGATTTATTTAGATTTTCATTTTAAGTTAAGTGGTCTGGACTCGTTATTATTATTGTCTTGTCTATCGATGCCTGGTTTCCAAACTAGCTGTATTATTTTGTTTGTTTGTTTGTTTTATATGTATATATACATATTTTTTATCATACTTTAAGTTCTAGGGTACATGGGTACAACGTGCAGGTTTGTTACGTATGTATACATGTGCCATGTTGGTGTGCTGCACCCATTAACTCCTCATTTACATTAGGTATATCTCCTAATGCTATCCCTCCCCCCTCCCCCCACCCCACAATAGGCCCTGGTGAGTGATGTTCCCCTTCCTGTGTCCAAGTGTTCTCATTGTTCAATTCTCACCTATGAGTGAGAACATGCGGTGTTCGGTTTTTTGTCCTTGCAATAGTTTGCTGAGAATGATGGTTTCCAGCTTTATCCATGTCCCTACAAAGGACATGAACTCATCATTTTTTATGGCTGCATAGTATTCCATGGTGTATTATGTTTAACTATTATAATCATCTTCATAATACATTCTATCACAACACTCAAGTACTATGTTCAGTTAGGAGGTGAACAATCATATAGCATGTTGAGAAATTCATGGCTTTATTTTGTAATTAATAAATTATTTTAAAATTTTATTTTGTATTAATGTTTACAATTTTATGTACAATTTAAAGTAATATATTCATACAGGTTAAACACTAAATGTAGATACAATTCACTTCAACAAAGCATAATCTATGGAAATATAATTTATATTTTTGTTAAAATAAGGGATAGTTCACTACTTTTCAAGAAATAAAGTGTCCTATATTTTATTACAGATTATATTACTGTCTCACTAAGGTTTTGAGTAAACCACCAGAGCTTATTTTCTTCCAATTTCTATAGCAATAAAGTGAAGTAGACCAGAGAATCTTTAAAATGTTTTTTTTAAAGTGAAGGTTTATTACTTTAATTGTAAGCAATTTTTAAAAAGCAACAACACTTGTACCGCACAGATAGGTCACCCCACATACTTATTCTGTTCAGCTGTTTTTTTTCTTTTGCTCTTTCATTTTAATCTTTTGTTCACAGTCAAGCACTGTTTCCACTTCTTTTTCATCTAAAATATGTCTATTATTAGCTTAAATTTGGAATAAATTGAATGTGTGTGAAAACGTGAGAAAAATAAAATGCCCACAAGAGTCAAAATCTGCTATGCTGATTTTTTCACTCTAGTATCTAAAATATAAGCATTGGCTTTTCCGTGCATTAAAGTAGGCAAAACATTTAAAACTATAATAAATGTATCACCTAACTTCCGATTAGTATCTCTACAATTACTGACGTGTAATATACCACGTTCTTTTTGCTTTTGCTTATAACTCCAATTAAGGCTACGGTCCTCTCTGGAGACTCCAGGGATGAACCTGATCCCAAGCTCATTCAGTTGCTGGGATTCAGCTTCTTTCACTTGTGGTAATGAGGAACCCACTTACCTTCCATCTGTCAACAAGGGGCTGGTCTTTGCTTCTTAATGATGCCCATATTCCTTGTCTTCTTTTCTATGTGTCCTTCTTTCCTTTAACAATGATGGGGAATCTCTCTCACGCTTCAAATTTCTCCCTTTCTGTTAGATCATTCTGACTGACTGTCATGCCTTCTTTTATGCCTTTACGAGCTCCTGTGACTAGCCTGGGCTACCTGGTCATGCTAGGTTAATTTTTCTAACATAAGGTTAATGATTAGTTACCTTAAATACATCTTCAAGTTGCTTCACAGCAGATGTAATGTTTGAGTAATCAGGGTAGAGGAATCTGGGGTAAACATCATTAGAATTAAATAGTCAATAATGAATAAACTAGTGAATAACATTCAGGCTAGCTAAATTATAGGGTAATATTGATCAAAAGCTTTTCATTATTGGAAAATCTTTGACATTTGAAAATCACAATAGCATTTTTAGAAAAAGGAGAATACACAATTGTGTAACTGGTGTGAACATATCAATTATCTATATGTTAGAGAACTAATGATAACTCTACTTGCTCATTTTTGCTTCTTGGCTTTTCTGAATTCCCTAAGATGTCCACAATACGCATTTATTAATTTTACAACAACAAAAATATGTAGACAACTTTCACTTTGACCGTGATCGAGTAATTGGACTTAACTTCCCATGATAAGCAATTATAAAACTGAAACAATATATTAAATAACACTTACTAGACACTGGACAACATATAGTATAGATCTATGATACCTAATTTAAGGTAAATATTTTATGTCAGTCTTATAATCAACCTGATTCATGTCTGGAGACACACTAAAGATAGTAGAGCTATAAAGGGGAACACAAGCAGAACAACCAAGTTTGAGGTAACCAAGAACAGATTTTTCAGAGTAAAGAAGTTGGAATTTTCAGGGTGGAATGTCAAACAAGAGAGCCATGCAGAAAAACTGGAAAATCAGCACTGATTCCCTTTGAGACTCTTACGGAACACTGAGCTATACATTCATAGAATAAAACTAAATAAATTTAGGCAAAGAATGGCGAGAGAGATGTAGGCTCAACAAATCCAAGAGCTCACGCAAGGCTGGAAGAGGACTGAGTTCCAACCAGCAATGGTGGACACCTAGAGCATTTAGTTGTGACCTCACAGGATCAGAGATTACTAGAGAGCTAAAGCATTATCCTTAGAGCAGAGGCTACTTTAACTGACTGATGTTGTTAACAGTTTGCTAGGTTGGTCACAAAGAAACAGCACAGGTGGCTTAAAAAACAGAACATCTGTTTTCTCACAGTGGTTAAGATTGGAAGTCCAAAATCAAGGTGTCAGTAGATTTGGTTACTTCTGAGGCCTGTCTATATGGCTTGTAGATGGTTACTTTAGTGCTATGACTGCAGATGATATTTTTTCAATTCATGAGCAACCTCAGTTTCTCTCTGGTGTCCAAATTATCTCTTGTTACAAGGACACCAGCCAGATTGGGCTAGGCCTTACCTAGATGGCCTCTTTTAATTTAATTATGTCTTTGAAAGCTCCTACCTAAAAAAAATAGTTACATCCTGAGGAACTGGACTGTTAGGGCTTCAGCATACAAATATGAAGGAGACAAAGTTGAGCTCATAACGTCCTCCTAAAAACAAGCCCTGAGACCATAAAATTAATCTTGCAAAAACTAAAATGGCTGATGGAAGGAAGTCTATTACTGTTTAAAGAGAAAAGTAAGCTTCAGCATCCAACAATGTAACACTCCCAGTGTTTAACATCCAATTAGAAAATACTAGCTATGCACAAAAGTAGGAAATGTGACTGAAGGAGATAAATCACTTAAGAGGGACCAACAGAACAACAGCCATAGTAATGGAGTGATTAGAGAAGTACATTAAAGCAATTCTTTTAAATATGACTGAGGGCTTAGAGAACAACATAAAAATGAGGCAAGAAATACGAGATATGACAAAGAACCAAATAAAACTTCTAGGGATGAAAACATGCAGTATATGAAATGAAAATTTCACTGAATGAATAATAGCATGTAAAATGAAACACTGAGGGAATAAAAGACTAAAATAAGAACAGTGTTCTAGTGTAACAGCTGTTGAGTAATATAAAATAATCTAACGTACACTGGAATCCCAGATTATGAGATACTTCAAATAATCTCCACTTGTCACACATTCACACTTGATTCTCAGATTGAGAGTGGAGGAACAGAAAAAATAATTGAAGAGTAGAGGCCCCAAATTTTCCAAATTTTATGAAAACTAAACCTACACAGCCAAAACGTCAATAAAAGCAAAGACAAAGAAAAATGAAACCACACAAGGATATATAATCAAATTTATGAAAAGCAATGATAAAGAATCCTAAGACCAATGTATTTGTCCATTTTAATTCTGCTGATAAAGACATACCCAAGACTGGGCAATTTACAAAAGAAAGATTTTATGGGACTTACAGTTCTACATGGCTGGGGAAGCCTCACAATCATGGCAGAAGGCAAGGAGGAGCAAGTCACATCTTACATGGATGGCAGCAGGCAAGGAAAAAAAAAAAAGCTTGTGTGGGAAAACTCCCCCTTATAATAACCATTAGCCATTAGTTCTTGTGAGACTTACTCACTATCATGAGAACAGCATGGGAAAGACCTGCCCCCATGATTCAATTACCTCCAACCCCAAAGTCTCAGCAAATTTCAGCATTAATTCAAAAGTCCACAGTCCAAAGTTTCACCTGGGACAAGGCAAGTCCCTTCTGCCTATGAACCTGTAAAATCAAAAGCAAATTATTTACTTCCTAGATACAGTGGGGGTACAGGCATTCTATAAATACAGCCATTGTAAATGGGAGATGTTGGCCAAAACAAAGGGGCTACAGGTCCCATGAAAGTCTGAAATCCAGTAGGGCAGTCAAATCTTAAAGCTCCAAAATGATCTCCTTTTGACTCCATGTTTCACATCCAGGTCATGCTGATACAAGAGGTGGATACCCATGGTCTTGAGCAACTTCACCCTTGTGGCTTTGCAAGGTATAGCCCCCCTCCTGGCTGCTTTCGCAGCCTGGCATTGAGTGTTTGTGGCTTTTCCAGGCACACGGTGCAAGCTGTCAGTTCATCCACCATCCTAGGGTCTGGAAGACTGTGGCCCTCTTCTCACAGCTCCACCAGGTAGTGCCCCAGTAGGGACTCTGTGTGGAGTCTCCGACCCCACATTTCCCTTCTGCACCGCCCTAGCAGAGTTGCTCCATGAGGGCTCTGCCCCTGCAGCAAACTTTGGCCAGGCCATCCAGGCATTTCCATACATTTTCTGAAATCTAGGCAGCATTTCCCAAACCTCAGTTCTTGACGTCTGTTTACTTACAGGCTTAACACCACGTGGAAGCTGCCAAGGCTTGGGGATTCTATCCTCTGAAGCAAGAGTCCAAGCTGCAAATTTTCTGAAACATTTAAAACTTTTAAGAGAATACAGCACACCAGGGAGACTATTGTTATGACTATCAGGAGGATAATACCAAGAGTTTGGAGTATGCTCCTTAGCCAGGGTCCCATGAAACAAACTAACTAAAATAAAATAGATCAAAGAATGAGTTAAAGAGTCTACTCTCTGTAACAAAACAGTTTGTTAATTCCGTACAACCTAATCTCTATAATAACTGATGTCTTTCTCCAAGGGCAACAAGAAGTGCCAGCAGCTGCACAGATACTTCTCTCTTTGGCAGTAACTAGAGTAATTCTATTATTTAGTATAACTTTCACAAGAGAATGTAAAGTCTGCTGTGTGACCACAACCTTTACAGGAGAATCTGGTATAAAGCCTATCATGAGGGATAAATTTCTTGGTTTTTTTTTTTTTTTTTTTTTTTTTTTTTTTTTGAGATGGAGTCTCACTCTGTTGCCCAGGCTGGAGTGCAGTGGTGTGATCTCAGCTCACTGCAACCTCCACCTCCTGGGTTCATGCTATTCTCCTGCCTCAGCCTCCCGAGTAGCTGGGACTACAGGCACCCATCACCACACGTAGCTAATTTTTTTCTTTGTATTTTTAGTGGAGACGGGGTTTCACCATGTTAGCCAGGATGGTCTCCATCTCCTGACCTTGTGATCCTCCCACCTTGGCCTCCCAAAGTGCTGGGATTAGAGGCGTGAGCCACCACACCCAGCCTATGAGGGATAAATTTCTAATCATTGCCTCATTTACTCCAAACCATGGAAAAGTAGACCAAAAAAATGATGCCCATATAGAAGAGTAAAGACTTCTTGGCAATGCTTTCTTTAATGCATGATGTAGGTTAAGAGGAGTGGACCACAATGTTCTATTTCTGATTGATTATGAGGCAACAAATTTATCAGTAAAATTTCTCACCTACGTTAGGCCTTCATTTAACATCTCTCAAGGCATAAGTTTGTCCGTGTATAAGGCTACCTGCAAAATCTGTCACAAACTAAAGTATGCTCCATGAGTGAACAAAACAGATCCCCCTTTCACTTCTATTGTTCATAGAAGCATAGGCAAAGAAACAAAAACTGAAAGATTAAGAGCCTCATGACAGCAGAGAAATCTCAATCCACAACCTTGGGAGAAAGCTGTCCACATCATGGATGTCATCTTCTTCTGGGGAGAATCTTCCCTGGTTAGCTTTACTTTAAGATTTCCAATGGGTATGCAGTTCCAAGAGTATGGAGGGACACTTCTGAATTGTGAGATTATGAACTCAAAATTCAAGGTCTTGAAGTTTTGCTTAAGTTTAGATGGCAGGGGAAGTCTATCTCTGATGTTCTCAGGAAATCAAATTTCAGGTTTTCGACTGTGAAGGAGTTGAATGTCCTCAGCAGTGGACCATGAAAAGCTTTCTTTACCTGGTGAAAATACACTTTGGCATAATGACCTAGTGTGATAACGTCAGGCTTCTTGCATAGGAAAGCTTTTATACAACCACAAAGCATGCACTGAAAATTATAATGGAATGAAATCTCTATAACTGTTTAAATGGCCCATCAGATAGCAAAGATGTACCTGATGTTTTGATCATCTTCCCAGGAATATCAGTTTGACAAACCAAACAGTGGCCATAAAAACTATTTTAGCAATTTAGAAAAGTCACAACACCAATATCTATCTATATTTTTAAATTTGGATACTTTTCTCTCTTCCATGATGAGTCATGGAATGCAGAGCTTTTAATACTAACAGCTTTAAGGACTCAGAAAAAACAAGGCAACCGTCTAGGTTCTCCATGAATCCACGTTTAACACTGGACTTATATCCTATTAAATGCCAGTTGTTTCTCCAATTTAGGTGCATAACTAGAAGGTTATTACTGATAACTAGAAGGTTATTATAGATGATTTGATTGGAACCATGGAGTTCATTCAAATTGCCTATCTAAGCAATTTTAGTACTGGCTGATTTAGCATAAAAATCTGGCAAAGTCTTTTCTTGGTGTTTAATTTTTGTTCTGGTCGGGTTAGCAATTTTATAAACCAGTATCTTACTTCAAGTTCTGAAAATTCTTACACTGTTCAAATGATAAGGTCTTAAGGTTACCAGAAACCTGTATTAAAGGGTGCTTGTCAGGGTGCTTTCTATCCTTTCATGAACCTCCTTAAAGACACCATAGTCTAGGATTTTGTGTGCTTTAGAACTTTTCAGAAACTGCACCAAAATTAAGCAATTAACTGTGAAAATGACTTTAAATGGTCATAAAGACACAATTTGCAAGGAAATTTTATTATTTCTCTGTGGCCTACAATAACAACACTAAAACCATAATTATGACTGATGGCATATACCCAGACATACTAGAAATTTAGAAATTCCATACAATTTTGGAACATACATTAATAACATATTTATTAAAATATAATTTGAAGAAGGTTAAACATCATGTCTTATTTTAAAATACTTCCCATGTAATTTAACATGTCAAATAATTCTGTTTGTCTCTCTTTTGGATGCTTCAGGGGCCCTGTGTAGCATCCCAAAGTTAGAGGTCAAGAAAGACTTAATTTTGAAGCTGAAATTTGATTTTGGGAAGCCTGTCAAATATGTCAAAGGTTTAAAACATTTGATCAAAATAGGATCACAGGTTGCCCTAAAATAATAGTCATTTATTTAGCTAAAGTGATCATTAAAACATTGTTTTTGTAAAAAAAAAAAAAAAAAAAAAAAAAAAAAAAAAAAAAAAGCCTATATTCTTTGATAGAGGAGACTCAGTCTTCCAAACAGTCAAAAGAGCCAAGGCAGAATGATACAGAAATCTGTCCTTTCTTCTTTCCTGTCTTTTTTTCTCCTTCTTGCAGTTTACTCACAAGGTGAATGAAAATGTTTTACTGTGTCTTATTAATACTAACAAAACTTTTTTCAAAAGAAAACCAAATTTTACCTTTGCATTAATGTACTATTTATACTAAAACTAATTTTAATAAAACCTCATAAATAAATTTATCAAATCTGGCATCATTTAACCACACAAGATTTCCATAAACCTTTCATTTACATTTTCCCCTGGCTTTCTGTATTCATCTTGTTTTGTCTATGTTTTATTCCTTCAGTTTCAAAACTTTAAGTAACTTTAAACCAGACAAAATTTTTTTAAATACATTTTTATGCCTTTATAACTTTCCTCATCAAAATGATATCTTGCTTTTGTTTATGCACTCTGTATATAGAATTGTTTATTTTATATCTAGTAGCTTTAATTGTATATGTTAACTACATTTTTACCTCTTAGTTACCCTGATTTCTAGTGAAAACCCTAGAAATTTATATTGAACTATTTTATATCAGTATTTGTAGATAAAAACTATTTTATCAGTTTTTACAAAGAGGGTTCTTCAAACTATTTTTAACAGATATAAATATATTTAGCTTTTCCATCCCATATAAAATAACATGTTAAGGTATATAGACATTTAATATATACCTTATAGACATTTAAAAATTATGAATGAATAAATTAATTAATTAATTAATAATAAATATAGACATTTAATAATTAATATTTCAGTGTTCTAACTTACAAATGACTAAGACATTTTATGATTAGCTGTTACTTCATTTAACATAACATAGCTTCAAGATTTTAAATTACTGAAAAGAATTTTTACATAGGTACCCTTCCTGGGTTTGCCCAGCCATCATGGGTCCCAAGTAGCCATACGGCACACAGGAGGACTATGAAGGTCAGGGTCTGCCTGAGTCCTGAATTTACATACCAGCTCTAGAGGTTAGAAGACAGAATAGTGTCAACTCTACCTGGAGTATCCAACCCCTCCCAAAATAGCCAGTAGACAAGCAGGGAAAGCAAGGAAGAAGGGGGCATATTGGGCTTGATTCTGGCTTGTAATTGCTGTTCTATGCACTAAGAATATGTCTCCAGACCTCAACATGGCCACCTATCCAGACCCCTGAATCCAGAGGCTGTAAACCAAAAACAGCTCACACTCAAATCAAGCACATTTCTAATTATATCTACCTGATAATTTTGAAACCATTCCTATTTTATCAACAATTTTCAAGCTAGCTTTATTTACCAAATATTATCACATACACATAACATGAGTAGACATACAAACACAAAAGGAGATCTTACAGCTTTCAGAAAGGATTTTCATTTTCCTGCATTTAAATAGTTTTTCTTTTCCCCATTTGGTCTATTAGTCTTCCAATACCTATTTCATTGCTCTAAGCAATTGTTAACTAGGCACCAATTTGCATTTCTAAAGGGACAACTCTTAGGTTGAAACAAAAAAAAATATATTTCATAAGCACAGAGCTAAGATTTTAGGCCTAAATATTCTATCATCATTTGCTCAACCAAGGCAATAACAGTGCTCATGTACAAGTTAAGTCAAGACAAGATGGCCAGAAAAGTACCTTAAACAGAGGTATGACTTATTCTTTAAATTTAAAACAAATGTTAAGAGTTTCTAATGCACCAAGGGAGATATCATTAAAAATGAAAATGTCCTTAATAGATGTAAATTTCTTTTACAAGAGGGTTTCAAGATAGGCAATAAAATTTCAGAAAGGCATATATTAGTTTGATAGGTGTTCTTTTTAACTTAGCTACTGTTTCTTAGCTAAAATTACTGAGTTAAGGGTGGATCCCATTAAGAACTAAGGCAAAGAAAACATTCTCTATGCCTGGACTGAGCATGGACAGATCTGAAAAAGAAGTGAGCCTGTTTTACCTGAGGGCCTAACTTTTAGAAACACTTTACTTAGAATAGCTATCTTTTCACCTTTGGGCAGGTCAGTAACTAAGCCAAAAGTTTGGCAGATTCAATAATTCTTATCACGTATTTGCTTAAGGTTTTTATTCAACTTTTATAAAGAGTATTTAAATGAAAATACTGAAATATTTTTAGAAACTTCTGCATATCATTAGGCATCCCTGTATTAGACACTAGTTTGGGAGCCCTCATTTTCAAACACACTTCTTCAGTGAAGTGTTGTTCATCTGGAGTGTTTTACTGCAACTTATCTTTAGCAAGATTTTGCAATTTCTGTAAGACTTTGCTGCTTCTGGGGCCTAATATTTATCCACATATTAGCTGGAAAATGCTCAGTTCTTCAGAAACTAAAGATCCAATTTTTATTTCAAATATTGGCTTTGGCTCTTAGTTCCCCCTTGATGAACTTAGCCAGTTATTTGGTTTCCCTACCTAAGCATGCAAGAAAAAAAAGAAACCAAGGGGGTAGAACACTAAAATCTCTGCAAATTTCCAAAAGACAAATTTTATACTCCCTGCAATATTGCCATTTACTATCAGTTTCTTTCAGACCAAGACAGATATAAGAGGTTTGTAAATGAGTTCCAGCCAGGTAATTATCATATTCAGTCTGATCTTGGACCTGGTCCAGTTTCTGTCATGACTTCCAAATCCAATTTGGATCAGAAATATGTTAAAAAAAAGAAAAGAAAAGAAAAGAAAAAACTCAGATAACTCAAAACACAAATTTGTGGAGCTTTGATTTCCAAAAGAGAACTTACCATGATCCCCAGTTGCTGTGAGAAAGCAATGGACACAATGGGTCAGGAACATACTTTGCTTGGTCACTAGGCACTACTGGGGGTAATTAGAAGTGCTACTTTGGATCCCACTTCTGACACCATCTGTTAAAGGAAAAACTTGAGTCAAATTCAATTTAAGAAAGTTTAACTGAGCACAGAACAATTCACCTATCAGGCAGCCTCATGAGCCAGGGTAGGCTCTGAGATACTCCAGTGCAGCCACATTGTGGGATATTTATAGACAGAAAAAGGAAAGTGACGTGCAGAAAACAGAAGTGATGTACAGAAACAGCCAGATTGGTTACAGCTCCATATTTACCTTATATGAACATGGTTTGAACAGTTGACCCCCATTGGCTAAATCTCAGTAATTGGCACAAGAATAGGTTACAGTCTCTTTACATCTCAATTTAGGTCATAGTACAGAGAAAGTTTTAGGCTGAGCTTAAAATATGTAAGGAGGCAACTTTAGGCCAAACTTGATTTAACAATCTGGGTAGAGATATTTCAGATAAGACCTCTAGATCACAGGGTATTAGTTGGGGCTCTCTAGAGGGACAGAAGGATATAGGTATTCATGAGAGGGAGTTTATTAAGGAGAATTGACTCACACAACCTCAAGGTAAAGTCCCATGATAGACCATCTGCAAGTTGAGGAGAAAGGAAGCCAGTGGTGGATAAGTCCAAGTCCCTAAAGCTCAAAAGTAGAGAAGCCAACAGTGCAGGCCTCAGTTTGTGGTCAAAGGCTCAAGAGCCCCTGACTAACCACTGTCATAAGCCTAAAAGTCCAAAAGCTGAAGAGCTTAGAGTCTGTTGTTTGAGGGCAGGAAGCATTCAGCATGGGACAAAAATGAAGGCCAGAAGACTCGGCAAGTCTGCTCTTTTATCGTCTCCTGCCTATTTTATTCTAGCATCACTGGCAGCTGATTAGATGGTGTCCACCCAGATTGAGAGTGGGTTTCCCTCTTCTAGTCCACTCACTCAAATATTAACCTCTTTTGGCAACACCCTCACAGAAACAACCAGGAAAAATATTTTGCATCCCTCAATCCAATCAAGTTGACACTCAATATTAACAACACACAGGGAACAAAAGCACAAATAGACAAAGCTAAAAAGCTTCTGCATAGGAAAAGAAACAATCAACAGAAGAAATAGACAACTTAAAAAATGGAAGAAAATATTTTCAAGCTATCTATCTGACAAGAGATTAATAGCCAGAATGTAAAAGAAAGTCAACCCAACACCAAAAAGAAAAAATAATAACCTTATTTTTAAAATGGGCAAATTTTCTGAATGGACGTTACTCAAAAGAGGACATACAAATGGCTAACAGATACATGAAAACATGCTCAACATCGCTAATCATTAGGGAAATGCAAATCAAAACCACAATAAGGTATCACCCCACCCCAGTTAGAATGGCTATTTTCAAAAAGACAAAAGATAAGTGCAAGAATGTGAAGAAAGGGAAACGCTTTAGTTTAAATTAGTACAGTCATTACAGAAAAGAGTATGGAAGTTCCTCCCAAAACTAAAAGTAGATTTACCATGTGACCTAGAAATCCTACTACTGGTTACATATCCAAAGGAAAGGAAATGAATATATTGAAGAGATATTTGCACTTCTATGTTTATTGCAGCACTATTCACAATAGTAAGGATATGGATTAACCTGTTTCCATTATCAGATGAATGAATCAAGAAATGTGATGTGTGTGTATATACATGATGTATATATAGTGTGTGTGTGTATATATATCTACACAATGACATATTATTCAGCCGTAAAAATAAAATCCCATCATTTGCAGCAACATAGATAAAACTGGAGGACATTTGTTAAGTAAAATAATCCAGGCACAGAAAGATAAATATCACATATTCTCACTCACATGTGTGAGCTACAAAAAGTTAATCTCATGGAGGTAGAGAGTACAATGGTGGGTACAGAAGACTGGGATGGGTAAGGAGGAGGGGCTAGTGAAAAGGTGTTAGTTAATGGGTCTAAAAAGAATTGGCCCAGCGCAGTGGCTCACGCCTGTAATCCCAGCACTTTGGAAGGCCGAGGTGGGCGGATCACGAGGTCAGGAGATAGAGACCATCCTGGCTAACATGGTGAAACCCCGTCTCTACTAAAAATACAAAAAAATTAGCCGGGCGTGGTGGTGTGCGCCTGTAGTCCCAGCTACTCGGGAGGCTGAGGCAGGAGAATGGCGTGAACCCAGGAGGCGGAGCTTGCAGTGAGCTGAGATCGCGCCACTGCACTCCAGCCTGGGCGACAGAGCAAGACTCCATCTCAAAAAAAAAAAAAAAAAAGAATTGGTGCCAATAATTATATAAATTATAGTATCCCCCAAATATAGTAGCTTTCCAGTTTGTTTAGTTATTGTGAGATCTTTATGGATGTTTTACTTTTAGAGATAGCGCACCTTTATTTTTAGATGTATCAGTAGATACACTAGATATTTTACTTTCTCTTGTTCTTGTTCCTTTTTTATTTTATGTTAACAGATAAAATTATATGTATTTATTGTGAACAACATTGTTACTATTTTAAATGGCATTTTCTTTTGCTGTGTGTAAGGAGTTGTTTGTTTAAGTGGAGGTTGGTGATCTCTAATACTAATTTTATACCTTATACTATCTTTTACACTACATTGAAAAGCCTCCTGTTTTGTAGTAATGTTCAGTTCATTGTGTTGGGTTTTCCAGGCACACTTCTTCTGTAGAGGATACTCTCTTGTGGACATTGATATGTGAGACAGAAACTCACTCACTTTGTATCAACTCCCATTGGTTTAATCACAAGCTTCTTTCCCAGACCTCCTCACATTCAATATTCCAGTTTGGCTCCTTTCATTCTTCTGGCCACATAGTCAAATCATTTTTCAATATTTATAAATCGAACGTGGATAATTTTTTGTGTCAAATTCACTGAAGCATGGGGTGCCCAGATATTTGGTGTGTCTGTGAGAGTATTCCTGGATGATTGGCACTTGAATCAGTAGGCTTCATAAAGTAGATTTCATTCTCAAATATGGGCAAGCCTCAACCAATTCACTGAAGGCCTGAATAGAATTAAAAACAGGGTTGGGGAAGATTTACTATTTCTGACTGATTGTCTTTGAGCTAAGAAAACAGTATTTTCTGCCTTCAGAATTGAATGTGGACTAGAACTATATCATTGACTCTCCTGGTTCTTCAGTTTGTTGACTATAGAGCTGGAAACTTAGCTTCCAGAATTACATGAGACAATTCCTTATAATAATTTTCTTTGTAATAAATCTCACGTAGCATATCTTATTGATTCTGTTTCCTTGGAGAACCTAGACAAATACATTAATTATATTCTTGAGTCATTACTCTGTCCACTCTAAATTGATGTGCAGATATATTGCCTGAGGTTCTAACAGTGATAGGAATTTTTTTATCATTTTCTTTCAGGGCTAGCTCTTCATGGGTGTATATTACAGGGACAGTCTATTTTCTACTTTCACCAACATACTTAGCCAACTTATTATTGTACCAGTCTTTATATTTTTTCCTCTTCCATTAACTAGTCATAGGGAATCTACCTACTTAAAGTAAACTCATTGTGAGTTGAGGAATATTAGGGTTAGGAGACAAAGGAGTTTGGATCACCTGTTCATAGAGTTTATCTCTCTACTCAATTCTACTCTCTTTGCTATTTTTTATTACAGATGCTTTTCTACTAGTTCTGCCTGATCTTATGACTCAGTGTCTGAGTACACCTCGCTGATAATAGATGGTTCTGGTTATATAGACATTTGATATCTCATGGTTAGACACCCAAACATTATCAGGTTGCAACAGCATTCAAAGCACGCATTTTCAAAAGATGCAGTTTTCTGCTGCAGAATATTTGGGGCTTAATCCAAGCATAACCTGAATAAACAGAGACTAAGAGTTATCACAAAACTTGTTCATATGTTTCAGCAGGTATGAGGATGAGGCAGTGGGGAAGCATTGCCTATTGCATTTCAAAGCATGTGTTTATAACTCCCACAACCTAATCATGTAAAAATAGGGCAATACTGCAACCAGCAAAAGACAAGGACCACAATTATGGGTTATGTACTAAGCTTAAAACTAAATATTCTATAGTAATGCAGAATCAATTTTAAAAATATCCAACAATGGAAATATGTAGTCATGTCATAAAGTGATAGATATTGCAAATTAAAAATCATATTAAACACTTAAAATAATATAAATACTTAAAAAAGCGATCATACAACAATATTCATAAACACTTTGGGCATAACCTTTAAAGTAATAAAAGGTACAGGAAGGATTATAACCTCCATTATGCATCCTAAAATAATATTTAAAGAGAATGATTATATCTTCAGCAATAATAAAACAAATAAGATTAAAGGTACAATTCTGATGAGTCCTCTATGTTTGCTGGTAGCTCTGAAGCAATAAGTTCAGGTATTGGGTCCTAGATAATGATGTATTAAAATCCTCTGCAGATGCCAAATATTAAGTACTCAAAATTTATGTTTTCTCAACTAGCTATATGTAATGTTCAAAGGTGTCAGCCAAACATTTGTCTAGACTGGGATGTCTTACAAATAGTTAGAGACAAGAGACACAAAATTAATTTTACAAATTATTTCTTGGATCTAAGAGAAAGGAATCAGGGCTAAAACCTAAATCCTTAGTGACAGGGTTGAGAGATGATCTAGTGAACAAAGAAAGGTCTTCCATTGTTTATGAAACCATGAGACATAATATAATGACAAAATAATGATTGCAATGCAAATTTTACTGACTTGTTTACTATTTTTGAAATAGTTAAGCCCTTTCATTGTGTCCACAAAAATTTTAGAATTCTGAATTTTTCCCTGAACAAAATCTATTGAAAACATCTATTCTAGCAAATTGAGTCCATCAAATTTCAAATGGTGAATACCTGATGACTAGAGGCCATAAAGCTTATTTTTCAATCAGAGACCTTTGAGGTAGACAGATAAGTCGATCATTCACTGTTACTCACACATCCTAAGCAATGCTCAAGCTTCCTGGAGTTTCCAGATGAAATCACAAATTACACAGCAAAGAATACAACCTATAAAAATTCTCACTGAATGCTTTTAAGTGATTTCCTTTATATTATTTTTAAAAAGTATAAAAATAAAAATTCTACAACAGAGCTGATGTTTAGTTAATTCATATGTAACATTGCGTTCCTGGGATTATCTATCAAGTTACATTTTTTGTTTCAGTTGTAGAATTAAAATAAAAATAAGAAATCATATTTCCTTTAGTATTATAGGGTATATATTGATAATTTATACAGATTTCATCTTTTAAAAATTGTGTATATAAAGTAACACTATTCTAGTTTTTATTTTTTTTAACTTAAGAGACTAAAGAGCTTAGATAAAGCACTGTGCTTTGTTAAATTTCTGGGTAGAGATTTTTACCAGCCAAGAAAATAAGCCTAAAAGTGTAGGATAAAAAATAATAAGATGGATTTAATAAGAATGTTGCCTTAAGTCAAATGAAAAAAAAAAGAAATAATTTTCCTGAATTTCCTTTTAATGTCTACTGATTTGAAAATTTCCATTTATTAATTCATATATTAACAGTAGGTATATTTTTTTAAATGAGTGTACTTTGCTTTCCTCCTAATATAAGACTCTCAGGTAGGGAATGGGAACAAGTAACTTTAGCCAAAAGTGTCATTGGTATTCGCTGGTGAGACTCATGGACACTTTTCGGGCTCTGTACAAAGTTCCTATATCTTTGAGTATAATTTTCAAGGCTGATATAAGAAAATGCATTTCTTACGTGTCTAATTCAAATAATTACTTTGACTGTAAATCATTAAATAATACATGAGGTGTGTAGATAAGTCTTATAAATATTTGAAGTTCTCATTTAATTTTCTTCCAAATAAAATATATTTAATATTTATTTAATATTTTATATAGTTTAAGAAATGTTAATTTTAAGTAGTAAAATGATATTGGATAGTATGCAATTTTTGTAGATATTGTGCCTAAAATGCATAGAGGTAATCAGATAAATTGTAAAAAAGACTTTGAAAATCTGTGAACATCAGTGAATTAGAGCTGCTATTGATTTACAAATGGTAGTTGGCATCATACTTGCTGTTGTTGAATTGTTATTTGTGTTCCAAGCCGCAAGCCACTTATCATCTCATCATGTAAGATGTGTAATCAACAGATTAAATGAATAAGCCCATCTGGCATAATGGCACAATATCTTAAAATGTATGTGAAAGTTTAGTATATATAGACCATAAATGTTTTTGTAGAAATGGCCAAGCTATGCTTTTATTTTTGACACTGATGTCTCTTTAAAGAAAGATGTAATGTCTCATTCTTTGGGAATTGGGAATTTTCCACTTTACTTAAGCTATCTGCCTGCTTTAATTACGCAGACTGACAGTCTACATATTTTTAGCCTTGATGTGATACTTTGAACATTTTCTGACATGGCCCACAAACAGGGCATCATTACTCTCCTTATTGTTGGCTAATCTCACAACGGTGAAAATTCTGGGTAAACATTTTAGACTAACAATCTGGGTTTCCAGATAGGTTTAAAAATACCCAGGGATAATGATTAGAACCAAAAAATTGTTTTATAAAACATATTCTTAAAGGCAGATTTAGGTGTACTTTATCCAGCTGGCTGGAGTTCAGGGCTATTTGGATTAATATGCATGATACATATTCTGCAGATTAACCTAAACCGCCTGGGAAATGGATGGCCAATGAACCACTTTATCTGTACTCTGCAGGTACCTTGAGTAGTTTGCCACCTGCAACATAATTATCATTCTATTTTGATGTAGGCAGTGCTACACTACAGTAGCTAAAATCATTTTCATTTCTTCCCAGAATTTCCCACAGAGAAATACAAGGTAGTGCAGCCTATTTTAAAACAATTTTGCTTCCCTGTATTTAAGCAGTAAAATGTAACTGTAATTCAGAAACAGCTAATGTACTCTTCAACAGAAAATAGAACAATCATTGTCCATGATGAGGAAAAGGAACAAAATTAAACGTACATATCATAAGGGCTCCTTGATACTTTGTTAATAAAATTGCTTTGATGACTTGCCAAATTAAAATCACTTATACCAAGATGTTTGACTTCTTAAGACATGTTTTGATGTTTGTTTGGTTTTGTTGTTTTCTATACACTGAAATCAAATGTTGGGCTGAGGCTATTGGGAGATATATGGAAAAGTACATCTCAGTTTAATGACTTAGATGTTTTGGGAAAATGCATATACACATGAATTTATATAAATATATGTATATAAGCATATGCAAGTATTTTATATATATTCAAATTTGGCTTAAGTGTTTTGGATAATTCCATTATGTTTATTTACTTATTTATTTATTTTTATTTTGAGACAGAGTCTCTCTCTGTCACCCAGGCTAGAGTGCAATGGCTGATCTCTGCAACCTCTGGCTCCCGGGTTCAAGTGATTCTCCTGCCTCAGCTTCCTGAGTAGCTGGAATTACAGATGTGTGCTACCATGCCTGGCTAATTTTTGTATTTTTAGTAGAAACAGGGTTTTACCATGTTGGTCAGGCTGATCTCAAACTCCTGACCTCAGGTGATCCGCCTGCCTCGGTCTCTCAAAGTGCTGGGATTACAGGCATGAGCCACCGCTCCCAGCCCCATTATGTTTTTAAAAGTATACTTATATGTCATCAGCATGAACCCCTGACAATTTGGTTGACACCAAAATCCCTAGAATTTATGAAAATGTTACATTATAAGGCAAAAATGTTTTACAGTTTTATTTAAGGTTATGGATTTTCAAAGAGGGAGACGGTCCTGGATAATCTCACCGGGTCCAATGTAATCACACAAACCCTTAAATGTAGATAAGATCAAAGAGATGAGGGAGCAGAATAAGTTAATGATATTCAAAGCATGAGAGGGGCCATGCGGAAATCACAAGAAAGGATATAGACAGCATTTAGGAGAAAAGACAAACTTCTGGCTCACAGCCAGTGAAGAAATGGAAACTTCATTGCTCTGAGCAAGGGAATGGATTTAGCCAACAACGTGAATGATTTTGGAAGCAGATTATTCCCTAGAGCCTCCATTAAGGAACGCAGCCCTGCCAAAATCTTGATTTCAGCTTTATGAAGCCTATGCCAAACCTAACTTCTGATGTACAAAGTCTGTGAGATAATACATTGGTGTTTTATGTCATTAAATTTGTGGTAACTTGTTATTCAGCAACAGAAAACTAATAAACCATGTATGAGACAGCTGAACTGTCTACACCTGACAGTTGAACTGAGCTATAATTTAGTTACTCTGCTTTATTTAGCAAATTTTCACATTAATAACCCCTCACAGTGGTAATCTAGTTTATGTGATAATACTTACTGCAGGAATATGGCCCAAATGAAAGATTGTTTATATTCACTACTGTTTCTCCGTCTCTGTGAATTCCTCACTCGTCCTATACTAGACCATTATAGGATGCTGTAGTGCCACGTCCCCTTGCTTAATCATTTTGTTCAAGTTCTAGAAAATCTATAGGCATACCTCATTTTATTGGGTTTCACTTTATTGTGCTTCATAGATAATGTTTTGACAAACTGAACATTGTGGCAACCCTGCATTAAACACACCTTTTGGTGCCATTTTCCAACAAGTCCTTTTTTTTTGTTTCTCTGTCAACATTTTTTAGCATGATGTTAGATAAATCTCATGATGGTTAATTTTATATGTCAACTTAGTTGGGTTTAGGGATGCCCAGATAGCTGGTAAATCTTTATATTTGCATGTGTCTGTGAGGGTGCTTCCATAAGGGATTAGTATTTCAATCAGTAGACTTAGTAATGATTCACTCTTACCAGTGTGGGCCAGCACCATTCAATTTTTGAGGACCCAGATAGAATAAATTGACAGAAGAAGGATGAATTCTTTCTTTCTCCTTGAGTTGGGTCATCCATCTTCTCCTGCCCTCAGGCATTAGAGCTCCTGGTTCTGTGGCTTTTGGACTTTAACTCATACCAGTGGTCCCCAGCTCCTGGTTCTCAGCCATTCTGCTTTAGACTGGAAATATGCCATTGTCTCCCTTGTTCTCAGGCCTTCAGTCTCAGACTAAATTATACTACTGTACTACTGATATTCTTGGTTCTCCAGCTTGCAGGTGGCAATGGTACTTTTTGGCCTCCATAATAGTCTGAGCCAATTCCCCAAATATATATATTATATACACATATATATAATATATATATTTATACATGTATAAATATATATATTTATACATGTATAAATATATATATTTATACATGTATAAATATATATACATATATATAAATATATATATATTTATACATATATGCTACTGCTAGATCTGGTTATTTAAAAGAGTCTGGTACCTCTCTCCTCTTTCTTCCTTCCCTTCTTCCCTTCCACCAAGAGTGGAAGCTTCCTGAAACCCTCACCAGAAGCAGAAGCAGACACTGGTGCCATACTTCCTGTACAGCATGCAGAAACATGAGTCAAATAAAACTTTCTTCTTTATAAATTACCCAGCCTCAGGTATTCCTTTATAGCAATACAACTGTCTAATCTGATTAGATTGTAAGATGTTAATTGCTATATTCCAGTAATAAAGAGAGGAATAATAGTTTTTGGTGTGAACTGTTTACAGAGATAGGCAAAATACATGCCTTGAATACTCCTAGTCAACTACTTATGAAAAACAAGGAGCTAATTAACTCTGTATATGATACTTTCAAATATTTTTGAGGAACTAAGGAATACAATGACATTGGTTGGTTGTCCCTAACTTTGGGAGACAAAAGGGGTGAAAGAAAAATATAAGTCCAGGGATTCAAATTCTTAGCTCAAGCACTCCATAAGGAGTCTAAGAGCTTGTAGGTCTGCCCTGAAGGAAAGCCATCTCTCCTGTAGCAACGAGGCTGAAATTGTTGAAAATCAACAGAAGACATTTTTCTGGAATTTCCTGAATTACAAAGCAAATTGAACTACCAGCCTCAAATAAGTCTATTATTTAAAAGAGTGTGATGATTGGGAAAGAATGGGATCCTGTGAGTTGTAGTGGGGAGATGTCAGGGAACTCTAATGAAGCTGAGGATATTAAATACCTAAATTGTGAAAAGTCTTCTTTGACAGTGGAAGAGGTCTTCCCACTCCCAGCAAAAGTGGTCTCTCCATCTCCAGTGGAAGTAGCCTTTCCAACCTCAGTGACAGTGGTCTATCAATTCCCTGCTTGAGTGAAATCCCCACCTTTGAGGGGATTAGCCCCAATTGACTATGAAAACAGTATTGGCCTTTCTTGAAGCGGTTACAATGCAAGACAATGCTGATTGTCCCACCTCCACTATCCCTCTTTGCTTCTAGATATATAAGTATACTTAAGTTCAAGTAAGCCAATCTAGGAGAGGTAAAAGTGTGGGCCATGAGGAGATGCACTACACTCTGAAATAACTCCTTGAGTTTTCTAATTTATACAAGCAGAAATCTGGAGAATAAGTGTAGGACTGGATATTAAGAATGTGGCATAATGGTAGACATAATAAGAAGTTGTATCAGGCTGAATTGATTGATATGGGTACTCAAGCAGAGATATTGCATTTAATAGTGCAGCTTGAGGAGTTAGAAAGGAATCTAATAGTTTGGTTGGTTGGCTAAAACATGGATCAAAGATGGCCCACTATGAGCAATTTGCAGATGCCTGATCACATTTACTTTAGTGTAAAGGAAGAAATTCAAAGGCTTCTGATGATTCGAATGTTAGAGGGTCCAGAAGACATAACTTTCATGAACACGGTGATAAATAAATTTGTAAGAGGAGCTCCTGCATCCTGGAAGTTCTCAGTGATGACTTTTCCCTATAGGCCAGACATTATAGTAAAAATTGCAGGCACTGAATTTGAAAACCTAAATGCAATGAGAGCAATTTGATAACAGGATGAGTAAAGTGGCAGCATTGAGCCACCAAAGACAAGATGTGAGTAGTTATGTAAAGGACAGTAGAATCAAAGCAGCCATCAGACTTATGGCTCAAACAGATTTATGACATTGGTTATTAAATCATGGTGTTCGTAGAAATGAAATAGATACAAAGCCTATTAAATTCTTAATTGATTCATATAAGCAAAAGAGTTCCAGGTGATCTGAACAAAAATCTAACTCAAATTATAAAACCAGAGAGTCATGGCCACTCAGTCAGTGACCAGATTTAAGCCAATCTGTAGATACAGAATGTCTTTTTCTTTTCTTTTTTTTTCTAACTGCCTATTTGATCAGGTATGTATTCAAAATAAGCTGCAAAAATGATTTGACTTTTATGGAGTAAACAAATTTAAGAGTTTATGCAGCAGATTTCTTTTGTTTTGTTGTAGGTTTTGTTTCTGCTGGCTTCTTTGCAAGTGCTGGTTTATTGGTAGCTGCTTCCTTTTTCCCCACCAGAGGTTTCTTATTCTTAACACAAACAGCCTTCTTTGTTTTCTTCCCTAGCACAAACTTCTTGCCTGCAACGCCCTTCTCATCTGATTTGGCCTCTAGCACTGCCTCTGCTGCTGCGGCGGCCACCTTATCCACGCAAAGTTCATGATTCCTGGTCGGGTAAAGAATGGTGTTCCGGTGCTTGGTCTTTACATATGGGTTTAGCTCCAACATGATTCTCAGATTTTTTTCAGTAGGTTCTTCTTCAAGACTCTATGATGAATCATCCTGCGTGGTATTCCAAGGGCTTTTTGGATCTCTGGGCTTTTCTAGATTCTGCTAAGGTCTGTGTTGATCATCTTGTGCATGGGAAGATTGTGTTACTCTTCAAAGAGCAGCTTTAACACCAAGTGCCATACAATTCATTTGCCTTCTGGAAAGCATTCCAGAAGACAAATTCTCAGCTCTGTAGGTCCAAATACAGAACTGCTTCCCATGCCAGAATGTCTTGAATAAAATAAAAGGGAGTCTGGGGTCACCTTGGGGAATAATTTTGGTACACTATGAAATATTTATACTTATAATCTTCTTCCCAGGCTTTCCCAAAGGAACTTACATCCTTTTACCAGGGTAACTGTGCATTTGAAGGAAAGGAAATAATGTGATTTTTCAAGACTACTGGACACAAGCTCTGAACTGACATCGATTCCAAGAGACTCAAAACATCACTTAGCCCTCCAGTCAGAGTATAGGATAATGAAGGTCAAGTGATTAATGGAATTTTGTTTCAGACCCAGTTCATTCACAGTGGGTCCAGTGAGTCCACAAATCCATCCTGTAGTTATTTCCTCAGTTCCAAAATGCATAATTGGAATAGACATACCTAGCAGCTGGCAGAATTTCTACATAGCTTTCCTGACTTACAGAACGTGGGGTATTACATTGGGGAAGTCCAAATGAAAGCCATTAGAATGCTTCTACCTAGAAAAATAGTACATCAAAAGCAATATTGCATTTTTGGAAGGATTACAAAGGTTAGTGCCACTATTTAGGACTGGAAAGATGCAGGGTACTGATTCCTCACATCCCCATTCAACTCTCCTATATGGCTTATGCAGAAGACTGATGGATATTGGAGAATTACAGTGGGTTTTTGAAAGCTTCACCAAGTGGTAACTCCAACTGCAGCTGCTGTACAAGAGGTAAATTTACCGTTTGAGAAAATCAACACATCTTTAGGTACCTGGTATGTGCAAGCTGTTGACCTGAAAATTTTTTTATCTCTATCTCTGTTAATAAGTCCACCAGAAGCAGTTTGCATTAGGCTGGCAAGGCCCCAATACACCTTCACTGTCTTGTCTCAGGGTTATATCAGCTCTTTAGTTCTGAGTCATAATTTAGTTCACAGAGATCTTGAACACTTTATCTTTCCACAAGATATTTCCCTGGTCCATTACACTGATTAACATCATGCTGATTAGACGTAGTGAGTGAGAAGTAGCAACTACTCTGAACTTACTGGTAAAACATTTGCATCAGAGAAAAAGAAATAAATCTGACTGAAATTATAGACCTTTTCAACTCAGTAAGATTTCTAGGAGTCCAGTGTTGTTGAGATATCCTTTATAAGTTTTTGGATTGCATCTGCTCCCTCCTACAACCAAGAAAAACACACAATGCCTAGTGGCCTAATTAGATTTTTGAGACAACATATCCTTATTTGGTGTGTTATTCCAGCCCATTAATGGAGTGGCCTGAAAAGTTACTAATTTTGAGTGGGTCCCAGTACAAGAGGAGGATCTGCAACAAGTCCAGGCTACTGTGCAAGTTGTTCTACCACTTCTGCCATATGATCACACAGATCCAATGGTGCTAATGTGTCAATTCCAGATGGAAATGCAGTTTGAGGCCTTCCTCAGGTCCCTATAGGTGAATCATAGCGTAATTCTTTAGGATTTTGGAGCAAGGCACTACTATGATTCCCAGATATCTACTCTCCTTCTGAGAAACAGCCCTCAGTCTGCTATTGGACATTAATATAAACTGAACACAAAACCATGGGTCACCATGTTACCATGTGACCTGAGCTGCCTATCATGGACTGGCTGTTTTCTGACTCACCAAGCCATAAAGCTGGACATACACAGCAATACTCCATCATCAAATGGAAGTGATATAAACACGATCAGGCCCTAGAAGGCCCTAAAGACATAAGTACACTCTATGAAGAGTGGCCAAATGCCCATGGTTCCCAATCTTGACACATTATTTTCTATCTCATCTTCACTTATAGCCTCATGGGGCATTCCCTCTGGACGGTTGAGAGAGGAAGAGAAGACTTGGGTACGGTTTACAAATTGTTCTGCATGACATGCAGGTACCAACAAAAAGTGAATAGCTATAGCATTACAGCCTCTCTCTAGAACATCCTTGAAAGACCGTGGTAAAGGGAAATCTTTCCAGTGGGCAGTATTTCAGGTAATGCACCCGGTTGTGCACTTTGTCTGGAAGAAGAAATGGCCAGATGTGCCATTATATACATATCCCTGGGGTGTAAAAACCAGGGAAGGCTACTTTCTGGGGTCCCTCTGCTGAGATACAAGTGGAGAATTCATAGATGAGACTCTGTTCACCCCAGGCAGCTTTCCTGAACTTTGGGGGACTGGCTAGCAATGAACGCTAGGCTTCTGTTGCCCTTGCTGCCAGTAATAAACATGCCTATTTTATTTTATTTTAATAGTTTTGGGGGAACATGTGGTTTTTGCTTACATGGATAAGTTCTTTAGTGGTGATTTCTGAGATTTTAGTGCGCCCATCACTCGAGCAGTGTACACTGTACCTAATGTGTAGTCTTTTATTCCTCACCCCCGCTCACCTTCCCCATGAGTCCCCAAAGTCCATTATATATTTCTTATGCCATTGCATCCTCATAGCTTAGCTCCCACTTATAAATGAGAACACACGATATTTGGTTTTACATTCCTGAGTTACTTCACTTATAATAATGGTTTCCAACTCCATCCAGGTTGTTGTGAATGCCATTATTTCATTCATTTTTAGGCTGAGTAGTATTTCATGGTGTGTGTGTGTGTGTGTGTGTGTGTGTGTGTGTGTGTGTGTGTGTATATATATATATATATATATATATATATAATTTTCTTTATCCATTTACTGGTTGGTGGGCATTTAAGCTGGCTCCATATTTGTGCAGTTGCAAATTGTGCTGCTGTAAACATGCATGTACAAGTGTCTTTTTCATATAATGTCTTATTTTCCTCTGGATAGACACCCAGTAGTGGGAAGGCTGGATCAAATGGTAGATCTACTTTTAGCTCTTTAGGGGATATCCATACTGTTCTCCATAGTGGTTGTACTAGATCACATTACCCACGAGGAGAGTAAAAGTGTTTTCTTTTCACAACATCCACACCTACATCTATTATTATTTGAATTTTTAATTGCTGCCATTCTTGCAGGAGTAAGGTGGTGTCTCATTGTGGTTTTAATTTGCATTTACCTGACAGTAATGTGGAACATTGTTTCATAGGTTTTTTTTGGCCATTTGTATATCTTCTTTTGTCTATTCATGTCCTTTACTTACTTTTTGATGGGATTATTAGTTTTTCTCTTGCTGATTTGTTTGAGTTCCTTGAAAATTATGAATATTAGTCTTTTGTTGGATGTATAGTTTGTGAATATTCTCTCCCATACTGTGGGTTGTCTTTTTATTCTGTTAATTTTTTACTTTGCTGTGCAAAAGCTTTTTAGTTTAATTAGGTCTCACCTATTTATTTTTACTTTTGTTGCATTTGCTTTTGGGTATTTGGTCATGAACTCTTTGCCTAAGCCAATATCTAGGAGATATTTTTCCAGTGTTATCTTCTATAATTTTTAAGGTTTCACGTATTAGATTTAACTATTTGATTCATCTTAAGTTGATTTTTGTATATGGTGAGAGATGAGGATTCAGTTTTATTCTTCTACATGTGGATTACCAATTTTTCCAGCACCATTTGTTGAAAAGGGTGTGCTTTCCCCACTTTATATTTTTGTTTGCTTTGTTGAAGATCAGTTGGCTCTAAGTACTTGACTTTATTCTGGGTTCTCTATTCTTTTCCATTGGTCTATGTGCCTGCTTTCATAGCAGCACCATGGTAAGTATAGCCTTGTAATATAGTTTGAAGTCACGTAATGTGATGCCTCCAGATCTTTTTTTCTTATTTTGCTTAGACTTGCTTTTCCTACACAAGCTCTTTTTTGGTTGTATGTGAGTTTTAGGATTGTCTTTTCTAGTTCTGTGAAGAGTGATGATGGGAATTGTATCGAATCTATAGATTGCTTTTGGCAGTATGGTCATTTTCACAATATTGACTCTACCCATCCGTAAGTATGGGATGTGTTTCCATTTGTTTCTGTCATCTATGATTTATTTTTCGGCAGTGTTTTCTAGTTTTCATTGTAGATATATTTCACCTCCTTGGTTAGGAATATTCGTAAGTATTGTTTGTTTGTTTGTCTGTTTGCAGCTGTTGTAAAAGGGATTGAGATCTTGATTTGGTTCTCAGCTTGGTAATTGTTGGTTTACAGGAGTGCTAATGATTTGTGTATGTTCATTTTGTATTCTGAAATTTTATTTAATTTATTTATCAAATCTAGGAGGTTTTTAGATGAGTATTTAGGATTTTCTAGGTATACAATCACATCATTAGTGAACGGCAACAGTTTGATTTCCTCTTTATTGATTTAGATGCCCATTATTTCTTTCTCTTGTCTGATTGCTCTGGCTAGGACTTCCAGTACTATGTTGAATAAAAGCAGTAAAAGTGGGCATCCTTGTGTTGTTCCAATTCTCAGGGAGAATGCTTTAAACTTTTCCCCATTTAATATAATGTTGGCTGTGGGTTTGTCACAGATGGCTTTTATTACCTTGAGGTATGTGTCTTCTATGCCAAGTTTTCTGAGGGCTTTAAACATAAATTGATGCTGGATTTTGTTGAATGCATTTTCTACATCTATTGAGATGATCATATGACTTTTAGTTTTTAATTTTGTTTACATGATGTATCACATTTATTCACTTGCATATTTTAAGCTATCCCTGCATTGCTTATATGAAATACACTTGATCATGGTATATTTTGATATGCTGCTGGATTCAGTTAGCTAGTATTTTGTTGAGGATTTTGGCATCTATGTTCATCATGAATATTGGTTTGTAGTTTTCTTTTTTAATGTCCTTCCTTGGTTTTGTTATTAGGGATATACTTTCTTCATAGAATGATTTAGGGAGGATTCCATCTTTCTCTAACTTTTGGAATAGTTTTAGTAAGAATGGTACCAATTCTTCTTTGAATGTCTGTTAGAATTCAGCTGTGAATCCATGTGGCCTTGGATGTCTTCTGTTGTTGTTGGCAATTTTTAAAATAACTATTTAAATCTTGTTACTTGTATTGGTCTGTTCAGAGTTTCTATTTCTTCCTGATTTAATCTAGGAGGACTGTGTATTTCTAGGAATTTAACCATCTCCTCCAGAGTTTTTAATTTGTATGTATAAAGCTGGTCATAGTAGTGAGAGGTGACAGCGTGCTGGCAGTCCACACAGCCCTTGCTCGCTCTCGGGGCCTCCTCTGCCTCGGCTCCCACTTTGGCGGCACTTGAGGAGCCCTTCAGCCCACCGCTGCACTGTGGGAGCCCCTTTCTGGGCTGGTCAAGGCCGGAGCCAGCTCCCTCAGCTTGCAGGGAGGTGTGGAGGGAGAGGCACGAGTGGGAACCGGGGCTGCGTGCGGAGCCTGTGGGCCAGCTGGAGTTCCGGGTTGGCGTGGGCTTGGCAGGCCCCACACTCGGAGCAGCCGGCAGGCCCTGCCAGGCAATGAGGGGCTTACCATCTGGGCCCGCAGCTGCGGAGGGTGTACTGGGTCCCCCAGCAGTGCCGGCCCACTGGGGCTGCGCTCCATTTCTCACTGGGCCTTAGCTGCCTCCCCACTGGGCAGGGCTCCGGACCTGCAGCCCATCATGCCTGAGCCCCCCCCACCCGCTCCTGTGTGGCCGGAGCCTCCCCAATGAGCATCGCCCCCTGCTCCACGGGCACCCAGTCCCATCGACCACCCAAGGGCTGAGGAGTATGGGCACATGGTGCGGGACTGGCAGGCAGCTCCACCTGCAGCACCTGTGCGGGATCCACTGGGTGAAGCCAGCTGGCCTCCTGAGTCTGGTGGGGAGGTGGAGAACCTTTATGTCTAGCTAAGGGATTGTAAATACACCAATCAGCACCCTGTGTCTAATTCAGGGTTTGTGAATGCACCAATCGACACTCTGTATCTAGCTACTCTGGTGGGGACTTGGAGAACCTTTGTGTTGACCTTCTGTAGCTAGCTAATCCGGTGGGGATGTGGAGAACCTTTGTGTCTAGCTCAGGGATTGTAAACGCACCAATCAGCGCCCTGTCAAAACAGACCACTTGGCTCTACCTATCAGCAGGATGTGGGTGGGGCCAGATAAGAGAATAAAAGCAGGCTGCCCCAGCCAGCAGTGGCAACCCGCTCGGGTCCCCTTCCACACTGTGAAAGCTTTGTTCTTTCGCTCTTTGTGATAAATCTTGCTGCTGCTCACTCTTTGGGTCCACGCTGCCTTTATGAGCTGTAACACTCACTGTGAAGGTCTGCAGCTTCACTCCTGAGCCAGCGAGACCCTGAACCCACCAGAAGGAAGAAACTCCGAACACATCCGAACATCAGAAGGAACAAACTCCAGATGCGCCACCTTAAGAGCTGTAACACTCACTGCGAGGGTCCGTGGCTTCATTCTTGAAGTCAGTGAGACCAAGAACCCACCAATTCTGGACACAGTAGCTTTGAATGATCTTTTGTATTTCTGTGACATTGGTTGTAATATCTCCTGTTTTGTTTCAAATTGAGTTTATTTGGATCTTCTCTCTTGTTTTCTTGGTTAATCTAGCTAATGGTCTATCAGCTTTATCTTTTCAAAAACCCAGCTTTTTGTTGTGTTTATCTTTTGTATTTTTTTGTTTCAATTTTGTTTAGTTCTGTTCTGATCTTGGTTATTTCTTTTCTTCCTCCAGGTTTGAATTTGGTTTGTCCTTGTTACTTTAGTTCCTTGAAGTGTGACCTTAGATGATCTATTTGTGTTCTTCCAGACTTTTTGATGTAGTCATTTCATACTATGACATGTCCTCTTAGCACTGTTTTGCTGTATCACAGAGGTTTTGATAAGTTATCTTACTATTATCATTCAGTTCAAATAATTTTTTAATTTCCATCTTGATTTCAGTGTTGACACAAAGATCATTCAAGAGAGATTAATTTCTAAGTATTATATAGTTTTGAGGGTTCCTTTTGTAGTTAATTTCCTGTTTAATTCCACTGTGTTCTGAGAGGATACTTGATATAATTTCAGTTTTCTTAAATGTATTGAGGCGTGTTTTGTGACCTATCATATGGTCTATCTTGGAAAATTTTCCCTGTGCTGATGAAAAAAAAATGTATATTCTGCAGTTGTTGGGTAGAATGTTCTGTAAATATCTGTTAAATCCATTTGTTCTAGAGTTTAGTTTAAGTCAATCGTTTCTTTGTTGACTTTCTGTCTTGATGACTTGACTAGTGCTGTCAGTGGAATATTGAAGTCCCCCACTATTGCTGTGTTGCCATCTATCTCATTTCTTATGTCTAGTAGTAATTGTTATATACATTTGGGATCTTCAGTGTTAGCTGTGTATATATTTAGGATTGCTATATTTTCCTGTTGGACTAATGCTTTTATCATTATATAATGTCCCTCTTTGTCATTGTGTTTTTACTGTGTTGCTTTAAATTCTGTTTTTTCATGAAATAAGAATAGCTATTCCTGCTTTCTTTTGGTATCCATTTGTGTGAAATATCTTTTTCTATGCCTTACCTTAAGTTTATGTGAGTCCTTACGTGTTAGGTAAATCTCTTGAAGACAGAAGTTACTTGGTTAGTGGAAATTTATTCATTCTGCCATTCTGTGTCTTTTAAGTGGAGCATTTAGGCTATTTACATAAAACTTTAGTAGTGAGATGTGAGGTACTGTTCTATTCATCATGCTAATTGTTGCCTAAATACCTAGTCATTTTTCATTGTATTTTTTGTAGGTCCTGTGAGATATATGCTTTATGGAAGTTCTATTTTGGTGTATTTTGACGTTTTATTTCTAGATTTAGAACTCCTTTTAGTGTTTATGTAGTGCTGGCTTGGTAGTGGTGAAGGCTTTCGGCATTTGTTTTATCTGAAAAAGACTTTATTTCTCCTTCACTTATGAAGTCTAGTTTTGCTGGATATAAAATTCTTGACTGATAATTATTTTGTTTCAGGGGAGGCTAAAGATAGGACCCAAATCCCTTCTCACTTGTAAGCCTCCTGCTGAGAAATCTGCTGTTAATCTGACAGATTTTCCTTTATAGGTTACCTGATGATTTTGTCTCACGACTTTTAGGATTCTTTCCTTTGTCTTCACTTTAGATAACCTGGTGACTATATGCATGCATGATGATCTTTTTACAATGAATTTCCTAGGTGTTCTTTGAGATTCTTGTGTTTGAATGTCTAGATTTCCAGTAAGGCTAGGGAAGTTTTCTTCAATTAGTCTCTGAAATCAGTTTTCCAAACTTTTGGATTACTCTTCTTCCTTAAGAACACAAATTATTCTCAGGTTTGGCCATTTAACATAATTCTGAATTTCTTGGAAGCTTTGTTCATTTTTAATTCTTTTTTCTTTGCATTTGTCTGATTGGGTTAATTTGAAAGCCTTGTCTTTGACCTCTGAAGTTCTTTGTTTTAATACTTGCCTTAAAGTATTATTGAAACTTTCCAGTGCACTTTGTATTCTTCTAAGTGTGTCTTTCATTTCCAGAAGTTGTAATTGTTTTTTCTTTGTAATATCAATTTCATCCATATCCTGTATTATTCTTTTTAATTTCTTTAAGTTTTTTTTTCACCTTTCTCTAGTATCTCCTTGAGTAGCCTAATAATCAAGCTTCTGAATTTTTTATCTGGTAATTCAGAGATTTCTTGTTGGTTTGGATCCATTGCTGGGAAGCTAGTATGATCTTTTGGGGCTGTGATAGAGCCTTGTTTTGTCATATGGCCAGAATTACTTTTCTAGTTCCTTCTCATTTGAGTAGACTATCTCAGTGCAAAAGGACTGGAATTCAAGTCCTGCTGTTTAGATTCTTTTGTCCCGTGGGGTGATCCCTAGATATTGTGCTCTTCCCCTTCCCCTAAGAGTGGGGCTTTCTGAGAGCTGGACTACAGTGATTGTTATTGGGTCTAGTCACCCAGTGGGGCTACCTAGTTCTGGGCTGGTGCTAGGGAATGTCTGAAAAGAGTCCTGTGATGTAATCTGCCTTCAGGTCTTCCAGCCATGGATACCAGCACCTGCTGTGGTGGAGGTGGCAGGAGATTGAAGTAGACTCTGTGATAGTCCTTGCTTGTAGATATGTTTAGTGTGTTGGCTTTCTCAAATGCTGGTTATGCTACCAGTGAAGTTGTCATGTGGACACACTCAGGACCTCTGGTTAGATACAATGTTGCAGACAGTGGAATTAGCCATTGTTTTCTCCTTCCTGGGAGCAGGGTTATTCTGTCATGAGTTGTTGTAATGGCCTGAGTCGATTGGCCTCCAGCCAGGATGTGGCACTTTCAAAAGAACACCAGCTGCAGTGGTAGTAGGGGGATATAAGCTTGCCGTAAGTTGTCCAGGGGAAGTATTCTGGTTTCTCAGCTGATGGGTGGGGCCGTAAAGCTCTCAATAATTTATGGCTTTTGTGTTTGACTACCAGGGTGGGTAGAAAAATACCATCAGATGAGGGCAGGTTAGGGCTGGTCAGGGCTCAGACTCTCCTTGGGCAGGGCTTGCCATGGCCACTGTTGGGGATTGGGCTTAGGAAAACAAATTAAAACATAAATAGAAAATATGTATTTTAGATGTTTTTAGGTATTATGGACGAAAGTAAATATAGGGATTCAGGTACATCCAGAGAGTTTTTTTATCTTCTATAGTGACAGGGAGTTAGAATTTGGAGGCCAGAAATGACTTAGGAGTTATGCAAATATATTTTGGAATTGATATAAACATGGACTAAAGCCATAATGACATTCATCACCCTGATTAAAAACTAAATGTTGGTCATCAGGTTGCTAGTCAGACCTTAAAGTCTCAGAATCATTTTTGTTTGTGCATAACATCACAATGACAGAGAGCTTTTGCAGATCAATGGTTTAAATTTAAATTTGATGAAGATACACACACACATACACACACATCTTTCCTCCTTATGTATACACATAGTTATATATGTATAATTCATATACATAATATATATATATATATGAATACTACATTTGTCTGTATTTCCTGCTTAGCTATTATCCTTGGGTCTCTTCGACTGAATTTACATTTTCCCAGTATGAACATTTGGAAATGTTCAGTTCTGAGAAGTGGTAATTTATTCTGTCTTTAATTGTATTAACAGGTGTTTATACATTGGTACGCTTGGTAAATTTATTTCAACAGTGCATCAAGGTTTAACATTTTTGAAGATATATTAGGCACCACTAATCATTCATATTTAAGAAAAAGGCTAATCTCGTGTGATGTTATCAATATAAATATGTTTATTCAGGTGAAAACTAGATTAGCATGTAAGTTATTTTAATTAATAAATTAGCAAACACAAAGAAAATTTACATCTTATACCTCTGAAAAATTTCTTCTGGCATCAAATGTGAGATGTGTTTGGATTTTAGTAGTATAGAAATATAAAAACAATGACCCTTTCATATGCCCTCTCTATAAGATTATCATCATTGGGTAAGTTCACACTTATGCCTAGTTGTGCTAGTGGCACATGTGACTTAAAAAGCAGATGCCACTGATGACTTCATCTCATCAGCTTCTTTTCAGTGATTAATTACAGCATCTGTGAATGTGTATTTGGAATGGGTCTGACCCATGTTAGACTTCCTCTGTTTTCGAGAAATTAGTCAATTCTCATTTCATTTCTAAAGATAGATACACTGATAAGCCCAAGTCAAATTAATTGTCAAGGTAATCACTTATCTTTATCCACTCAGATAATCTCTTTTTATGTCTTATAATTCACCTATCTGATGGAACCCCTTCCATGTAGGAGGTAAACTTCTGACATTCAATTATTATTTTTTAATGTTAATATTGCTATCTATTCATTATTAGCAACAGATCTATTTCAAATAAAAGTAAAGAGAGTTATTATCTCCTAGCACCAAATATAATATATAGATTATTCATATTTTATTAACTTTATGCATAATTATATGGCCTCTATGAGAACAAGTAACATAAATCAAAATCTAAATGTGGCTTAATGCAGCAGTCCTCAACCTTTTTGGCACCAGGGACCAGTTTGATGGTAGACAATTTTTCCATGGGCTGGGGGGTGGGGGGATGGTTTGGGGATGATTCAAGCACATTACATTTATTATGCACTTTATTTCTATTATTATAAATTGTAATATATAATAAAATAATTATACAACTCGCCATAATGTAGAATCAGTGGGAGTCCTGAGCTTGTTTTCCTGCAACTAGACAGTCCCATCTGGGGGTGATGAGAGACAGTGATAGATCATCAGGCATTATATTCTCATAAGGAGCACGCAACTTAGTTCCTTCCCATGTGCAGTTCACAATAGGGTTCATGCTCCTATGAGAATCTAATGCCACCAGTGGTCTGACAGGAGGTGGAGCTCAGGTGGAAATGTCAGCAATGGTACGAGGCTATAAATACAGATGAAGCATTGTTCACTTGCCTGCTGCACACCTCCTGATAAGCAGGCAGGTTTCTAACCGGCCATGGACTAATATCAGGGGCTTGGGGACCCATACCTTAATGGATATCTAAACAGTATAATTACTATGCCCAAAACTATTGTAAATATGTAGTTATGGTTTCCCCCAAGACAGAATGAGCTTTAGTCTTATTTTACATGTAATTCAATCTAATTAAATTATACAGGTAAAAATTTGGGGCATTTGGGGAAAATATTATAGATATGTAAATTATATCTCTATTTTGGTATCATAAGAACCCTTACATATTTTTAATAAGGATATCTATGAATTGTGAAGAAAAAACATAGATACATATAAAGAAATCCCTCAAGCCAACATAATTTAGAAATACGTTAGATATATTATAACAAAATTAGTCATAAGAAATTGCTTATTATTTAAATGCCATCTAAAATAGATTACAATTGATTCTAATCATTTTTTTTCTGTTATAGAGACAGGATTTTGCTCTGTTGCCTAAGCCAGGGTGCGGTGACATGATTATCATTCACTGCTTAATTCTAATCTTAAATCAACAATTACTGAAGTATTCTGATAAATTTTAAGTATTCAAAATATAGGATGTGAAACAATTTTTGTTAGTAGAAAGTTTAATTTCTTGTCAAATTATTACCATATATGGTAATAACTATCTGTTTTATAATTCCCTTTAACTATCTCTGATTTTGTTACCCTTACAGGTGACTAGTACAGTGTGAATTTGACTCATAAAAATTAAAACCTGAGTAAATTTTGATATATAGTTACAAAATATGAAGACTTTTGCCTCCTGTAATGGTGGAGTAACTCATTGAAACTAACTCCACTAAAAATCAAATCAAAATAATAAAAATGGGTGAAAACATAAGAAAACAACTATATATATACACACACACACACACACACATATACACAACTATATATATATATTTCCATAGGTTTTTGGAGAACAAGTGGTATTTGATTACATGAGTAAGTTCTTCAGTGGTGATTTGTGAGATTCTGGTGCACTCATCTCCTGAGCAGTATACACTGAACCCAATTTGTAATCTTTTCTCCCTCTCCCCCTTCCCACCCTTTCCCCCTGAGTCCCCAAAGTCCACTGTGTCATTCTTATGCCTTTGCATCCTCAAAGCTTGGCTCTCACTTATGAGTGACAACATATGGTGTTTGGTTTTCCATTCCTGAGTTACTTCACTGAAAATAATTGTCTCGAACCCTATCCAGATAGTTATGATTGCCATTAATTCATTGCTTTTTATGGCTGAGTAGTATTCTGTCATATATATATATGGTGTAATACTAAGATATATATCTCAGTCATTTCTTTGCCCACTTGTTTATTGATGGGCATTTGGGTTGGTTCCAAATTTTAGCAATTGTGAATCGTGCTGCTATAAACATGCATGAGCGAGTAACTTTTTCGTATAATGACTTCTTTTCCTCTGAGTAGATACCCAGTAGCCGGATGGCTGGATCAAATGGTAGTTCTACTTTTAGTTCTTTAAGGAATCTCCACATTGTTTTCCGTAGTGGTTGTGCTAGTTTACATTCCCACCAGCAGTGTAGAAGTTTTCCCTTTTCAGCACATCCATGCCAACATCTATCATTATTTTTTATATTTTTTTTCTTATGGCCATTCTTGCAGGAGTAAGGTGGTATCACAAAACATAAGAACAACTGTTGAAAATTTCTGAAATTCTAATGGCAAAAAATATCATTTACAATGATCAGTACAAAATAAAAAGGAGCAAAACCATAGAGAATGAGAAAAATAGAAAATGTGATTCATAGATAAAGGCAAAAATAGAAAAGGGAAACTGATTCTGACATGACACAGATGTTGGAATTAGACTTTAAAGTACCTATTGTACCTAAACTACAATGAGTTAAGAGTTAAAGAAAAATAAAGACAGGAATCAAAAGAGAAAGAAATTCATTAGATAAATTAGGGCTATGGAAAAGAACCATGTGATAATTCTTTGTTCAAAAAAATAAATAATAAACTGTTTTTAAAAAAATACTGAACAACTTGGCCGGGCGTGGTGGCTCACGCCTGTAATCCCAGCACTTTGGGAGGCTGAGGCGGGTGGATCACAAAGTCAGGAGGTCGAGACCATCCTGGCTAACATGGTGAAACTCCGTTTCTATTAAAAATACAAAAAATTTGCCGGGTGTGGTAGCAGGCGCCTGTAGTCCCAGCTACTCTGGAGGCTAAGGCAAGAGAATGGTGTGGACCCGGGAGGCCAAGCTTGCAGTGAGCCGAGATAGCTCCTGGGCACTCCAGCCTGGGCAACAGAGCAAGACTCCGTCTCAAAAAAAAAAAATACTGAATAACTTTAACAGCAGATTTAAGAGTAAAAAAGTCTTAATTAATTTGAGAATAAATGAATATAAATATCCAATACTCAGACCAGCGAAAAAAACTTGAAGAAAATAAACCAAATATCTGTAAACTGTGTAACAATCTAAAGTTGTCTAACATATTGAGAGACTCAGGGAAGATGAGAGAGAAATATAGTGAAAAAAATTGAAAGAAATAATGACATTTTCCCAAACGTGAAAACTATAATTTCACAGTTTCAAAAGACTCCATGATTAAAAGGAAGATAAACAGAAAGAAAACCACACATGTACAACATAATCAAACTCTTGAAAATCAAAGATAAAGAACAAACATTTACCGGATCCAGAGAAAACAACGTACTGCATACAGGAAATGGAACAAACAACTAACCATACAAAGCCTCAACACATTTCAATGTTTAATTTACAAGGAGTATGTTCTTTCACCAAATTGTAACTATGCCAGAAAATAGAAAAAGGAAGATTATTCAAAATTCTTATACTTTTGAAAATTAAGAAATTCTCGTCTAAATAACACCAGTCAATGAAAAAGCCACTGAAAATTCAGTAATATCTTTTAAAAAGTATAATGAAAAAACTATATCTAAATACATGGCACATGAATGATGATGCTGACTCCATATTTAGAGATAGATTTGAAGAATTACATGCATTTAATAGATAAGAAAAAAGGCTGAAATAAAAGATATGTCAACTATCTAAAAAGAAACTAAAATAAAAGGATGTAATAAAGAAAATAAATATACAAGCAAAATTAACTAGTCAGAAATAAAATATATAATAAAGAATGGCCACAAAGCCAAGAACTAGATTTTAGAAAAAGACTAGTACAATTTGTAAATTGTTTTCAAGATTGACACACACAAAAAAGACAAAGAAAGTCAAAAATGAAAAATACTTATGGAAACTTTGTAATACTGATCTATAATATTAACTCATTATTTTTTGAATGAGACATTCCTTCTACTTTCCATTTTACCTTTTACTTTATTATGTTTCTTTTCTTTTTTTTAAAAAACCTGTCAGGTAGATACTTAAGTACCCAGATGATAAAATAGTCTGTACGACGAATGCCAAGTCACAAGTTTACCTATATAACTAACCTGCACATGTACCCCTGAACCTAAAATAAAAGTTAAAATATTTTTAAAAAGAAAAGAAAATTTAAAACCTCTGATGATGGCAAGTTTTATCTGATTGAAATGGGACACATCAAATATCTCTTTTTGTTACATGAGCATTCTTAGCATTGGTTAAGAAAAAAATGATGGTGGTTCATATTCTCAGAGGCTGAAAATTAGAAACAAATATTTTAGCAAAAAATATTCCTTTATATTCAGCTATCAGGCAACAATATTATTAAAAATATCACAACAAAACCGAAAACATGGTTAGGTAGGGGGTTAAGACACATTACATTTTAAAAATTGAAAATACCTTTCTTCTATCCCTAAGTCATCCTCGATGATTACTAAATCTTGTGAAATATTTCCTTTAATTTGAATTCAGCAGATGACCAATGAAGTTTATGTTTATGTTATACTTTTATAGTTTATCGATGTTTAATTTCAGTCTTTTTGTCTTATATCAAAATGTACCAAACAATTAACATATCCTACAAGGTCAGCTAGAATTAATAGTCTGTAACATTATCCTTGCAAACATCAGACAAGTTTGCTGCAGTTTATGTCTTTTGTGATTATGCTTCTATATCTGCATTAACATAATGCATGTGCAGTCCACAAAAGAATGTATTAATTTGTTGAACTATGTTACCATTAACATAAAGTGTCAGGATAATAAAGTAGCAGATTCTGCATTTTGGTAGGAACCTTGAAAACAACGCCATTCATTTCTTAGTATAACTCATCTTTTCTATCTTTTTGAGATCATATACATTACTGATTAACTTGATTTCTCTGTGTAGAGTATTGAATTATCTGTGGTCTTGCTCCTTATGCTCAAGACACATATTGGTGTTTGGAGCAAAGACCCAAGGCAGGTGAAGTAGCTCAGAAACTATACAGTTGCAAATGGCTGTCTATGCATGTGAGTTGTTGACCTCGAGAGGAATTAATAAAAAACAAGATGATGTATTTAAATTCTCTGATGATTGTGATATCTCTACAACATTAACAATTCAATTAAAAATATATCTCTTTTATAAGGACAAAAAAAGGATCTGTTTTCTTCTTTTATACTGAGAAGTCAGGTAACACACCTCTCAAAGAATTTGCAACTGACATAGGAATAACAGTAAAACATAATGGGGGTGTTATCATTATAATGACTATTTACTAAGTGCATACTTTATCTCTTTTAATCCCATAAAGTAAGGGGTTAGTGTTTTGGTTTTAGATACAAGAACACAGTAGTTCATACAGGGTTAAAACTTGCTAATGTACACAAAGTTTATAATGACAGAGCGGGGATCCAATCTCTGACTTGTGTGACTTAAATAATGCCATGCTATTTTGAAAATAGTATTTACTTTGTCTGTAAGTAGAATTGATAAAAATTATTATTATTATATTTATCCGTTTTATACATAGTTTGAAAGTTTTAACAAATTGAGTTTGGATACCATCATTCCTCCACAAAGAATATATGGGTAAGATTAATAAATGAAGAACCTAGTAAGAAATGATAGATAGCAAAAAATAGAGGGTCACAAAGTTTGATTACTTTGTAAATAATTCAAAACAATTGTTTTAACTATGTATCAAATAGGACTCAACTAGATATCTGATTTTAAGAAAATTAAGAGTCAAAAAACAAAGAAACTAAAAACATGTTTCGTATGCTAAAAAACTGCTTAAACAATTTAAAACATCTATTAGTAAGGGTAAAGACTTCTGCTGATGAACAAAATGGCTTAACTAGAACCAGATTTAACTTTCCACAATAAAAATTTAAAAGTACATATCTATATAACTCTTCAGACATTGGACAACAGGCAATGCAGGACTATGATCCCTTAGAGAAGGGAGAGAAATGTGGTGAGCCCTGGAATCATCTTGGCTTTCCTCCTGAAGGCATTTTCTAGGACACAATACAAGGAGAAGAATTCCAGGCTGAACAAGGGAACTCAATGAGTTGAGGAATTGGCAATAGCAGTTAGAGGCGCAGAGGTGCTTAGAAATTTCAGCATAATGTTCTGGGCACTTGGGAGCTATGCAAAAAATGGATTCCAGAAATTTGCATAAGGTCCTCTTTGAGGGTTTCCTGAAGATTAGATTGCACATGAGAAATTTGAACCTCCCAAGGATAGACAAAGAACAACCAGAGAATTTTAAACTGAAAATTTCCAGAGCACAATACAAGGTGGGGAGATGTTCAATCTCATACCAGACAAAATGAAATAACCTCAATGATCACTCAGAGCATTAAGAGACAGCCCAGATGAACCATGAATTAGTAGTGGAAGTGAACTATCTCTGGAGTAAAGACTTTTCTAGATTCACCCTAGCAAATATTAAAAACAGAGCTAAGAAGTGTCAACATACTCAGCACATAACTCAATTGTCTTCCGAAACAAAGCACTATGCTTTTTAAAATAAGGCATGAATCTTCCAATCAAAACTTCCTATGCAGGCCAAGAGCAAGATAATGTGACTCAATCAGAAGAAAATTCTGTTGAGAAATAGATCCATAAATGACAAAATGGTGAAACTAGCAGAAAAAAGATGATTTAAAAAAACATTATAACTACAAACAAGTATTTAAGAATCCCAGATTTTTCCCCCATGCTCCCTCTTCATATAAACTACATTTTCTTACCTCTCTCAATTAGTTTAATTAAGCCAATTATTGAAAATTATATAAATACAATAAAATTGTATATAATTACTGGTTACTTATTATTTTACCTAATATTACCTCAGCGAGATTCATTATTTTTATTACATGTTGCACTAAGTTTTTCCCCATTGATCCATAGTACTACATTATCCAAATAATCCACATTATATTTATTAATATATTGGTAATTGCCAAATGGCCAAGTGAATTGTCTTCATTTTTTCAGCTATGATAAATAGTCTTATGAAAATTCTAATGCATGTCTTTTAGTACACAATTGCATATTCCTTTTGGGTAGTAGTAGAATGGCTAGAAGTGGGATGGCTGGAAAATTGGGTATACATATATTCACATTTGGTAGACACTTCTAAGTTGTTTTTCAAAAGAATTTTAACAATTAAAAATACCTACAACTTTTGGGAGTTTCAATTCTTACACATTCCACTATTACTGAGTATTCTATCAGTATATATTTTTTCTCTTTTGTAGCCGTTCTTGTAAGATCATCTCATGATTCTTTTTATTTTTATTTTTCTTCTGACTAAAAAAGGTTGAACATCTTTTGATATTCTTGTAGGATATTTGGATATCCTTTTCTGTTAATTACCTGTTCAAATATTTTATTCATTTTTCTTTCGTGGGGGAAAGGAATAATTTATCATTTTTATTGACTCATTGGAAAACTATGTATTCTACATATAACTTCTTTTCACACATATGGACTGCAATATCTTCTCACATTTTGTGTAGGTTTGCTCTATTTAAAAATAATGCACTTTTTAATCGTTAATGTTATCAATTTATGTCTTTGCATGGTTATTTTTTAAATTGGTTTAAGAAATCGTTACATATCCTGATTTCATGAATATATTTTTCTTTGTTATGTTTACCAGCATTATAATTTTACCTTCACATTTAGGTCTATGTTGTGCCTGAGATTCATTGGTACATATGATGTATGGCAGAAGTCAAGGTTTAATTTATTTTCCAAATTTGAAACCCCACTACAGCCAAAACATTTTGTTGAAAGGAACATTGTCACCTCACTGCATTTCAATGGCACTTTTCTTATAATCTACTGAATGCATATGTGTAGGCCTCTTTCTGGAATCTACAGTCTGTTCCATTGGTCTATTTGTCTCTGTGCAGTAACGCTCCACTGCTTTAATTACTGAAGCTTTGGAATAATTCCTTCAATTTTCGTCTTCAAACTTAGGTCTCTTTTCTTTGCCTTTGGCATATCCATATGAACTTTATAATCACCTCTTTAAATCAATATTATAGTCAGTTTCAATAACAAAATCTGCTGGCATTTTATTTGGGATTGCATTTAATATAAAGGGTGGATTGTGGAGAATTAACAGTTTAACCTTCAGTTAATCTGTATGATATATGCCTGATTTAAAGAGGTTATTGGAATTTCTGTCAGTAATGATAAATAGTTTAGGGTATATGTCATTCACAGTGTTTAATACATTTAAGAGTTATTTGATGTTTTTTGATCCTATTATAATTTTTATTTTTTAAATTGACTTTTCCAGTTTTGTGACCATTTCTTAGAAGTGTAACTGAGACTGGAGAGGTTCATTTCAGAAAATGAACCATGATTTGAAACTTAAAGTCTAATTAGAATGCTATTGTAAGAGTAACCAATAAGTACATGGATTCTGCCAAAGGTTTCAAATAAGTCAAAAAACTATTATATCAGCGCTAAGTGCATTTAATGGAAGAGTAGGAGACAACATTATGTGGTTATCTAACCCCAGGAATCGTGCTTGTTCAACATACAGCTTCTGGAACTATGGCAATCATATCAAACAAATTAGAGACTTTGTCAAGTGTTTTCTTTAGTAAAGGTGTGTATTGGGAGAGTGTTTTCTCATTACTTTAACATTATTTGTTTGCCTGTCTCAATGAAGTTTATAAACTAAATAGTTGAATTTTTGAAAGTGTTATTTGACAGATATTCGCTATTTAGATGGACATTTCCATTATAGGTGAGTTATAGATTTATTTATATTTCTTAACATTGATTTATTTTCCTTTACTAAGATATTGACAACATGTTTATGTATGAATACTATTTTCATCATTTTTATGATTCTCAAAAATAAAATATCAAAATAGAACTGAAATGCTGCTAACTGCTCTGGTAGACAACATAAGCTTTCATTTTGCTGGAATGTTCCCACTTCATACTACCTGACAATAGCCTCTTGTAATTAGCACCCTCATTTGAGTTTCTTCTTCAATTTCTGATTTTATTTTAAGGATAACATATTTTCCCAAGACACAAGAATTCTTATCATTCTGATTTTTTTTCTTCCAGTTTTATGAGAAAAATCATGTGTCCTCCAGAATCAGAGGGAAATTACACTTTTTATCCATTATCTTTTTCTCTCTCTTCTTGTTTCCTTGTATTTTCTATATTTTCTTTCTTCTTGTTTTCTTCTATTTTACACTCCCTAAGGAAAATCTTTCAACCCAAGGGAAAACCCCTAATTCTATCTGCAAGTCCTCTGTTTATTGAAAGAGTTACAGAAAATAAACACAGATGTCAGAGTCAGGAAGAATTTACCCCTGAACCTGTTTTCTTTACTGCACCTCATATGATAGTATGGAGCCCTGCTTTCTGTTGTGAACTGTGTTTCTTCCAGCCTAGACACCTAGGAATATTAGTAGAAGAATAATGTTTGTGGATCTCATGACTAGTTGCCTGTCAAGACCATGTTAGAAGAAATAATAGATTTTTGATTGTTTTTTCTAATTGCAATTATTCTTGACAGAAGCAGCAGGTAGTTCTTTGAGTACAGTTCCAAATACTTTATGACAACTTAGCGTGTCTCCATTTAGCAATCTAATATAGCAAATAAACTAAGTCCTATTTTTTTTTAATCAAGCCTAAAGCTAAAATTCACTACTTGTGAAGGGCTTTCTCTATGGCTTTTGCAACATCTTTTATATAATGAATATTTTATTAAAACCTATTTTTACTTAATAGAAACATTAAAGATCTGTGGCTGTTCAAATAAACTGTTATATCTCAGAAATTATTATAATTGACAAATTGGATGCCATCTCTTGAAGGCTCCTAAAAAGAGAGGCATTAAAGAAATATGATTCATTTATCCATTCTTACTTTTTAATTGACCTTGTTTGAATATCTGCAAATTTGATCAACAAGGATGGATGACATATGCTAGTCTGAACCTTCTCCTTCTCTGTCTTGGGTCTAAAAGTGAGCTTGTTGAAATAGCTTGTAAAAAAATTTGATTTTCTGCACCAATTCTTTATGTAATAAAATTAAATTATTTATACTTTCTACTCTTCTAAATCATATAATGCCTTTAGAGAAAGCAGTTTTTATTCCATGTTGTTGCTAGTAGCAACAGACATTTAATTCAGTAAACTTACTAGATTGTGGAAAATAATCAACTCTCTTTGGAGAAATAAAACAAAGAGGTCTGTTTGATTTTTCTATTAAAATGATATGTTTTGTGTTTCTACATCTTAGTAAACTACATGTGGCACTCAGCAAATTATTTAGCCCCTTGAATCTCAATTTCTGCATTTATAAAATGAAAGTAACATTAGTACCAATTCCATCAGCTTGTTTTGAGAATAAATTGGAAAAATTTGTAAAGTGTTTACCATATGTCCAGCATCTATTACATACTAAATACATTCTAGCTATTAGTACAGCTAATATAGGATTCTATTCATTTAAAGTATCCAATCATTTAAACTTGCCATTCTTTAATGAGCCTGCATTGTTTAAATTCTTTATTACTTGAATTTGAAGACAAGAACAATTGTATTCAACTGATAGCTCAATTGATTTCTTGGAGTAGTTGAGACACTGAATTTTGATATATATATATATATACACACACATATACACACACACACACATACACATACACACTTGGAATTTGTATTATGGCCCAATAAATACTTTTTAAATTAATAAATATAATCTGTTAACATGTATTTAGAAAGTAGTAGAAAAGTTCATCTCAGTATCTGCTAAGAATTGATGAAATCCAAATTTTATTCCTTACTCCCCACCACTCTCACCTCTAAGTTATGCAGAATGGCTATTATTAAAAAGCCAAAAATCAGTAGATGTTGGCAAGGCTGTGAAGAGGGAACACTTATATACTGTGGGTGGGAATGTAAGTTAGTTTCAGCCACTGTGGAAATCGGTTTGGAGATTTCTTTTCTTTTTTTGAGACGGAGTGTCACTCTTGTTGCCGAGGCTAGAGTGCAATGGCACGGTCTTGGTTCACTGCAACCTCAGTCTCCCCGGTTCAAGCTATTCTCTTGCCTCAGCCTCCCATGTAGCTGGGATTACAGGCACTCACCACCACGCCTGGCTAATTTTTGTATATTTAGTAGAGGCAGGGTTTCACCTTGCTGACCATGCTGGTCTCAAACTGACCTCAGGTGATGCGCCACCTTAGCCTCCCAAAGGGCTGAGATTACAGGCATGAGCCACCACATCAGGCCTCGGTTTGGAGATTTTTCAAGGAACTTAAAACAGAGCTATCATTTGACCCAGGAATCTCATCACTGAGTATATACCCAAAAGAAAACAAACCATTTGACCAAAAAGACACATGCACTCTTGTGTTCAGCACAATGCTATTCACATCAAAGACATGGAGTCAACTTAAGTGCCCTTCAGTAGTGGCTTGGATAAAGAAAATGTGGTACACATACATCATGGAATCCTACACAGTGATAAAAAAATTAAAAAAATCATGTCCTTTGCAGCAATATGAATGCAGCTGGAGGCCATTATCTTAAGTGAATTAACACAGGAACAAAAAACCAAATAATGCATGTTCTCACTTACAAATGGGAGCTAAACATTGGGTACTCATGGACATAAATGGGAATAATAGACACTGGGGACTACAATAGCACCTATTGGGTGCTATGCTCAATACCTGGGTGATGGGATCCATACCCCAAACCTCAGGATCACACAGTATACCCAATGTAACAAACTTGCACATATACCAACCCTATCTAAAATAAAAGTTGAAATTATAAAAAAATTAAAGTATCTTCCAGTTTAAAATATCTATGACAAAGTTTCTAATGAGTGATACTCAGCTCTGGGGATTGGCATAGATCCCAGAGCCTGGTAAAAGCTGGAGATGCCAGAATAAGACAAGCTCACACAGGAGAACTTATGTGTAATTAGGTGGGAATTTTGGATTGATATCTTAGCTGAAAATTTTAATTTTGCTATTTAAAATTGAAATAAATCTTATGACTTGTAAAATATCAGATTACAGGAAATAATTCCTCTAAAGCTGATTAATTTTTTATTTAACTATCTTCCGTATATGGGGCATATGTAAGGTTAAAAAACTCTAGAAACTAGTTGACTTCGGTAATTCTATTAAGTCTTCAGTACCTCAATTTCTTCACCAGTGAAGTGGGAATAAAAATATATATCACTAAGTGAGGGTGAAATAAGGTGATATAGATTATGCCTGTTGGTAAACCTGTAAGCCCTCAGCAGATACTTGTTAGTATTCCCTCTGTCTCTAGACTGCAGAATTTTTCTGTTTTTTGAGGGGGAGAGTGTTTCATTCATCACTGTCATCGAGTTTCAACACCTGTCTCATAGTAGGCACTCAATAAATGTTACAAGCTAATAGGCTTGGATGTCTGCATTGGTAGATTTTAGCTTTAGTCGTGCAGCCTTCAAAATTTCCATGATTCTATTTTAGTCTTCATGGAATTGTGATTGAGACTGTCAGCCAAGACTAATGAGAATAAGGTGAAGAAATTTTATTAACTTTTAAACAAGCTCCCAGCCTTTCTAGGGAGCCTCTGGTGATGAGTCATCATGCTATTTCTGTATGGCTATCAAGGCTGAGTTCAGAATAGAATCTTTGGTTGTGACAAGATGCTTTTATATAACATTTTATATAATACTAAAATGATATTTCAATTCAGATTTTATTTCAGAAAAAACACATCCAAAAAAAGAGCAAAAGAAGCTTAGAGAAAATGTTAATCCTGGAAAATAACTACATATCTTCATAAAATAATGAATGCAGTATTTAATAATATGCTGTCAAAGAAAGCTCAAAAATAGGATTTGGAAGTCTCAAATTCTTGTCCTTAGTATCTAACAACCTTTGTTATCTTGGGCACATTTTTACCCTGTTAGAAGCTTGATTTCTTTAGAGGAAGACTTTTGAACCAGACATTTTTCAGTGTCTCTCACAAAACTGTGGATATGGACACTGAAAGAAATTCTCATTGCATTCTTTTACTCTCCTTGATATTCATGACAATCTGTTTTGTCCAGAGCAATTTTCAGGCATGTGACACATATATTCTAAGGTTATGCTTCTCAATACTTTATTTTTATTTACCATCAATGAAAAAATTTCAAATTGTATATTGAGAGGCACTGTTTTTCAAAGCTTCCAAAATTTTCAAACAGCAATGTAAATGGGCTTTTTTAGGGATATAACAGAGAACAATAATTTCTTCATTTGTTCTGTGGTTAGATTGGTGGTATCATTTAGCAGCCATATAAACCAGACTGCATATAGCTTTAAGCTATATATAAAAATAAAATATATATATATATATATTATATATATATATATATATATATATATATATATATATATATATATATATATATCTTTTTCCTTTTGTACAAGCCACAGGAATCTAGGGACTATACTTATATCTGTATAGTATAATATGCTGGACTATAGAGTGACAGGCTCTGTAAACAAGTGTTTTATTTTAGAACTTAAGCTAAAATCTACTTTTTAAAAATTATTGAAACTTTGATAGAACATAATATTAAATTATTAAGAAAACAAATTTCAAGTGTCTGATGCCACCCAGGTTTACTGAATGATGGCAATGAAACCTCAGGATTGATTTGAGACTAGTGCTGGGTGAAGCATCTCTGAATGCTAATCAATTTATCTGGCTCACATGCAAGGTATAGGCTCAAAATAATTTCAGTTCCCAATTCAGCTGGGGTACTGTGTTAATTATAAATTGAGCTTAAGATAATAACGTTTAGATAATTAGTTCCTTTGTAAACTTCACTTGTAATAAGCTGAAGCTGTCTTCTCTTTAAATATGGCTTCTTCACACACAAAAATTGGTTTTATAGTAAGCATAGCACATACTTTATGTCATCTGTATTTGAAAGCAAACTCTCCAGGCTTAGTGGAATAAAGAATTCAGAAGTCATGGAAATGCCATTATTGTTAAGAAAAAAACTATTAACCTGAAACATTTCACTAAAGGTAACCATAACTATATTCACTAGGTCTACAAAGCAAGAAAATAATTAAATAAGAAATGTTTTCCCCACTATGTTTTTCTGAACCATGCTGATAATATGCAACACACACCTATTGACATGTGCCTAATTCTTGGTTGACCATTCTTTCCTTTACCAGTGAAGAAAGGGTTTGTAAGTTTCTATTTTGTTGAGATAACTTTATATTTGCTGCAATTAATTTGGGCTGTCATTTATTATTGCTCATGTATTTTTTATTGTGAAATATATCATCCACGTAGGGTAGTAAATACATAGTAAATAAGCATATTAAAGCATTAAATAATAAAGCAAGCAGGTATCTACCACCTTGTTCACAAATCAGTAACTTTCCAGTAACCTGGATGCTGTTTCTTTCTGATTGCATCAGCCTGCCACTCCCAGAAGTATTCATTGTGTTGTCACTTTTTATACCTTTTTTTCACTTTGTTTTAGATATACTATATCTGTATATATCCCTTAACTATATCTATCTTTCCTGTCTTTAAATGTTATACAAATGGAATTGCACTGTGTATAATAATGTTTAATTATTTTTTGCTCTGTTTTATTTATTAGAGTTATCTATGCTGTGTCATGTAACTGTAGTTTATTTTTGTTGTTGATGAAATTTATGATGATGATATTCTATTATATTATTCACTCTATGTTCTTATTAAATATAATGATATCAGTATCAGGTTATTAGTGATGGACCTCAGATATAAATCTATGTTGTCTGGCTCCAAATACTGTACTCTTAAACATTATATGCATTATTACACACAATAATGCTGCAATATGTATTCTACATACACCCCAGTGCAAATATATAATAATTTACCTAACATATAAATTTATGACTGAAATTGATGGGTTGTAGGCTATGTGAGAATGCAAATTCATTAGACCATTTAAAAAATTTTCCAAAATGGTGATAAAAGTTTATAAGTCACAATGGCATATGAATATTCCTCTTGCTCCATTTTCTAGCCAAATTAAACATTTAAATTTGTTCTAATCTTATCTGTATTCAGTGGCTTTACAGTGTGATTTAATTTGAATTTTTAGTAACTGGTAAACAGCTTTTCACTTGTTGACTGCCTAATTGGATTTTTTCTTTTGTAAAATGCCCATTAAAGGCTCCTGCCTATTTTTAAATGGAGTCTCTCTCATTTTCTTATTGAATGTAGTTTTCAATATTTTAATAATTAGTTATTTTTTCAGATGTATAAATTGCAAATATTTGTTCACAGTCAGTGTTTTCTACACTGCCTTTGTGGTGTAATGATTTGCAATGCTGTTGAATGCATTACCTTTTTTTTTTAATTAGCAGCTGTTTGTGATCTGTTTTAAAAAACTATCATGGAACCTTAAGTCACAAAATATTCTTTTTTATTATCTTCTAAAATACTTGTAATTTTGCTCTTCACATGTGAAATCCTGATGCACAAGGAACTGATTTTCATGTATAGTGTGATACAAGAGCCTAGGTCAATAATTCCCATATTTAGATATTCAATATTCTAAGCAGCATTTGTTTATTTGTTGGCAGTATTTTATTTAAAAGCCCATCTTTTTATTAATGATCTCTTTATTAATGATTTATGACAGTGCCACCTCTGTCATAAATTGAGTGACCATCTGTGCATGGAAGTATTTCTACTATGTGTCATCTGTCTGTACCAGAACTTTGTTTTCCTTCAAGGGTATCTTGGCTATTCTGAGTCATTTTAACTTCCAAATAAATTTTTAAGTCAATTTTTTTAGTTTTTCTATTTATATTTTAATCCAAGCACCATTAATAACTAAATCATGACACTTAATCGGTTATGGAAGAGTTGTACCTAGCATCAATTTCAAGAACCAACTTATTTAGAGATTTGATTCTTTAGACAGCCACTTAGTTCCAGTGTTTTTCTGGGCTTCAAATTGTACTTTTCTACCTACTGAACCTACTTAGAGTTGAGTTCAATCTTTCTGGACAAGTGTTAACTTGTCCAGTCCAATTTTTATTTGAACAGAGAATACATAATGAGAATAAAACTATGTCAGAAGTAAGAAATTATAAAAAATTTTGGGAATATTTATTCATTTGTTTTTACTTATGAAAGAATATTTCTAGAGAACATAACTTTGCAGTAGTTGGATATAGTTAAAATTTCAGTGAATTGAATAATGAATTCCTCTGATTTTAACTTAATGTGTTACAACGCAATTTGTAAGGCATTGGAGATAACATTAGCTCACCCTTGAAAATAAGTTCTCCCCAGTACTGGAAGGGTTTTTGCTAACATATGCAGCTCTAGTCTACAATATAATGGAGTTTAAAGATGTGCAGTTTTAACAAGGTCTCAATATGTTACTTTTTACAAAGAAGCTAAAATTGGTCGATTTTAACTAAGGAGGATATCAGGGACCTATAATTACCCGAGGATTGTAGTTCAAGAAAGGGCTTAGGCAGAAACAAATCATTTTTCAATTAGATTGTTTTCTTAAACACTTTCTGTAAATGTAGGGAACACAGGAATACATTACAGGTATCTTTGAAATTTTTAGAGATATGAGCAAGATAGAAATACTTGTTCTTCTTTTACTGGACTTACTTTCTAGTCTTTGTCTTCATAGGGTAACACTGATGAGCTGTAAATGCTTAACAGTTAGCTCTCAAGAGGACCAAAAAAAAACAAAATCCTAATGTGTAGTGTTTGCCAATATCCATGATATAAATACTCAAGCTTCTAGAGTGACATCACTGAATAAGGAGTTGGGAAGAGACATGCACAACCAACTCTTCCAAACTGCTATGAGCCTGTTTCAGCATACTAATAGTTACAGATCAAATTTAGCATTAATGAATCTCTACTTACCAATTCTGGTTATCTCCTGGCAGACAGTAAACAGAATTGTGTTTTCTTGCCCCCTTGTGGTTGAGTAAGGCCATGTGACTAGTGCTGGCCGAGGAGTGATAGTAGAGGTGTACAGTACAGGACAGTACAGTAGAGGTGTACAGATAGTAGAGTAAGACAAAATAAGATAATATTTTGTCTTAAGTATTGAACTGCCTTTGAAAGACCCTCCAGAGCTCTATTTTGCCTCTGCCAAGGTCATGAGCATCTGTCTTGTCATCACTTCAGTCTTAGAGTCAATATGAAAACCAAAGGGAGAAAAATAATCTGTGATAGACACGTAATATGAATGAGCATTAAGTCTTTGTTACACTGAACCACCGAAATGTGAGGATTGTTTGTCACTGCAACATAACTGATATGGTTTGACTCTGTGTCCCCATCCAAATCTCATCGTGTAGCTTCCATAATTCCCTGGTGTTGTGGGAGGGACCCGGTGAGAGATGACTGAATTATGGGGCAGATCCTTCCCATGCTGTTCTCATGACAATGAATGGGTCTCACGAGATCTGATGGTTTTAAAAATGGGAGTTGCCCTCTGCAATTTTTCTTTTTGCCTGCTGCCGTCCATGTAAGATGCGACTAGCTCCTCCTTGCCTTCTGCCATGATTGTGAGGCCTCCCCAGCCATGTAGAATTGTAAGTCCAATAAACCTATTTCTTTTGTAAATTGCCCAGTTTCGGGTATGTCTTTATCAGCAGTGTGAAAACGGACTAATCAATAACCTAGCCTATTCTGCCTGATAAAACCAATTTTCACAGTGATTAAAAAAGTCTCTCCATTTAAACACTAAAATATTAAATCAGCTTATGTCAAACACTGCGATTTGATTTTTTTAAATCCAAATGCCAAGTTGGCACAGTCTGTACCGTTCACCTCAGCCAAATTCCATTAGGTATTTTCATCTTTCTTGTCTTTTTGACAAAAACATAAATTTGAACTAGAAGTCACTGCTTGAAAGATTCAGAAAAAGAGGTGATGTTTCATTCACTTACTTTCAGTTGTTAAAGGTTTATAGTCTTACTACGTGGCTAAGTAATATATAGAAATGATAGTACTTTAAATCAAACATTTTGGTTTGTATTCTATGATTATCATACCTGATGTTTTTATGGCACTCACCTATACTCAAAAGAAATCAAGCATAAAAAGACTTTTGAAGATTAGGCTATGTTTTAATCATACAAATCAAAGCCATAAAAAATAGATAATGACAGTGAATGCATGCTGTTGGTATTTCTGACTAATTTATAAAGTCAAATGCATTATTAAAACTTGCTGAAAAAAAGAAAGGCAAATTCAAGCAAAATGATACCCAGTGAGCCTGTTTCAAGTGCTACTGTTTTCCATGTTAATCAGGCCCTCTAAGAACAGAGATCACACCTCTCAATTTCTAGTCGAGGAGCATTACCCACTGGGTCTAAAAGGTGTCAGATTTTGAACAGCGTAGTTTTGTCACAGGAAATTGAGTTATACAGCAGTTATTTTCTTGCTGTTTTTTTCCAAGTAATGTTGTCTCTGGAAAACAGAGTGAGGCAGCAAGAGCTAAATCAAAATGATGTCTGTTTTAATTTTTTCTTAATGTCATTTATACAAATAACTTGTTTTGTAATTAATGAATAATACTGAATATGAAAGAATTATGAAAGATACATCAGTTTCACATTAGTACCTATGTTTCTATGTAGAGAATAAAAATAAGACTAGCACGTCACTATACAATCCTGTGAAAGTCAAATCTTGTACTACAGACCAATTTTAGATGTGATGGCCTAATATTAGTTTTAAAACACTGTTGTATAATATGATACATTATAAAAAATTGTTTAATGAAAAGCTAGATGTCAATATTTGGCACACATTTGTGTTAATATTTTCTTATTTTTATGAAACTCAGTGATACCAAAAATAAAACTTCTCTGATCTCAATCTCAAGAAAACCTTATGTTTGTGATTGCCTTTATGTCCTGCTGGATGCCTACCCTACATTACTGTAGATATATGTGGCTGCATAGTTGTGGGAAAGTTTCATAATGTATAGTTAAGCTAAAAAAACAGAAAAGATACATAAGTTATCATTTTATATGTATGCCAATCACGAGGGTAAAAAATGTTTGGATAGCTGGTATGGAAATTCACCTTAGTTGAGAGAACTGAGAAAGATGTCTAAATAAATGTATTACTGGCAGAAGGGAGAAATCTGAAGACGTTGGAATTGGCAGAAACAAAGAGCTCAAAAGAGAAGAGCAAAACTCTTTACAGTGTAAACTCTTCATACTGAATAAAAGATAAATTACATTTATAAAAAAAAAAAAGTCAGACAAACATTTGGGAACGTAGGAGCCTAAGACAGTCACATAGGCTAGGGGTGAGGGGAGATCGAATGAGAAGGAGTCAGGGAGAGAACGACAGTTATAGCATGACCGAAATAAAAATTAAAACTTAAGGGTTTTAAGGATATTTAAGGATACCACTTATTATATGCCTAACACTGTTCCTCATTGTGATGGTTAATATTGAGTATCAACTTGACTGGATAGAAGGATGCAAAGTATTGTTCCTGGGTGTGCCTGGGTGTGTCTGTGAGGGTGTTGCTAAAGGAGATTAACATCTGAGTCAGTGGACTGGGAGAGGCAAGCCCACCCTCAAATTGGGTGGGCACCATCTAATCAGCTGCTAGCATGGCTAGGATAAAGCAGGCAGAAAAAGTTGGGAGGACTAGACTTGCTGAGTCTTCCAACCTTCATTTTTCTCTCATGCTGGATGCTTCCTGCCTTTGAACATTGGACTCCAAGTTCTTGAGCTTTTGGACTCTTGGACTTACAACAGTGGTTTGCCAGGAGCTCTGGGCCTTTGGATGCAGACTGAAGGCTGCACTGTCGGCTTCACTACTTTTGAGGTTTGGGACTCAGACTGGCTTCCTTCCTCCTCAACTTATAGATGGCCTATTGTGGGACTTTGTGATTGTGTGGGTCAATTCTCCTAGTAAACTCCCCTTCATAAATACATATATCCTATTAGTTTTGCCCCCTTTAGAGAGCCCTAATACTCATTTTCTAATGAACTTTATAAATCAAACTACATAATACTGAAATTAAGCCCATTTACACTGCTAAAAATAGGAAACAATTTTAGCTACCCGTTCTACAACCCTTCTCACTATCACATGGACAAATCCTTTGAGAGAGACTACTGAAGTCTAAGTTTTCTTGCTGAAATTATTGGAAAGGCCATGTGGAAAAGCCTGATTTTCAAACCTGGGCTAATAATTGTAGGACAGAAATTAAATTTTAGAACAAAAATACTGCATGGTAGGTACATGAAACCAGACACAGAGACAATGTTGGCCCTAGGAATTACCACAATGGTTCAGAGCATTGATGAAAATGGCCAAACTCGGCAAAATATTTAAAGAGGCTTATTCAGAGCCAAATATGAGTGTCGATGGCCCATGACACAGCCTCAGGAGGTACTGAGGGCATGTGCTTAAGGTGGTTGTGTTATATCTTGGTTTTATACATTTTAGGGAGACAGAAGTTACACGCAAATACATAAATCAGTACACGTAAGGTATACATTGGTTTGTCCTAGAAAGGTGGGACATCTTAAAACCGAAGGCACGTTCTAGATTCTAGGTGGATTTAAAGATTTCCGGTGGTAATTGTTTGAAAGAGTTAAGCTTTGCCCAAGAAGTTGAAGTCAACATAAAGAAATGCTTGAGTTAGGATGTGGGGGATTATGGAAACCAAGGTTCTTGTTGTGTATATAAAGCCTGCATGTAACAGGCTTCAGAAGGAATAGATGGTAAATACATCTTATGGGACCTTAAAATACAGAGTAGACTCTATAGAAAAGACCTAGTAAGGGAAAGAGATTCTCTGCAGAATGCAAATTTCGCCCACAAAAGACAGCTTTGCATGGCCATTTCAAAATGTGTTAAAGAAAAATATACTTTGGGGTAAAATATTTTGATTCACTGGACCTGCTGTCTATTATGTGATGCCACGCCAGAGTCAGGTTGGAGTCAGGTATCCTATTGCTACAGAGTCACTTTTGTCAGTCTTATGATCTTTGATCTCTATTTAAATGTTAATACTGGTCAATTGTGTCTAAAGGCCAAAGAGAGGGGTTATAACAGGCATGTATGTCCAAGCCCCTTTTCTCATCAAGGCCTGAACTAGTTTTTCAGGTTTCTTGGGATTTCCCTGGTCCTGTAGGGGGTCCATCCAGTGGGTTGTGGGGGCTTGGAATTTTAATTTTAGTTTACAAGTGGAATACACAGGTCAAAGGCAAGCTTACCTAGATCTCAAGGGTCTTAAAAAAAAGTAACTTCATATAAAATAATAACTACATTAGTAATAGCTCTAGGTGGTGAGATTGAGAATGGTTTGTATTTATTTTTTTTTGTTTCCGAGTTCATATAATAAACATAGATAAATCATGTAGCTTTTTATTTAGAAAGATTTAGAAATTAGTGCAAATGAACACAGAAGCACAGTAACAATAGCAATTAGGAAACACAACCAGGGTTTGCACTATGAAAATTTTTACATAAATTCTTGGTTAATTTGGAGACATTTTTTTCCCTTGTAGTTTAAATGACACACATACTGGTACAGTCTGCTTTGAATATATGAAACATATTTTGTTCTAAAATAGGTTTTACCTTATTTTTGACAAGCAATTTTCAAAATTTTTTTAAGTTTAGGAGAGATATTTTTGAGTTCAAATTATAGCCCATTAAAATCACTAGATAATAATCATGCATTAATGGGGAAGCAAGGTAAATGTATGCAACATTTGAAATGAATTAAAAAATTCCCAAGGCATATAGATGCTTGTATGAGTTGTTAGCAATGGAGACATCTTTTAAAATGTGTAATTATGCCGCCTCTGTTAAAGAGTCATTAATTAATTTTTATTCCTTCCTCAATTAATCTACTCTGAATATTTCAACACATTTTATTCCAGTATTTCTTTTTTAATCCTGTTTTTCCAGTAAGCAGATCCTGAAATTAAGTGTGAGCCCTGTTTACTAACACAGCTTCCATCCATTTGTTTGAACAGGGTAAGCTACATCTGTAAAGAAAATTGTCTAACTGTAATTCATTTCCTTAATCTTTCTCATTACCAACCTCATTCCATTGTTATTCTATTTATTTTTCCACTTCCAGAAATATTCCCAAGCACTTTAATCCTATGTCACAGTGGCTGCTTTAGTCTCTGGCTGTAGAATTCCTCAAATATTTGAACCCTCGCCCTGTGATGATTTTGCTTTTGCCTCCACATTTAACTCAGGTGTCTAAGGACACTTCAAAGATTCCTCAACTGAAACACCTGTTGATTGTTTTATGTGATATTTAGGGATCCAATTACAATCAATGTGATCTCTTTTAATTACCATTTGTGAAAATTTAGTCTTTCTCAAATTTCGAATTTTTGAACTCTCGGACCTATGGCAGCAGAAATGTTCTTTCCTTCAAATGTCATTTTACTCGATCCATGGAGTGTATCTACAGTATTTTGCTTTATTGCCTCATCCAGTTTCTTGCCTCCTCTTGAGCAAACCAAATTGTATAGATAGATCAATGGATAGATGGATAGATCAATGATAGATAGATAATTTTTACTTATTAAGTAGTCTTAAGTAATTCTCTTCCACTACATCATGTTTACAGGCATAAAGCACATCAATCTTTTTTCTTTCCTAAAACAATTCTCCAAATATGGTCTTGTTCCATCCTCAATAATACATATTTATGAAAATAATAATCTCTTCATCTGTCCAAACCATCCATTGCACAGACAAATTCTGTCAATCATCCCTCTCTGAATAAAACAATTCTACCCTCTCATTCTTTCAAAATGTACTCTCGATTTTTTTGTTGTTGTTCTTAACTCCCTTTAGTGTGCATCATCTTCTCTAAGCTTTCCTTTTTTACCTTACTAAATAAATTTGTGGATATGATTTCATAGCATCTTAAAAATACTGCATCAACATATTTTTAAAACAATGCTTGAATCTAGGTTTTCCTAGGCTTCCATTCCTATTTATGTCTACACAATATGGGTTTCCAGTTACACAAGAGTTGTTTCCCAAAATTGGTTCTTGGTTTTCTCTCATATGTTGAGGTAAGGCCTCTAAATAATTTTATGAACTTATATCCTCTTAGAGAGAGATAGTTCCATAGACTCTGTGATTTTTTCCCCTCTTTCTGTGAAATATATTTTAGGTGTCACTCATCTTTTATCAATTAAAAGAAAAAATTTCTGTCTCCACTAGACCCACCAACAAGAGCAGTGAAGGGCATTTCCTATTCCCTTTCATATTTATCTAAGCTGATCTTTCAGATTTTTACATTTCCCCTAAAGTTTTCTTTTTTTCCAAAATAATTAGTTTATGTTATTAATCTCCATTTTCCTTTTTAATGTTGCTCTCATTTTGAGTTAAAAAAAAAAATGTTTCTCTTTGAACTTTCTTTTTTGAATCTCAGAGCAAACCGTTCTCAGAAACAATCTTTCATATTCGTGTGTCTTTTTAATTACCTCCTTATTTGTGTGTTTGTAATAATGCCCTAGAGATGTATTTCTTTTCCAAGCTCATGAGATGTTATGTATCTTTTAAAGGTGGCTTCTTCCCCAATTGTCTTCATGTGTTCATTGATAAAATTACCATACTCTGTGATTGAACCTCAGAGGCAGTGTCGGGGGGTCTAATAGATCTGTGGACTCAAGTCAAGTTTTACTACTAGTGTTCCATCTTTAGCCTTAGATTAAATTACTCAGAGCATAAAGCAGCACAATTTGGGACAGAGGATCAGACATTACCTATCATTATCTATCCATGACTAACACAACCATTAGACAAAACCTTTTTCACTGGGCAGCATCTTCCTTACCCCATGTGAATTAGAGCAATAAAAATATTACATGCCTTTTCTGATACTTTGTAACTATGTGCTGAAAAAATATTGTAAGAAATATTGAAGACTGCCATAATTATTATGACAAGAATAGCACCCCCTAGAGTTGTGCTGTGCACATCCTATTCTGAAGTTTTTAACCACCGATATGGTTTGGCTATGCCCTGACCCAAATCTCATCCTGAATTGTAACTCCTACAATTCCCATGTGTTGTGGGAGGGACCTGGTGGGAGGTAAGTGAATCATGGGGGCCGGTCTTTCTCATGCTATTCTCGTGATAGTGAATATGTCACATGAGATCTTATGGTTTTAAAAAGGGGAGTTTGCGTGTACAAGCTCTCTTGTCTGTCGCCATATGAGATGTGCCTTTCACCTTCCACCATGATTGTAAGGCCTCTACAGCCACATGGAACTGTAAGTCCAATAAACCTCTTTATTTTGTAAATTGCCCAGTCTCAGCCACATCTTTACCAGCAGCATGAAAATGCACTAATACAACCACATTCACTTTATCCAATTCCATGGTTTAAAATTCAGACTGTGGTGCTGAATGAGATTAATTTTAAGAAGAAAAAAAGGCACTTTTGTTATACATCGAAGAAAGATGCCCAATAATTCCTACATCACTGCCTGTAAATATCAGCTAGTATTTACCAGTCAGGTGGCTGTCCACTAAATTTTAGAAAAAGTTAATTGATCATCCAACTAAAATATCATGAGAGAGTGTTTCCTGCCCTTCACCACACCTGTATTTATTGATATGAAGTACTGAATTAGCTCATCTTGACACTTAAGATACACTTTTTTAAATACTGAACTCTTCAAACATGTTCTTGAAGGCACCAGCCAAGGTTGCTCTTAATATTTACAGTGGCTTCACGGGATAAAAAGCCACAGTGTTGTCATCTAGAAATCCTATCACCATTGCCTTGTCCAAAAACTTGGGGTCCTGATTTGAATTTTGCTCCTCAATGCCATTTCCTGGGAAATGGTCTGTGTATTAAGAATGTAGGACTGTATCTGCCTAAAACTTCTTCACTCTAGCATATAAGCAATTGAGAGGATTAAAAAAAAAAAAGACATGCAAAATGAGAGAGTAAGAGGCTCTTAAAGTTGGGCTTGTCACCTGCACCACCAAGAAAAAAATCAGTTTACTGGAAAGAGTGATTGGAATTAACTACTTAGGAACTCTGGAACTGATTGGACACTTTTAACAATCAACAAACTCTTTGATGAATAAAGAGGTGATGGTTCTTTGATATGATCCAGATACCCATTGCCCTCTCTTCAGCCTTCTGTGTGGAGAATAGCTCACATGACCTCATTGCTGGAGCATCTGGCTGGTGCCAGGATGCGTAGTAAGGACATTGTCCTCAAGAAATTGGGGTTGTGCTGTTTGGCAGAAGCAGTTGCCAATGGCTTTTTGAGGGGGGAATAATAAAGTGTTGCAAACTATAGTAGTAGTGATGGTTGCACAACTTTGTTAATATATTAAAGTATATTTAAAATTGTAAATTGTATAATATGTGACTATCTCAATAAAGCTGTTATTATCCTCCACACCACTCCTCCTCCCTCATATAAGTATAACAATAAGGTTTGGAGAATGTCTGGAGAAATTGAAAACCTTGAATATTGCTTGTGGGAATGTAAAAGTTGTAGCCTTTTTTTTTTTTTTTTGAGATGGGGTCTTGCTCTATTGCCCAGGCTGGAGTGCAGTGGCACCACGTCGGCTCACTGCAACCTCCGTCTCCAGGATTCAAGCGACTCTCCTGCCTCAGCCTCCCAGGTAGCTGGGACTACAGGTGCCTGCCATCATGCCCTGCTATTTTTTTTTTTTTTTTTGTATTTTTAGTAGAGACGGGGGTTTCACTGTGTTAGCCAGGATGGTCTCAATCTCCTGACCTCATGATCCATCTGCCTCAGCCTTCCAAAGTTCTGGGATTACAGGCGTGAGCCACCGGGCAAAAATGCCCGGCCAATTTTAGCCATTTTGAAGACTGTTTTGACAGTTTCTTAAAGGATTATACATAAACCAACTATATGAACCTACAACTTCACTCTCACATGTCTTTTCAGAAGAATTGAATGTATGTCCACACAAAGGCTTGTAGGTGCATATTCACATCATGGTAACTCATAATAGCAACAAAACACCCAGGAAAAAATCCATGTGACTGTCAACTGTGAATGGGTAAACAAAATGTTGCATATCTATGCAATGGTACACTATTCAGTAATAAAAAGGAACAAACTAAAGATACATCCATCTAATGCAGAAAAACCTCAAAAACCTTACACTGAATGAAAGAAGGCAGAAACAAAAGACTTATTATATTTATAAGGGATTTCCTGGAAAGGCAAACCTATAAAGACAGAAGATCAGTAACTGCCTCGGGCTGAGGGTGAGAGTGAAGACTGACTGAAAATAGACACAAAGGAACATTTTGGGGTGACAGAAATGATTTAAAACTAGATGGTGGTGGCCGGGCACGGTGGCTCACGCCTGTAATCCCAGCACTTTGGGAGGCCGAGGTTGGCAGATCACGAGGTCAGGAGATCGAGACCATCCTGGCTAACACGGTGAAACCCCGTCTCTACTAAAAAATACAAAAAAATTAGCCAGACGCCGTCGCGGTTGCCTGTAGTCCCAGCTACTCGGGAGGCTGAGGTGGGAGAATGGCGTGAATCCAGGAGGCGGACCTTGCAGTGAGCCGAGATCGCGCCACTGCACTCCAGTCTGGGCAACAGAGCAAGAGTCCATCTCAAGAACAAAACAAAACAAAACAAAACAGAAAACCTAGATGGTGGTTTTGGTTACATAGCTTTATAAATTTACTAACGACATTGAATAATGCACTTATTGTATGTAAATAAAAATTAAAAACTGCTTTAAAATGAGCAAACATTTCATATCATTTCTATCTCTAAAATGTAGACAACTGGTACACTTGCATTGTCTATTTCTAATACATTGTTTTTCTATTTCTTAAATTGCTGCCTGTATCTCCATATCAAATTTTCAGAGAGGGCAACTGATGTATGAGATTTTTATTATAATACAAGGAACAATTAATAATTACACCCAGTAGCTTCTGTTTCTACATGGAATTATAACTAAGAATCTGACCTCTTATGATAGCACCATAAAAAGGAAAAAAGAGTTAACTGGTGCTTTCGTATGGTATATTAATCAAGGTTATTATTTGTGTGCATAAATGCTATTCCTTGTCATTTTAGTCATGAACGTGATTTATAAAACAGCCCTGAGTTTGTAAAACTATACTTGAGAACAAAGAAAAGTTTGGCACATGAATTCATTTTTCATGTAGACTTCAAGGTAGTTGAAGTCAGTGGGAAGAAAACGGGTTCTTCTACTTCAACATATCACATAGCAGAAGGAAATGAATCACATAGATCAGTCCTAACCTATATATCACTTATTCTCAATTATCTCCCTTGAAAGGGGGGGGGGCGCCTAATTGAACATAATTTGGGGGTGAGTCTGACATCTATTGGGACTTGTTTTCTTTGCTTGGTATCACTGTGATATGGTTAGTCAGTCCCAAAACACCACATTCACTAAAATCTGCTACCAAAAAGGAATAATCTTGTTTTTCTGTCTACTTTTAAAATTATACAAACTACCCTCCTTCTTCCACTATCCCAGAGTTTAAGCTGAATTTGTGTGAGTGTAGGAAGTTTAATCATAGTATCTGCCCCACGTATCAATTTATTGCCTCTCAGCTCCAAATTTATACACACACTCTCTGTCTCTCAAAATGCACAGAATTCCTTTAAGCATCCTTACTTTAGAGTGAACACACTATTCAGCTTTCTCAGTAGAGGGCACTAGAGGGATATTGCAAAAGAAAGGGCTCTCCGGTTTCCCTGTTGAGTCAACAGTGCAGGCTGAAGCCATCAGGTGAAGCTCAACTCCAGCTTTGGTGTTGGCCAGAATATATGGTCTCCTGGTGACACTGCAGCCCCAAAATGGCCCAGTGATCACCTTCACATTGTCCTCTCAACACAGAAACCCGTGCCTGAAAGGCTTTCTACCTTGGCATCCTGAATTCTTCTCCATGTCTCTGACATCCACTTGCTGCCTGTGTCATCAGTTGCTGTTGAACGGCACCCCTCCTACTATCTCGAGTGTTTCTTTTTCCTGTCCAGTGACTTGACTTCAGGCTAATTTTTGGCCTAGTCAAATTGGTGAATATTTCTGATATTCAATGGGTAAAACTACACCTTCTCCAATAAAGTCTAGACACCAGCCTTCAAGAGTCTGGGTAGTGGTGGTTTGAGGGGCGGTGGGAGGCACTTTCAAAGCTGTCCTTCCATAGGTATTCTCCTTTAGCTCTAGGGCACTAAATAGACTTTTTCCCTAATTATGTGCCTACTGTGTTACTCACTATATGGTTTCTAAGTCTTGATTTGAACCAGCTTATTAGTATAGTTTGTTGTGTATCTTGGGATCTTTATTTTGCTGTTATTGCTGAAATTGTCACCATTTATTACATTCCTAATGTTAAAAAATGAGAACATTTAAATTATTGCTTAATTAAAAGTAGGAAGAAACTCAGGAAGGCTTTAGGAGAAAATGATAAAAATTGTTTCTCAATTGTGATGGGTGATGCTCAGGGAGGGAGGAAGACTTTGCCATGTATCCTTTTTTATTGGTTTTTGCAGTAAAATATAAATTATGTAAATTTTCCCATTTTAAACATTCTAAGTGCACAATTTGAAGACATTAAATGTATTCACAATGTTGTTAAACCATTACCACTATGTATTTCCAGAAATGTTTAAACATCCTAAACAGAAATGCTAAATTCACTAAGCAGTGGGTCCCCATTTTTCCCTGATTTTTGCCCAAGGTAACCTCTATGCTACTCTTTTTGTCTAAAATTTGTCTGCTAGATATCCAGCATAAGCCAAATAATCCAATATTTATCCTTTTGAGTATTGATTTATTTTGTTTAACAGATTTTCAGGGTTTATCCATATCATAAGATGTATCAGAACTTTATGTATTTTTATGGCTAAATAACCTCCCATTGTATGAATATACTACATTTTTGTATCTATTCATCTATTGTACTTTTGGGTTGTGTCAAAAACAGACTTTTGGTGAATTTTTAAAAATACCACTATGAGCATTGGTGTACAGGTACCTGTTTGAGTCCCTGTTTTCAACTGTTTGGGGAATATAACTAGGAAGGGAATTGCTGGACATTTACTTGAAATTTATTTGAGTAGGAAATTGGAAATATTAAAACAATGTATCCATAATCTTACATTTTAAAAATTTATGTATCAAAGTATGCCAGTCAATGTTGTCTAAAGAAATTTACAAGGAAAAACAGCTGCTCTCTACTCTTGCATTTAAAATAAATTTTTAAAGATTGTCCTTCCATCGGGTAAGTTACCTAATTGCTAGACTCTTGGTTGTGTGCTCACAACTAAGTATGTCCCGTTTTCATAGATTTTGAAGCTAATTATTACATTTTCTCCCCCATATTGCAACATAATACAATAGTTTCTCTTATTGTCATTATCTGGGTAACTATTTTAAATTATTTAGCAGTTAATTTAATTACATTTGGCAAATTTCCTGGCAATTTTCCCCACTCATCCCTTTTTCTGGACTGTCTATTAAGCACAGGAGACATAATGTAACAAAATAATTCCAAGTTAAGATTCAATAAGCATCTTGCAATGTTTTGTGTTTGTAAGATAAGATTTTGTATTATCCTTCCTTGTGCACAGCACATCTTCTAGCGTCACCCTATGACAGAGGTGAAATTGCCTTTCATTCAGGTGTGAGATCTTCCAGCATCCTGGAGGAACAGACTGCCAACCTCATATCACAAGGTTTGAAATTACACTGGAAATCACAATGTCTCTTTTCTTGACAGAAACAGCAGGAAGCAATATTCGTTTCAGACAGAGATAGAGACCCCCTACCTATAATGACTTAGATTGATTTTCAGAAAAGTTTCTTCCTTTTTTAAAAATAATAATTGCCTATGACACACTGTCCAGTATCTTTCTGCTTCCGCATTTTTTTCTGACTCTATGTCTATTTCCCTTTCTCTATAACTTGTGGTTCACTTATTTTTGTTATGTTGGAATACTAATTATGAAAATGCTGTTCAAGTGCAGTGCCCCTAAAACATCATGATGACTGCTTGTTATTAGCATCAACACAGGAATGTTACCAATACTTCTGTGTTCTCTATGAATATGGTACAGTCTAAAGTGACAGTCTTTTCCTTGCCTTCTAAAGAAATATACATTATATTCTATGCTGTCTAAAAATCAAATTATCCCATTTCTCTAAAAGGACCCATAACTTTAACTGATTACATGTCTTTTTAAAGGAGAATTAGATCAGAGTGTGTTTCAAATTATTTAACAGATAGTTTCAAGAATTAGAAAAAAAATGAGTATTTTAAAAAAAACAGGCTTTATCTACTACACATTGATTAGTAACATTCTAATAGGTATTTAGATGAAAACTATTAATACAAATGTACTTTGGAAGAATGGACAGGCATACAATGGTATAGCATAATGGATGACATATTCAAAGGCCTGCTCCTAAATGCCTGTGAGTGCAGTGCTACTGTGTCCAGAATTGGTGGGTTCTTGGTCTCACTGACTTCAAGAATGAAGCCGCAGACCCTCGCGGTGAGTATTACTGTTCTTAAAGGCGGCGTGTCCTGAGTTTGCTCCTCCTGATGTTCAGATGTGTTCGGAGTTTCTTCCTTCTGGTGGGTTCATGGTCTCCCTGGCTCAGGAGTGAAACTGCAGACCTTTGTGGTGAGTGTTACAGCTCATAAAGGCAGTTCGGACCCAAAGAGTGAGCAGCAGCAAGATTTATTGCAAAGAGCTAAAGAACAAAGCTCCCACAGCATGGAAGGGGACCCGAGCAGGTTGCCACTGCTGGATTGGGCAGCCTGCTTTTATTCCCTTATCTGGCCCCACCCAAATCCTGCTGATTGGTCCATTTTCACAGAGCACTGATTAGTCTGTTTTACAGAGAGCTGATTGGTCCATTTTGACAGGGTGCTGATTGGTGCATTTGCAATCCCTGAGCTAGACACAAAAATTTTCCAAGTCCCCACTAGATTAACTAGATACAGAGTGCTGATTGGTGCATTTACAAACCTTGAGCTAGACACAGAGTGCTGATTGGTGCATTTACAAACCTTGAGCTAGACACAGAGTGCTGATTGGTGTGTTTACAAACCTTGAGCTAGACACACAGTGCTGATTGATGTATTTACAATCCTTTAGCTAGACATAAAGGTTCTCCAAGTCCTCACTAGATTACCTAGACACAGAGCACTGACTGGTGCATTTACAAAACTTGAGCTAGACACAGGGTGCTGAGTGGTGTGTGTACAATCCTCCAGCTAGACATAACAGTTCTCCAAGTCCCCACTAGACTCAGGAGCCCAGCTGGCTTCACCTAGTGGATCCTGCACCGGGGCTGCAGGCAGAGCTGCCCACCAGTCTCATGTGGTGTGCCCACACTCCTCAGCCCTTGGGCAGTCAATGGCACCGGGTGCCATGGAGCAGGGGGCGGCACTCATCGGGGAGGCTCGGGCGGTGCAGAGGCCCACGGCGGCAGGGAGGCTCGGGCCTGGCAGGCTGCAGGTCCTGAGCCCTGCCCCACAGGGAGGATGCTGAGGTCCGGCAGGAATTCGAGTGCAGCGCCGGTGGGCCGGCACTGCTGGGGGATCCAGTGCACCCTCCGCAGCTGCTGGCCCAGGTGCTAAGCCCCTCACTGCCCAGGGCTGGCGGTGCCGGCCGGCCGCTCTGAGTGTGGGGCACATTGAGCCCATGCCCACCTGGAACTCGCACTGGTCTGCGAGCACCGTGTGCAGCCCCCGTTCCCACCCACGCCTTTCCCTTTTACATCTCTCTACAAGCCTAGGGAGCCGGCTCCAGCGTCAGCCAGCCCAGACAGGGGCTCCCAGAGTGCAGCAGCAGGCTGAAGGGCCCCTGAAGCACCGCGAGAGTGGGAGCCGAAGCCAAGGAGGTGCCGAGAGCGAGCGAGGGCTGCGAGGGCTGCCAGCATGCTGTCACCTCTCACTACAACTTCTACCTCTTAAGTGCATGTGGTACTTCTAAGAAATATTGGCTCTGGCTGGGCACAGTGGCTCACACCTGTAATCCCAGCACTTTGGGAGGCCTAGGCGGGCAGATCACGAGGTCAGGAGTTCAAGACCAGCCTGACCAATATGGTGAAACCTCATCTCTACTAAAAATACAAAAATTAGCTGGGTGTGGTGGTGCACGCCTGTAGTCCCAGCTACTTGGGAGTCTGAGGCAGGAGAATCACTTGAACCTGGGAAGTGAAGGTTGCAGTGAGCCAAGATCGTGCAACTGCACTCTAGCTGGAGCCACAAAGAGAGATTCCATCTCAAAAAAAAAAAAAAAAGAAAGAAAGAAGGAAAGAAAGAAAGAAAGGAAGGAAGAAAGGAAGAAAGGAAGAAAAAAGAAATTTTGGTTCAAGCACTCAGGAAATTTATTATTTTGAAGTACTCTGGTTTTTTGCACTCTAAGCCATGTTGACCCAACATGAAAAAATTAGGAACAGACACACTCTATTACGCCAAAACACAAAAGATACAAATCAAATCATTACAGGATTTAGATGTTTTGCATCAGTATTTTTCATAGTTGGAAACAGACAAGTAAAGAGACATTAAACTGTGACTTGTGCTTTTTGTTAGCAATTAGTACTTCTAAGACTTGAGCAACAATACAGGAATTTTATTCATATTCTGCATCACTTTTATAAACAACAAATTACTGCATTTTTCCATTATTCTGATAATGCTGAAATAAGAAAAGTAATTTTTTGATAAAGAATATACTGAAATAAGGGTAAAAACCCCACATATCTGATATCTATTTCCAAGAACTGTTTCATTAGGAGGGCAGAGCAGCCTGCAACACATCTCTCCTCAATGGCAGGCACCCATGTGATTTTTCAACTAACAATTCTAGTGTAAATATAGCTATAATGAATTAAATTCTATAATCCAGAAATGTAGGTCATAATATCAGATTGCATACCATATGCTATTTTGTCAGATTAAATATAAGGAATATGTGAATTCTTCAAATTTGGTGCTTGACATTCTAAAATGGCCCCTTTCCCATTCTTGACAAACCTTGAAACTAATGACTAACTCCTATTCATGAAGGTTAAATTCCTATTACATGATTTGTTGAGCATCTCCTGATGGTATTTATGATATTTTAAATCTAATTCCAATAAAACTTGATGCAACTTTGTCAGTCTGTTTTTCTTTTAAATTTTGTGGATTTGATATTGGTTGATTTTAAGTACTCATTATGTTCATTATTTTCAATTCTATCCTGGAATGTTATTTTCACTTATGGGTAGAGAGTTAAAAAAAAGGTCATAAAAGAAAATAAGAGATATTTCTCAAATGTTTTGATAGATATTAAAGCAAAATGATGTGGCAAAATAGATGTTTTAGTCAAGTTATAGTAGGAGAAAGTATATATCCTCATGTGAAATATGTTGTATAAATAGTTATACTGTATTTTATTTGTATTATTTTTATTGTTGTATAGTTACTATTTTTTCAACTATTTTTTATTTAAGTTTGGAGGAATCTGCAGAAGCAGAACCCACAGATACAGAGGGCCAACTGTACAACAATTTTGGAAAACAATTTTAAAGATAGATACACACAAACACACACTCACACACACAACAGCAAACTGTAAGACAAGCAATTCATTCAGTTATTTCATGTACATTAACTCTTTCATATTTACACGAGTAAATATGTATAATAATGCTCAGCTTGTCATTCTTAGTAATTGCAAATGTCCGTCAATAGGAAAATGAATAAATGCATTGTGAGGCCATCAAAAAATATCAAATTATACAGCAAATAACTATGTCTAGAAAGATCAGCTTAGATGTATCTTAGAAACCATATTCAGTGAAAAAAAAAGCCATATACGTGAAGAATTCTTAGAGTATGGTATCATATTTCAAATACATTTTAGATTAAATAATTCTTAAAATTTTGTGTAGAGGCATGTGCTATGTGGTCATTTTTTAAGGAAAAGCAAGGAATAAAAAAATAAGTTACAGAATAGTTGTTACTTCTATAGTTGGCATAAGGCAAGAGTCTGGGAGTTCAGAGCACAGAGGGACCCTCGGTGTTATGATACTCTGTATTGAGTTGGGTGTTGAGTTTGTGTTGCAGGAAGTCAGGGACCCTGAACAGAGGGACCAGCTGAAGCCATGGCAGAAGAACCTAAATTGTGAAGATTTCATGGACTTTGATCACTTCCCCAATCAATACTCTTGTGATTTTCTATGCCTGTCTTTACCTTAATCTCTTAATCCTGTCATCTTTGTAAGCTGAGGATGTATGTCACCTCAGGACCCTGTGATGATTGCATTAACTGCACAGATTGTTTCTAGAGCATGTGTGTTTAAACAATATGAAATCTGAGCACCTTAAGAACAGGGTAACAGAGATTTTCAGGGAACAAGGGAGATAACCTTAAAGTCTGGCTGCCTTTGGGCCAGGCAGGACAGAGCCATATTTCTCTTATCCAAAAACGGGTAAGATAAATATCACTGAATTCTTTCCCCAGTAAGGAACCTTAATAATTAACAGCCCTGGGAAAAGAATGCATTCCCAGGGAAGGCCTCTAAAATATCCACCCTAGGAATGTCTGCCTTATGCAGATGTAGATGGGGATGAAACATGCCCTGGTCTCCTGCAGTGCCCCCAGGCTTGCTAGGATTAGGAAATTCCAGCCTGGCGAATTCTAGTCAGACCGGTTCTCTGCTCTTGAACCCTGACAATGCGTGCACAGTGAGACATGGAAGTTCATTAGCAATTCTAGTTTTGCCCTGACCTTCTGCCTTGTGATCCTTGTGATCTTTTGTTGCCCTTGAAGCATGTGATCTCTGTGATCCACACCCTATTTGTACACACCCTCCCCTTTGAAAATTGCTAATAAAAACTTGCTGGTTTTATGGCTCAGGGGGCATCACAGAACCTGCCGACATGTGATGTCTCCCCCAGACACCCAGCTTTAAAATTTCTCTCTTTTGTACTCTTTCCCTTTAATTCTCAGACTGGCTGACACTTAGGGAAAATAGAAAAGGACCCATGTTGAATTATCAAGGGCAGGTTCTGCTGATAGTTTGTGGCTTCTTATTTTATTATTTTTTACAGTGTTAATAATTATGAAATATTATATTGCATGGAGAATATTTTAATACTTATATGGGTAATAAATGAAAAGATAATCTATCCCCTTAAATATTTCTCATTTATTTACTTTTACCTTTTTATTCTAACAAATGAATTTTGGAAATGAGTATTTAAGTTAAACTTCAAAATAACCAGCAAGAAAATAATTTTCCCATTGAGGTTTAAATAGAAATAATTGATGATAGACATACTTAGTCTTAGTGTTTAGAAATATATTGAATATTTCCATTTGTTTACATTTGTATATAATTCTGCAATAACTTGTATTTTTGTATAATAATTTAGACATCAATAACAAAAGTTTTGTTTGTATCATCAAACACAAGTTATGAAATAAATGTGTTTTTTAATCTACTTGCTAATTGAAATTAGCATATATAAAAAGCTTTTGAAAATGAGGGTATCTAGTCAAATTTCTGAATTTTCTGGTTGAGTTATCGGTTTATTAATTTTTTATAAAAATTACAACAATAATATTTTAAATCACATTGAAGGCCGGGCATGGTGGCTCATGCCTGTAATCCCAGCACTTTGGGAGGCCAAGGAGGGCAGATCACAAGGTCAGGAGATTGAGACCATCCTGGCTAACAAGGTGAAACTCTGCCTCTACTAAAAATACAAAAAAATTAGCCAGGCATGGTGACAGAAGCCTGTAGTCCCAGCTACTCAGGAGGCTGAGGCAGGAGAATGGCATGAACCTGGGAGGCGGAGCTTGCAGTGAGCCGAGATCTCACCACTGCACTCCAGCCTGGGTGACAGAGCGAGACTCCATCTCAAAAAAAAAAAAAAAAATCACATTTAAAGACTTTACATGGGTTGTTCAATTTCATTATTAGAATAATTTTAAGATGTGGGTATAATTGTTATTCCATTTTTCAGATGAGGAAACTGAGGCTTAAAAGTCAGTTTAAGAATACACAGAGATTAATTTAATTAGGTCCCATTTGTCAATTTTGGCTTTTGTTGCCACTGCTTTTGGTGTTTTGGACATGAAGTCCTTGCGCACGCCTATGTCCTGAATGGTAATGCCTAGGTTTTCTTCTAGGGTTTTTATGGTTTTAGGTCTAACGTTTAAATCTTTAATCCATCTTGAATTGATTTTTGTATAAGGTGTAAGGAAGGGATCCAGTTTCAGCTTTCTACATATGGCTAGCCAGTTTTCCCAGTACCATTTATTAAATAGGGAATCCTTTCCCCATTGCTTGTTTTTCTCAGGTTTGTCAAAGATCAGATAGTTGTAGGTATGCGGCGTTATTTCTGAGGGCTCTGTTCTGTTCCATTGATCTATATCTCTGTTTTGGTACCAGTACCATGCTGTTTTGGTTACTGTAGCCTTGTAGTATAGTATATACACCATGGAATACTATGCAGCCATAAAAAATGATGAGTTCATGTCCTTTATAGGGACATGGATGAAATTGGAAACCATCATTCTCAGTAAACTATCGCAAGAACAAAAAACCAAACACCGCATATTCTCACTCATAGGTGGGAATTGAACAATGAGATCACATGGTCACAGGAAGGGGAATATCACACTCTGGGGACTGTGGTGGGGTGGGGGGAGGGGGGAGGGGTAGCATTGGGAGATATACCTAATGCTAGATGACGAGTTAGTGGGTGCAGCACACCAGCATGGCACATGTATACATATGTAACTAACCTGCACAATGTGCACATGTACCCTAAAACTTAAAGTATAATAAAAAAAAAAGAATAGCTAAAAAAAAAAAAAAAAAAAAGAATACACAGAGATTAAATGTTGAAGTTAGAATTTTAATATAGGTGACCTAACTTAAGAGCCTAACTTTTAATCAAACTCACCTTTTATGTAATAATAGATAGCATTGCCCCTTTTTCTATTCTTTATTTGGAACTTCTTGGAAAAAAATATTATATACATAGAAGCATAATTTTTTTTTCTTTTGAGACAGAGTTTCGCTCTTTTTCCCAGGCTGGAATGAAGTGGTGTGATCTTGGATCACTGCAACTTCTGCCCCCCAGGTTCAAGTGATTCTCCTGCCTCAGCCTCCTGAGTAGCTGGGATTATTGGTGACCTCCACCACACCTGGCTAATTTTTGTATTTTTTGTAGAGACAGGTTTTTGCCATGTTGGCCAGGCTGGTCTCGAACTCCTGACCTCAGGGGATCCACATGTCTCGGCCTCCTAAAGTGCTAGGATTATAGGCGTGAGCCACTACATCAGGCAGAAGTGTACTTTTATATGTCCAGTTTTTATTAGGCCAATAAATGTGATGTTTATTAAATTATATATTATCTTCATCATGTATAAAAATATATCTGCTTCTATCTGTTAAATTATTTTATAAGAAATGTTATGAATTGTGTCACGTATATTTGGATTTTTTTTCTTATTTAATGTAATGATGTATATTCTTTAATAAAATTTCTATAAAAATGTTCTAACATAGTGATTTTAATTTTCAATTTACTTCTCAATCTTATTTCACATTATACTGTAAAGATTTTCACCTATATCCATATGTGAACTTTGAGCTTTATATAATTCCCTCTTCATACAATTTTCCTGATGATGTGTCATGATTAGATTGGGTTCTTCATTTAAATAAATGAGATTCAAGTCACATTTTTGTGTGCATTCTAAATAATAATCTGTACAACTTATGATTATTTGGTAATATTTGAAACAACTCAAATCTATAATATGTTTACTGCAAAGTCTTAGAACAGATATAGAATTTTCTTTAAGAATCTTGTAGTTTTTTATTACTTTCTGTTAATATTTAGAAAAAGTAAAGAAAAATCTAGTACTTTTTCTTTTGCAATCATATGTCTTTTTATTTTTCCTTGGATATTGCAGAACGAAAATAACTGTATGTATATAGGTAATAAGTGTGTATATACATAAGTATATGTGTGTGTACTTATATATATGAATAAACTTTTTCCTGAAATTTTCCTAAAATATGGTAGTCATTTTTCAAAATTTACAACTATTTTCCCCAGGTGTGTAACTTTGATTATTGCCTCATTCATTTGGTGTATTTTTTGCTTTGCAAACATCTATTATATTTATGCTGAATTTCTAAGATCTGGCCCTCATATCCTTTTCATTTTCTCTTCAATTGCATTTCTCCACTTTCCTCTTTTGTGTTTTGAGGGTATTTCAAGTGTGTCTGTGAATTTCTAATTGGGTTTTCTAAACTGTCAGTTCCACTCTTACTACTCCTAATGTGGTTATTCTTTGACAATCATGATTCTCTTCTAATGCAATCTTTCCTACATTCTATTGACTCCACCAAACAACTTCTTCTTAATTAATGGAGAGAATAAATGCCTTCTTATATTACATGAAAATAAAATAGGCATTTTTCGAATATATTCTTCTGGTTTTGCACTACATATATTTTAGGTAAAAGTGAGATTTTTGGAGTGATGCACCTTAAAGTTGCTTTTTTCATAGACTTGAAGCTGAGCTTGTTTTTCTTTATTATGTATGGTAGTGGTGGTTTATTATTGGTTGTTTGCTCCTTAAGAATTCATTTTTAGGCCAGGCACCTTGGCTCATGCCTGTAATCCCAGCACTTTGGGAGGCAAAGGTGGGTGGAACACTTGAGGCCAGGAGTTCCAGGTCAGCCTGGCCAACATGGCAAAATCCTGTCTCTACTAAAAATACAAAATTTAGCCCAGGGCGTGGTGATGTGTATCTGTAACCCCAGCTACTTGGGAGTCTGAGGCCTGAGAAGCCCTTGAACGCTGGAGGCAGAGGTTGCAGTGAATGGAGCCAAGATTGTACCACTGCATTCCAGCCTGAGCGGCCCAGTGAGACTCTGTCTCAAAAAAAGAAATAATAATGTATTTTTATTATAGAAAAAAGGTCCATTTTGATAACATGGAAAAAAACTTTTGGCTCTATGAAAAGCCACAACTGTGTTAAAATGAAAATAAGGAATAAGTCCACAGAGGAACGTGAATTCAAATGACATAATGGCCAAAATTAACATAAAACACTGAGAGAATATTGATATAACAACTCTGAAGATATCATGTACAAATCTATTAAAAACTACAAAATAACATCAAAAAAGTAAACCCCCAAAAATGAACATAAAGCAATAAAATCTCAGAAGTAAACACTTGAATTTTTAACAAATGCTTAACTAAATACTCAAATAGCCAAGAAGTAAGTAAAGCCCAAATTTAAAATAAGATATTTCACCAATATATACCTATCACTTTGGCAGAGGGTAAAGTGTCATATAATCAGGAGTTGATTAGGACATAAAAAGACTGTGAATTTGAACATATATTTTTATGAATACATGAAGACAAATTGGCGTTAGTTATTGAAATTAAGTATGTGCATATATTAAAGACTAGGATATCTCACTTTCATAATAGTTGATGCGCATTCCATAATGGAATACATATAAACAAGTTCATTATAGTTCCATTTAAGGTAGTGAGTTAGAGAAGCCTTAGTTGTCTATCACCAGAAGAAAAAACATGTTAAATATCAGAGATGTGGTCTGAGGAAATAATCTAGAAACATCGAGAAACAGAAATGCTAGCAATTTTTCCAGCATCACATGAATATTAGTGGGTAGCACCATTACAAACTCTTGTTATATCCTTTCAAAGACTGTGCTTTTAATTAGAGCTCTCTAACAACATAGCGTGTGAAAAATGTAAGATAATGAATATGATAGCAAATTGCCATTTATATAAATTAAAAACAAATTACTCTCAAAGCACCACTACATATTTCTCAAGGATACGTAAAAACTTAAGAATATTAAATTTATAAGGAGTGGTGAAGATTAATGGGAGTGAGATAGGAGACAAACAATAAATAAAATTAAATAGAGAGCAAATAAGTGCTCAGGATGCTATCATTGTTATTATTAATAGTATTTAATATAATATTTTTTCGAAGTCTAAAATACGTGTTCCTTAATAACTATAAGTCAAGCACAGTACTATGGTAGAGAGCCAGGTAGATGGATAATTAAAATGATGATAAATGATATAACACAGTGATGTATATGTGTGTATATATACATGAGTAATATACACACAGTTTTATATATACATATGTACACATACACACTCAGTTTACTCAGGACATAAATGCTATTAATAACTCATTTTATTGATGAGGAAATTAAGACCACGAAAGCTTATGTAACTTGTCCTAGTTCACACAATGTGGCATGCTAAATAATGGCCTCCAAAGATGTCCACATTCTAATACCTGAATCTATGAATATTACCTTGTAGGGCAAAAGAGCAAAAGATGTTGTATTAGTCCATTCTCACACTGCTAATAAAGACATACCTAAGACTGGGTAATTTATAAAGGAAAGAGGTTTAATTAACTCACAGTTCAGCATGCCTCGGGAGGCCTCAGGAAACACAATCATGGCAGATAGGGAAGCAAAGACATCTTTCTTCACATGGTGGCAGGAAGGAGAAGAATGAGTGCCCAGCAAAGGGGGAAGCCCCATATAAAAACCATCAGATCTCGTAAGAACCACTATCAGGAGAAGTGGATGGGAGAAGCAGGCCCCATGATTGAATTATCTCTACCTGGTTCCTTCCACGACACGTGGGGATTATGGGAACTACAATTCAAGATGAGATTTGGGTGGGAACACAGCCAAACCATATCAGATACGATTAAGGATTTTGACATAGGCTGATTATCTTGGATAATCTGAATGTGTCCAATGTAATCACAAGGATTCTCATAAGAGAAAGACAGGAAAGTCAGAATCAGAGAAAGAGGTTCTGTGAAGGAGGAAAATGTGATGACAGAATGACAGAAGAACAGAAGTCAGAGAGAGAGAGAAAATTCAGTATTATACTGCTTGTTTTGAAGGAAGAGACTAGCCAGCTAAGGAATGCAGACATCCTCTAAAACCTGGAAGAGGCAACAAAGTCATTCCTAGAGCTTCCAAAAAGAGCTTCTAGGCATTTTAAATTAGTAATAATGTACACATATACATACACACACTGTATTCTATCATTTATCATCATTATATTTATCTATCCATCTGGCTGTCTATTATAATAGTGTGCTTGACTTTTGGAGGCTTTAGTGATAACTCTGCTATCACTTTGATTTTAGTTCTGTAAGTCCCCCTGCCCCGCTTTTATTTCACTCTTGACCTCCAGAAATTTAAGAAAATAAATTTCTGTAACCTTAAACCATATATTGGGGTAGTTTGTTACAGTCTCACAAATTAATACAGCCATGAAATTAATACAACCAGCAAGTGTAAGAGCCACATTTCACTCTTCTCTCAGATTCTCCAACTGTACTTCTGCCTTAACTTAATGGTTTGGAATAGCCTTAGGTGACACATCATAGAATTATTGTGGATATGTTGTTCAAATGAAGTCCTTCAAAATCTCCTTGAATCAACCAAGTTTGACCTTTGTAACAACAAGTGAAAATGCCTAGCCCACAAAACCGCATCACACCATCACACTATGGCATGCAAATGAAAATATCACTCTGTGATATACACCCAGGCAGCGTGCACTTGCTTTCCAGATTGCAACTTTTCTACCGATATTTGAATATGTGAGAACGCATGATGATGAACCCATGTCACCCCCACCCCTCTTTAAAAGGTCTGAAATAATACTAAAATTATCTTAGTGACATATCAGAATCATATGCTTACTGAAAAAATGCAAAAGAAACAAGTAATGGCATACTTAGGAAGATTATCTCTGGCTGCTTAGCACAATGTCTGGCACATATTAGAGATTAAAACATTACTAGATGGATAAAGAATGTGACTTTTTCAGATTATCTTACAGTGAAATTAAGTTATAAAAATTTATGTGATCAATCTGCTTCATTTCTATTGTCATATAAATTCTTAGTTCAGTTCGCATATAAAATAACATGGTACTATAATTGCATGTACTATTATGAATCTGTATGATTTTTTTTCTTATATATCACCTACAGCTCATAAAAGATTAATGTGGTTTCACTGGAGTTGTCGCTAAAGCATTTACAATGTGTATTAAATTAAATGTTATATAAACCAATTTTCATTAAATAACCCTGGAGCTGCTTCTTAAAAAATTATTGTCATTTGTGCTAGGAATTAAGTGCCTCTACCACATTTTATATTCACCATAAAGACTAAATTCAGGGTTAGAGAAATGTAATGTACAGTTATAGGAAATTTTTGAGTATACAAATTGACAGACTTTCTTTAAATGCAATTAATTAGTAAGAAATGAAATTTGAACTGAAAGGAAGTGGGTGCAGTCTTGTCTCTCTGTTTTAATGCAGTAAGTATCCTGGTAATGAGGGAATATCTAGAGAATGTTTCTGTTCTATGAACTATGCAATTGTTTCCCTATATCATGAATAAGCACTGTATTTTATGATTGCACATAAATGATCAAGGTCATAAAAATGTGTAGAGAGATTGAGAGGGCATTTGAAGGTCTGAAGTAGCTGGGAGCCTGCAGAGCAATTCCTTGGGTAAATGCAATCAGGAACTCCTTGGGGCCTGAATGAATGAATTTCTCTATCCTATTTCTCTCTTCCTGTTAGGATGTGAGGGATCCCAATGACAAACATTTTCAAATTTAGTTTTTCAGATTAAGATTTCCTAGAATTTACAGATAGTATAAATGCATACCCTAAATCTTTGGTTTTAAATTTTCACGATAGCCTTTTCATTTGTTTGTTTGTGTTTTACTGTCTAGAATTTAGAAACCATGCCATTGCTTGTCATCTCTTTGCCAGTGAGCTGATTTTTGGGAGAGACACCCTAAATATGTACTACATTTGCTAAAGATGCAGCGCTTTAAGATGACTATGTCTTAAGTGGGGGATTTCACCTCTAGCTTCATCCATCACATTCTTTCATGTGCCAAATGCCTATTCTCTCCTGGGTGGCTCCTGTGTAACCTCAGGATATTTTTAACCTAGTACATTCAACCACGATCAGGGCAACGCAAATCCTAATTTAAGCTCGTCACTGTGATTTTAAATTACCTCTAATTTTTGTCATCTGCAGATTTTCATGTTCTTTCTAGTTCAACAATACACTGAAAGTGTACTTGTACTTATTCAGTATTTTCTTTTTTCTGAGTTATCTGGTAAACCATAATGCTAATACCAAAATTCTTTGGTTTATCTGTTGGTGTAAACACATTTTTAGCTAGAATTTGTGGTTAATCACTTTTGTTTAGGACCATCATAATTTTAGTTTTGATAAAAGTAGTAGTTATTTTTGTTAAAAATACTGGAACTATTTACTCATTATGTAGTGAGTTAGTTTGTTGTTGTTGCTATTGTTCAATAAAATTATTTATTCAAAGACCTTTATAAAAATCTACACCAATCTGTTATACATACATATATTTTTTACTGTTAGCAGTTGATCAGATTTTTCTTTTCAGCTCTATGTAGCTAATTTCTTCCATTTTATTCCCCCAAAACAAATAATCCCCTGTGGTAGATTTCTGCTTTTTCCTGAGAGAAGATATCTTCTGTTATTTTCTAGAAAGACAAACTACTTTTTCTCTGAGGAACTTCTCATGTTTTATCTGACAGAGATTTCAACCAGGAGATCATGATTTCCCTACCAACAGAGGTGCTCAGGTGACCAGGGCTGATTACCTCATATCCTCAGCTGATTATTTTTCCAATGCCAATGTTTAGTTGAAGATGAAACTCTTTTATTCTTGTCAAAAGTAATATTGGTGTTACCAGGCCATCTTCATCACACTCCATAATGCCTGCCCAAAATTAAGGCAGTAAAGTTTAGTCAAAGCTGAAAAGATAGATTTCTAATATTATGTGGCTGTGTGCATTAATCCCAGCCCAAAAGGAGATGTTTTACTGAATGTTTCTCTTACATGAGCCAAAAAAAAAAAAAATCCTACGTTTCCTCTTAAGTTAATTGAGTATCTTTTTTCACTTTTACCTAGAGTGTTTGGATAGAGGCCATGAATGAAATTTTCCAGATTCACTTTTTTTCCATGGCCCATATCCACAATTTCAACCAAGACATAGATATATATGACTATTTAATTTATATCTGCATCCTAAATCTCTACTCTGAGCACCATCCATGAATAGCCAAGAGCAAATTTATAATCTTAACATGAAAAGTTTAATATACCTCAAATTCAAAGATGTCTATGACAAGAATCATTACCTTTCATTGTTCCACTTTCCTACTCTCCTAACAACTTTGCTCCTATTTTTTTTACCAGTCTATAGTTGACTGAATTGTATTCAAATCCATCCATGTGTCTAAACCTAGAAATTGTATCTGTCCTCTCCTTCACCGTAAAACCACACATCAAATGGCAGACCAATTTCTCCTAATTTTACCTGTGTAATTGTTCTTGAATCTATGTTTTACTCCCTTTACAGGGACACCACATCAGGTTACTACAATTTTCTAATAAGTTAAAAACGTGACTCCTATGTAAATACAAAGTGAGCACATGTCAAATATTTTATTTGACTCCTGATTTATTGCAGGGACTAATAAGAAGATAAAGCTGGTTCAACTAACATTTTTGATAAATAAGGTATTTAGAATATCCCAGAAAGGGCATTTTGAAGCAGGTTTACTAAGTTAAATATAAAGCATATTTCTATCCTGCAAGATTATAAAACTGTAAATTTTAAGATTATATTCCCTACCAAACAGAAACATACAAGTTAGCATGTAATTGTGTGGATTCTGAGCTCTTTATAGTACATATAAAGTGAACTCCAAGTACATTTTCTTGTATAATTAAATAATCCTTATGTCAGTCTACCATTTCATTGATCAATTTTTAATATTTTTCTAAAAATCTGCCCATTTTGCTCATATAAATTTGTCAAGGATTATTCTATAGCACAAGAAGCTGATCCTGTTTGCCCTGATTATTTTCACAGTGAAACAAGAGGTGTTTATTGTCATATAAGTCTATTATGGGAGACTATGAGTACAGATAATTAACTTCTAACTGGAAATTTCATTCAGTAATATAGAGTTGGATTTTCATGATGCCTCTATTATTTGCTTTTTCATCCTAAACGTAGGAAACCAAGCCCAAGAAACTCTATTGTTGAAATTTCACACACACACAAGATTTTCATGAGTTATTTTCTCTTTGAGATCCTTAAGAGATTTTGAAAATTCTGCCCTGCCCAAAAGGGAACTTTCCTACCTTCTATGAAGCTGGGACCCTTTATCCATAAAACAAGTATCAAGCTAGTTTTATTTCTGAAAGGATTTTGTAAGTACTGGGTTTACTTTTAAAATACAATCTTTGTTCCTTAATGAAAGGCTTTTCATTCCTTAGTAAATACAATTTATTTTCGAAAGTAACACTCCAGGTAAGGCCATTATTGATGGCAGCAGAGGACCATTTAGAGTCGCTGCCACCAAGACGCCGGCTGCAGCAGGGAGGCAGGCCCAGCCCTCTCGCTCCATGGATCAGGCAGGAACCTTGCCCTCTCTGGGTGCACTGCCACCCTCTGAAGTACTGGACCCAGTGTCACAGCAGTCTGCGTCATCGGGATTTGGGAAAGCCGCCCTCACCAAGTCTCTGCATGTTTAGGGGCATCTGCTCCCACTGCCTGGCCTCTCCCCACTCCTGGCACTTTCTCCAATATCAGAGCAGGGTTGTGGCTGACCCTGCGTGCTGTCCCAGCCTGATGAGGTGTGTGCATGGGCAGTGCAGTGCTGACACACCAGCCTCCTGCCACCTTGGCCCCCTTTGAGCTTTGGGCACTGACAAGCATGGGAGGGGAAGCCAGGGGGGCACTGAGGGCAGATTGGCACTGGCCTGCAGGTGCATTTTGTTACTAGTAGCCTGGGATGCATGGATAGCCCCAGAAAGCAGAAAGACTTCTAGGCATAAGGGGATGGGTCTCCCGAAGCCCCACCTTCAGCTAGGGAAGGCCTGAAGCCTGGGGGCTGGGCTGCCAGTCCTGTGGACTGGAGGGGGATCTCATGGTGCTTTTTACTGGGTCCACCTATGGCTGCCATGGACCAATCAACATGCACTTCCCCACTCTGAGGCCAATAAAAGCCTCAGGCTCAGCCAGAGCAGGCAAGATGATGAGATGACCAACTGCAGGGAGGAGCTACCCTCTCTGTTGATAACTGGAGAATGTTAGGATGACCAGCAGCTGACAGGAGCTTCCCACTCCATGTATGATGTGCCTGCAGAGAGCAGCAACCCACTCCAGTGCCTCCTCTCTGCCAAGAGCTGCTGAGCCAAAAAGGCACCTGCCAGCAAAGAGGAGCCATCCACCCCAGGGCCTCCTACTGTCTGCTGATGGCTGAACACTTGTTGGGACACCCTGCCTACAGAAAGGAGCTACCAATAGCAGACCTCTGAGTGGTTCTACTGCTCATTAAAGCTCCTCTTCATCTTGCTCACCCTCCACTTGTCTGTGTGCCTCATTCTTTCTTGTTGCAGGGCAAGAACTTAGGGCCCACCAAATGGCAAGGCTAGAAGGACTACAATAGAAACAGGGCTGAAACATGCCCCTTGCTCACCACGGTGTGGACAAAGAGAGGAAGAGAAGAGCTGCAGCTCTTTGGGGAGCCCAGATCTGGGAACTCCCTGAGCCAGGGCTGTTACTCCCTCTTTGAGGCCCTGGGAGACCCCAGCATCTCCGAGCTTCCAGACACCACTGCATTCCACGGTGCCAGCAAGGGAAATTGCTTGCAGTGTGCTTGGTGCAACTGCAGCCTCCCAGAGAGTCAGTGCCTATGCTGGCACCTGGAGCTGCCTGCCCCACTCAGCAGCCAGCATGCCTGATTGTGCAGTGGCCAGATGCCATACTCACTCACTCACCCACCTCTTGCTGCTCTGTACCTGGCTCACCCTTGGTAGGAATGGGATTCAGGCCAGGAGCATGAGCTGAGTGTAGCCTGCCAGGCTAAGTGGGCAGAAAAGCCAAGTAGGCCCAAGAAAAAGCTGGGCAAAAGCACCACTGGCCACGTAAGTTTTCAGACAGAAGAGCAACACACCAAAGATCCTGTAACATTTGTTGCATAATTTATATGTCCTGGTAAGAAAAAGAACAGATTCCCACTTAACATACACAAATAACTAAATTGCTGTGAGAAGTTAGAATATTCAGTAAAAGTATTTGTTTCAAAAATCTGAGAAGTCACTGAGAATTATATGACATTTTAAAGTTTAATTTCAGTTAATAAAAACACAACTGACCAAAAATGATTATTACAGATTGATCAAGGAAAAATAAAAAGGAATCCTTCATGTATTGATTAGAAAATAAATAAATATAAAAATTCAAAAGTTTCCGCTATTAAATTATTATTATTTGTTCCTTCATCTCTGTGTAATAAATTATTTTTTTTTACTGGATCATGGGTCAGCAGTCTACTTTCACAATGTTAGGTGCTTCTGGACCACAAAGATTCCTAATAATCCTGACTCAGCTCCCTGCTACAAGAAGTGGTCTAAGACTTGTCAACTTGGAAAATTGTATCCAAGGTTGTATTTTTTGATGTATCAATAGTTGACAGCACTTAGTACAGTACTTTTTAGTAGGCTCTGAGATTGTACATTTTATTCTTTGAAACTTATAGCAGAAGTTTCAGGCAGGTGTAAGAGAAAAGCTGAAAACATTTGTTCAAATATCAATAAACTGAGTCCCTTTCCAGTAATCAGAGTATTTTCTTAATTGATTTGAGATCACAAACAATAAAATGGACAAACTGAATTAGTTTTCTACTGCTAAGGAAAACTTTGCCATAAACTTAGTGGCTTAAAACATCTATTCATTATCTCACAGTAGGTAAAAGTCTGAGCTGGCTCAACTGAGTTCTCTGCTTGGTCTCTCAAGGCCAAATTCAAGCTGAAGCTGTTGGCTGGGAAGGAATCATATTTGGAGGCTTTAAGAATTAATCTGCCTCCAAGCTCTTCAGGTTGTTGACAGAATCAATTTTCCTTTTGCTGCAGGGCAGAGATCTCTATTTTGTTATTGCTTTTTGGCCAAGGACTGCTCTCAGCTTTTAAATGTTATTCATTCTCAAGTTCTTTATACCTAGCCCCATGCACCTTCAAAGCTTGCACCAAATCTTTCTCTTGTGGCAAATCCTTTTGATGTTGGACTCTCTCTAATGTATCCTTCTGCCAGCTGCCAAAGAGCTCACATGATTAGGTTAGACCTACCCAGATTATCTCTCTAATTTAAAGGCAATTGATTAGAGATCTAAGATATGTCTACAAAACTCTGTCTGACTAGGTAATGTAATATAATCACAAGGTAGCACCAGGGGGAGGAAAGCCCAGATACCATCTTAAAACCATGCATACCACAGAAACAAAAAAAAGCCCACAAACCATATTTTTTGGTCTTTATCACATAACAGAATACATCCTCAATAGTCACCTGACAGAAATCACCAAATGATTAAACTGTAAAACCTGATTCCTCATCATTGCTGTAACCAATGACAAATCATTAACTGGCCATGAAAACAAAACAAAACAAAACAAAAAACAAAAACAAAAACAAAAAAACAGAACAAGAACCAAACTTGGCCAAGAATCAGAACTAGAAATGAAAACACGGAGTCAAAGAAAATGAGTAAAAGAAACATGGACAGAAAATGTAATACTCTACTGCCTATAAGGATTCACACCAGAGACCTAAAAAAAAGAAAAAATAATAATGTGCCTATAGCTAAAGAATTCATAAGTTTTACTTGTAATGCTGCCAGGTCCAACCCGCAGACCCTGGCTGAAAAACGGATGAACAAATGCCCTCCGACACGGATATCCAGTGAAAGAATGGACTAGGGGACCGGGCTGCCCACAGACACCGAGAAGGTTGCTGTAAAGAGTCAGCAGCCATGGCCCTAACCAGATGGCTCTGCAGGTATTTATTCAGTATAGATTTAATGACAAAGGCCTTGAGTCAACACACTTGTAGGTAATTGCACGCGGATGATTAAAGGCCAGGTTTCTGGAGACATGAGTAAACAAGCTATTCAGATAAACTCCCCTGCATTCTTTTGTACTTACCTCTTGCCCTGTGCCCCCGGGTAAGAACCACCACCTTAGGCTCATTCTTCCAGAAGCTTTGCAACCCCATCCCCACCCAGCCTTCCAAGAAGGTTTGTTTTTCCTACAATTTCTCCCACTACCCTGACAGATCTCCTGGCTGTGCCAAAAAAGTCCTTGGTCATCTTGGTGAGACTTTTAAAACTGCAGGAGGTTAATTTTCAAAAATTTAGAAGTATGGCAATTATGAAAAGCTCAATCAAATTTGTATCACAGGTTTATTTGATTCAATAATCATGTGATGGAAACAGTATGATAGTAAACTGGTTCTAACTGCATTTTAGAACAGAAGCAAAGCATATGTATAGTCCACAAGAAAGGTTTTAATAGCCTGTCACCTGGGCTTTCCATGACCAGCATGCATCCTCTCATTTGTTTTCCACAATGCAGCCAAAGTAATTTTTTAAATTAAAAATGTATTAATTTACTCTGCATAATTGTCACTTAAAACTCACATTCAGTGCCTTTCTTAATGCGGCCTACAAGATGGTATAACCTTTGTGACTTGCCTGCTTGCCTCATTTGAACTTAAAACACTTTCTCACATTCTCCCTTGATGTGCACTTCAGCTTTCGGACTTCAAATTTTTCACGCGTTTTTTTCCTATGCAATATTCCATCCAAGAATATAGGGCCTTTCCTTTGTAGGGGCAAGGGTTCTGCCCTTACCTTCCTTTTGACAGAGCAGGAGCATTGAACCATCATCTCGGACAAACACCGCCTCTTTAAGTTCCAGTTCCCTTTTTAGCCTCATGCATTTCAAGGAAATCACTTCTCTTTTAACTACAAGCAGCCACACAGCCAGAAACAGCTGACAGTAAAACACAGATAAGACAGCTCAGGCACAGAGGGAGGGGGGGAGAATGTCTCTTGGTTAACTGCCAAACTTCACCCTCATACAATGGGCCCCAGTAAAACAGTGGGCCTTAATAAGCACATTCCTTTCCATTCACATGCACTAACATAAGGAAGCTAAGAGCAGACTTGGGGGATATGCCTGCTGCTGCAGAAATATGAATGGGAAGAGACACACAACTCTCCCTCCCAGATAAGCACAACAAAAAGACACAGAAGCAGTACCACCGTCTGATAAACTATTCCACCCTGAATCCTCAAAATTTTAGGCTGTAAGAGAGTGTGCCTCTGACCAAACTCGGCCAGAAGCCACTCTCAGGTGTATTTCTCTAAAATAAACTTGTCCTTGACTGTTGAGCCACCTTTCATGTTTCTTTTCTCTTTCCTTAATTCTTACATTTTTCACCCATCTAAATTCTAATTACCCTTTGTAATGTAATTCAGTAGTAATTCCCTCAGAATATTTTTCCTTGCTTCACAGTCTAAATCAGATTTTTCACCATGTTTCTAAAGTAAATACCCTTGTGATTTTATTCCTTTCCTATGGAATTGCCTTCTCAATTTCAATTATACATTCATTAGCAAGCTATAATAGACTGTATATTTGTGTCCCCCACAAATTCATAAGTTGAAACCCAAACCTCTAATAAGATGGTATCAGGAAATGGCACTGTCTCCGTAATTGGTGGGTTCTTGGTCTCACTGACTTCAAGAATGAAGTCGCAGACCCTCGCGATGAGTGTTACAGTTCTTAAAGGTGATGTGTCCAGAGCTTGTTCCTTCTGATGTTCGGACATGTTCAGAGTTTCTTCCTTCTGGTGGGTTTGTGGTCTTGCTGGCTTCAGGAGTGAAGCTGCAGACCTTCACGGTGAGTGTTACAGCTCTTAAGACCGTTTGTCTGGAGTTGTTCGTTCCTCCCGTCCGGAGTTGTTCATTCCTCCCACTGGGTTCGTGGTCTCGCTGGCCTCAGGAGTGAAGCTGCAGACCTTCGCGGTGAGTGTTACAGCTCATAAAGGTAGTGTGGACCCAAAGAGTGAGTAGCAGCAAGATTTATTGCAAAGAGCGAAAGAATAAAGCTTCCACAACGTGGAAGGGGACCCAAGTGGGTTGCCACTGCTGGGTCAGGCAGCCTGTTTCTATTCCCTTATCTGGCCCACCCACATCCTGCTGATTGGTCCATTTTACAGAGAACTGATTGGTCTGTTTTACAGAGAGCTGATTGGTCCATTTTGACATGGTGCTGATTGGTGCATTTACAATCCCTGAGCTAGATACAAAAGTTCTCTAAGTCCCCACTAGATTAGCTAGGCACAGAGCACTGATTGGTGCATTCACAAACCCTGAGCTAGACACAGGGTGCTGATTGGTGCATTTACAAACCTTGAGCTAGACACAGGGTGCTGATTGGTGTATTTATAATCCCTTAGCTAGACATAAAGGTTCTCCAAGTCCCCACTAGACTCAGGCAGGAGCCCAGCTGACTTCACCCAGTGGATCCTGCACCGGGGCCGCAGGTGGAGCTGCCCGCCAGTCCCGTGCCATGTGCCCACAGTCCTCAGCCCTTGGGCGGTCAATGGGACCAGGCGCCGTGGAGCAGGGCGCGGCGCTCATCAGGGAGGCTTGGGCTGTGCAGGAGCCCATGGCGATGGGGAGGTTCAGGCATGGCGGGCTGCAGGTCCCGAGTCCTGCCCCGTGGGGAGGCAGCTGAGGCCTGGCGAGAATTCGAGCACAGTGCCAGTGGGCTGGCATGGCTGGGGGACCTGGTGCACCCTCCACAACTGCTGGCCTGGGTGCTAAGCCTCTCACTGCCCAGGGCCAGTGGCTACCGGCCAACCGCTCCAAGTGCAGGGCCCGCTGAGTCCACGCCCACCCGGAACCCACGCTGGCCCGAAAGCGCCGTGCTCAGCCCTGGTTCCCGCCCATGCTTCTCCTTTCACACCTCCCTGCAAGCTGAGGGAGCCAGCTCTGGCCTCGGCCAGCCCAGAAAGGGGCTCCCACAGTGCAGCAGCAGGCTGAAGGGCTCCTCAAGCACGGCCTGAGTAGGTGCCGAGGCAGAGGAGGCACCGAGAGCAAGCGAGGGCTGCCAGCATGCTGTCACTTCTCAGCACCTTTGGCAGAAAATTAGGTTTACATGAGACCACTAGGATGTAGCCTCCCTAATGGGATTAGTATACAAAAGAGAGACCAGAGATCTCTCTCCATGTGAGGCTAACACAAGATGGTGTAAGTCTGAATGAGACCCTCCCAGACACCCATCAACACCTTGAAATTTGACTTCTCAGCCTTCAGAACTGTGTAGAATTAATATCTGTTGTTTAAGTCACCCAGTTTATAGTATTTATGTTATAACAGTTCGAACTGAGTAAAACACAAGCATACTTGATGAATGTGAGTAGAAGCAGGTACCTTATATATTTAAAATTTCACTTTTTGGTTTGTCTGTTTTTGAGACTCTCACTCTGTTGCCCATGGTGGAGTGCAGTGGCACAATCTCTGCTCATTGCACCTCCATCTCCCGGGTTCAAGTGATTCTCCTGCCTCAGCCTCCCGATTAGCAGGCATTACAGGTGTGTGCAACCACACTTGGCTAATTTTTGTATTTTTAGTAGAGACAAGGTTTCGGCATGTTGACAAGGCTGGTCTCAACTCCTGACCTCAGGTGATCCACCCACCTTGGCCTACCTTATTGCTAGGATTACAGGGGTGAGCCAGTGTGCCCATCCTAAATTTTCATATTTAATACCATGTCTGACATATAGTATGAACTCAGTATAAATTCTAATTAATTAATAACTCAATGAATTCAAGATAGACTCCATTTTTTATTGTTATAGTAAATATAACTAAAAATCAAAATTTGTATGCCAGCATTTTATGTTTAAGTTATAACAAATAACACTCAAGATTATATCAGATGCAGGATAAATTATGACAGATTAATATTTTGAATGATTTAAATTTAAATGTGAAATTCATAAATGTGAAATTATTTTCCTTTAGTAGAACAACTCAGTTCTTATTAGATTTAGTTTTGTAAAAAATTAATCCTCCTGTATGTTTTCTTACAACAAACCTTGTGCAATAAAAATAAATAAATTACATACATCAATTTGTAACTCAACCTTAGGTTTGTGATAAACTTATTTAAATGCCAACTTAATTCATTTTCCTATTGAATCTAATGTATGTGATATTGCATGCCCTTCTTTCATGTTCTGAAACAATAAGTCATATTTTATGTTTTAAAATTAAATACATACATATTTATCAATATTTATATGTATCAATATAAAGCAATTCCAATAATATGGAAAATATAAAGAAATACATACCACCTGAAATCTCATCCATAAATAAATCACTGCTAGCATTTCTATAATTTTTCTTGTAGACATATTTTTATACACACATAACAATTTACATAAATGGCTTAAGATTCATACGATGCAGTGACTTTAAGCAAAATATTTGAATTTGTTATAAAGCAAAATATGTAATCTTTAAACTTGAATGGCAATCCACAGTTTAGGGCAAAAATAAAAAAAAATGAAATGAAATGAATCTCTTGCTTCATTTCTTCCAGTTTCCATGTTCTCATCCCCAGCACTCAACTATTTTAGTTGTCTTCTATTCTCTCCATTTTCCTGCTGTAGATATATCACATTAACTTATCCAATCCTTATGATGTACATTTATGCAGCTTCTAAATAGTGTTATTGTAAAATGTATTATGAGTAAATACTGTTGTGTACCTATATTTTTGCAGTCTGATTTTCTTTTTAGTATAATTCCTAGTGAAAGTAATTTCTAAGGGAGAAGAGTGTGCAATTTTTACATGAACTCATATTAACTCTTCCACCTACTCCATGTGCTTATGCTATTTCTTAACCCCTCTGTGTATCTGTTTTTTTACGTACATAGAGGAAACTACTGCAGTGGAAGTATCTGATTAGATTGTTTGTGTTGATTGCAAGAGCTAATATACATTCATTTTCTTACACAGAGTAAGCATTTAATAAATCTAGTCTTTATTATTTCTGATATAATAATTAATAATGCTGTTACTGGATATAAGTTGTTTTCTCAGTTGTAACTGAGATAAATATTATTTTTATATTCTGTCATTTATATTTTAAATTTTTTAATGACTATTTCCTTTGCTTTAAAATAATTTTAAATTTTCAAATATTCACAGGAATTGTTATTTTTTATTAAGATTTTATGGTTAGTCGTCACTTGGATGGCACATATATTAAAATTGGAATGATACACAGAAGATTAGCATGGCCCTTGCACAAGGATGACATACAAATTCCTGAGGCATTCCATTAAAATTTATTTAAAAGTAAACATAATAAATAAATGAATAAATTAATTAATTAAAAACAAGATTTTATGGTCAATTCATAATAACCCTCTCCAGTTCAAGGTTTAAAACATTTTATTACTATCTTGTTTCACTAATTTTACTGTTCTAAATTCTACTTTGGAATTAGTATTAAATTTGACATTTCTTTTATTATGAATTATAATGAATAATACAAATTTATTTTAATTGTTGTTCCAGATGATATGGGCAATTACCCCAATACCAGTTATTAAATAATACATCCCTTACTCCATTTATTAAAAATTATATTTTAATCAAATATTACAGTAAATGTCTCTGTACTCTCAATTCTGATCCATTGATTGAAGTGTAGGCACAGAGTATGACTGGCCTATTTAATATCCATCATTGGCTCTTGATATTGTTAACATTATCCCAGCTACATCTACTGAACAGATGTGTGAGGAAAGATCAGGGGATGAAACTTAATAGGACTACATCAGTCACTATAATCCCACCGTTTTGCTAGTGTTTAGACAAGGGGTAAGCACGTAAACCCACTTCTGGTAAATGACATATTGAAAGAATATTGCCTTTCTCCATATTAGAGATGATTACAGGAAGAATATTTTCTTTCCACTCACCGATTTCTTTCCTCATGGTTTGCTGTTGTTTAGGACTTGTCTGTTACCCTGGAAGGCATATTGTAATGAGGACACACAGATCCAGAGCTACTGGAAAAAAAAAATCCAAAGCTCCCCAATTCCAGATAGTTTAAGTAAATAATAGAGAACATTATCTCTTAAACCATGGCCCCTCAGATATTTTATTATCTTCTGCCAAGCTGAAAACCTTGCTTTGTTCCTATGCTGGCATCACACTGTTTTAATTATTAAGACTTCACTAAGTTTCAATATTATATATGAAAAGTTTTCCACAAATATATCATTTTTTACCTTTTTTGTTATCACCCTCACATGAGTATTTTTTAAGAAGACTTTATTTGTTTTAGGTCACAAAAATATTTTACAAATTGTATTAGGAATTTGAATTACAGTGGATGTGTTTACAAATTTGTAGACAATATTTTTAGAAAATGTACGTTTCTTGGCTAGGAATAAAATATGATTTCCAATTAATTAAAATAGGCTCGTAAGTAAATTAGTAAATATTTAAAACTTTCCTCATATAATGTACATTTACATCAAAATATTTCTCTTTATTTTCTTATGATAATTTCTAACTGGTCACTTGACTTATTCCTCATATAGCTATTGCTTTATTTTCTTATAATTCATGAGCATACAATGATATCAACCATACATAGCAGGAATTTTTATAATTTCTTTATTATAGTATTTTATATTACTGTGTTAGTGTATACTACCATATTAATGTAAGTAATAGATGTGGTTGATTACTGATAGAATTCCTGACTTTCTTGGGAATGTTTGATTATATCACTATTAGGCAAAATATTAGGTTTTATATCTATATATGTTTTTAATTATTTTAATTATATTGAGATATTCTCATTTTATTATGAGTTTTAAAAAGATTTTATATTTTTATTCAGATTATGGCTTATTGTATATTGATCTATAAAAATGTTGACTTATATTAAGGTTTTTTTAAACATTAAGTCATCCTTGCATTTCTGAAGTTGTTAAACTGTTTTATTATCTTATTGTTTATTGTATTTACTATTTATTATTATATACTATTTATTCTATATGATCTACTACATTAAATATTGTGGAATTTATTTTATCTTATTGTAGTAGCTATATAAAATATTATTTACTGTTTATTACTTATTTTTTCAATGAATTCAGTAAATATGGTATCAATGCATGATTCTGTTTTATGATTTTTCATATAATGTAATGATACCATATGCTTCTTGAAATCACTTAAGATGAAATTTCTACAGATGTAAAATAATGACAATATGTAAGCACCAAGACAGTGGCTTCTTGTTTTTTTAAAGTAGAGTTTATTTATAGAACAGTTTTAGGTTTATAAAGTTATTAAACAAAGTTTACAGATAATTCCAAAATATCCCCTCTTTACCCTTCCTCCAATCACAGTTTCTCCTGTTATTAACTTTACGCCTTGCTGTAGTACATCTGTTCCAATTGATGACACATTATTTATAATTTATTGCTAACAAGCTCGTAGTTTACCTTAGAGTTCCCTCTGTGTGTTCTATAGTTCTATGGATTTTGATAAACCTGTGAATAATATTATGTATCCACCACTGTAGTATCATAAAAATGGTTTCACTTTGAAAAAATCCCCTCTGCTACACCTAATTGTCCCCTCACCACAGACTGAAACCCCTGGCAACCAGTAACCTTTCCCTGTCTCTACAGTTTTGATTTTCTTACAAATAAATAAATAAATAAATAAATAAATAAATAAATAAATAAATCCTGGCTCTGTAAGATTATGTGTTGTAGTTTTAAGTCAAATATCTGAGTGAGTTAAAGTCATCCGAACGGAAGTACACTAATAACGGAAATGTGTGTGTAGGTATGAGCACGTAGGAATGCCGGCTGAAATAACGTGGCTAATGTAGTTGGGCTAATGTTCTGCTGTGTTCCGAATCCACCATCCCCATTGGAGCCTATGCTAGATTGCTAGATATGAAGGAGAAGTAAAGTTTACCTCAATCATTCCTATCTCAATAATTCAATCTTTCTTTTCCCCTGAAAACTTGCCAGCCTCTAGCAACATGTATATCTCAATGCTTTATGCCAAAATTGTAGGAATGTTTACTATTAGTTGACATACTTTGTAGGCATTTGCCTCCAGTAACCGTAATTGTTGAGATACAGAGCAAGTACTCACGGACCTACGTGGGGCAGGCACTGTGCCAGGCTGTAAAGAGGAAAGGGGTAGAAAGTGGAATTGAGTTTTAATAAATAAAATTGATCTCTAGTCCTTCTCAAAATTTTTTCTTACAAGTCATACTAAATGTCTTATATTTCTCTCAGAAAAATGACTGAATGTCTATATTTTAATCTGCCTAGGCTTTTTCTTGTGAGAATTTAATAGGCTATGTAGGGTTCATGGCCCAAATTCTCCAACTACAAAAAAATACACAATATTTATTATCTGTTATCTGTACCATTATACTAATAAATTCACATACAATATTTTTGTTTACATTTTAATAAAAAATAAATCAGATTTCTAAAGAACTGCTCTCGTTGATAACCTATATAAATTAATGCTTAGAAAATTTGGGTCTTAAACATAAACTTCAGAAACATTTTTGGAGCTTAATCAGCTAATTTCACATACTTCATTGGCAAAAGAAATTACACAAGAGATGGCTAGAGTTCGTTCTAAACATTTATTAAATTGCAGAGAAAAATGTATAGATGATGAGTCACTAGCCTTCATAAAAAAGCTTGCAAAAATGTCATAATATTGCCAAAAAATGTGATGTGAAACATTAGTGTTTTTCTATAGTCATCTAGTCATCACAAATGCTATAAAATAAATATTTCAATTCATCTCCAGCTTCTCCATTTTTATAACTGAAAACGCTTTCTTGAGAATGAATTGCCTCAGATGTTGAAAAAGTTTGGAAATATCACTAGATTAATTATATTTTAACAATCAATATTGAGTAATGGGCAGGGCATTCTAGGATCAGCCAAAAACAGTATAGCTGCAATTTTTGCCTTTGGGAAATCTGATAAAGATTTTAAAGGATATTCTCTAGCATTGTTTTGACTTTTATAACTGCAAACACATTTTCTCTAGAAAAAAAGTAGTTTTGCTTCATATGGTTGAAAGTAAATTTCTATTATTTTCATATCTGAAAATTAATAGTACCTGTAATTTCTTCAAGTTGAAGTGTCATTCCCGAAAGGATAAAATAAGAGCATTAAAATTGATTAATATTTTCGCCAGAAAAAGCTAATAAGAAGAAACAGTAGATTTAAAATACTTCCTACATAATTTAAGTATGTATGATTGATTATATTTTCATTTCATTCATGTGTGGATATATTTCTCCCCAAGTATGTCATAAACTTTTTAAGAGATTAAAGTACATATCTTTTTTTAATTACATCTAGCCCAGTATTAAACATGGAATATATATTTAATTAATACTTAGCAATTGTTTATGGATTTTTTCTTTTGAATGAAGTAAAACAAACGTATCATAATAGTTCAATGATGGTTTTACTTGTAGCATCATCCATACACAATTCTTTGAAATTTTTTATTATTAGTATTCTATGTTCATGAAAATATGAAAAATAAAATACAAGAAATATGTAAAATTATGTTGACAGCTTTACCCTTAAGGCGTGGATTATAATTCAGCCCATGAATCTAAGATATCATTATTAAAACAGAGATCAATGTTGTTTTATGTCCTGATCAATAGCAGTGTAGTAAAATACAGTGCTAATAATATTAACAACACTTCCACAATAATTAACATATATAGACACAGGCCTAAGCATGTTATCTGGATTATCTCAAGTATTCGTCCTAAAAAGTCTTACAGATAAATTTATTTTCTCTGGTTTATACATGAGCAAATTGAGAAGAGTACAGATTTTTAGTAAGTTGCCAAGTTTTATTTGAGAACAAAACTCATGCTCTTTAATTAATTGAAATAAATATTCTAACTGGGTCATCCCATTCTCCATCAGGACTTCTTGATTTTATAGTTCACTATTTCTCTTATATTACATCAAAAGTCTACTGAGTCTACACCTTTACTACCTATGCTACTCCTTCAAGTCATCACCCCTCTTTCTGTTCATCTTATAGTATTATAATGACTGTTGCATCTAATTTTAGCCTTTTGGCACCTCTCTGTTTGACTGCAAAACTGCAAACGTCAGTAAATCAGCCTCTTTCCCTGCTTTAAGCCTATTCTGGGATAGCTGAATGTGACAAGAGAAAAACACAACCATACTGTCAGGGCTTACTTTAAATCCATGATTATTTCATTAAAGCAAGCTCATAGTGATGCCAGGTAATCTTACTTCAGTTTAATGGTCCATTGATTCTCACACACTTCTAGAGGTAATTTTATTAATTTTTCTCTTGTCACATCTTCCAGTCTTACCCCCATTGTCATTCTCAACTGACCGTTTTCTTCCTATTTGACTAAAAAATTATGAGCTGGTGGAAGAGTACTTCAACACAATGCCACCAGCACAGTACGCATGTACTGGAAGCTTTGCCCAGATACTCAATATTTCCGTCTGCTACCAACAACAATCTGTCTGGGCTCCTATCTAAAACCTGTTTGTCTACTTGTGCCCATTGTTCCATCCTTTTCTTCCTACTGAAGGACATAGATCTATCAATATTCCTATCTCTCTCCTTTCTCCTACATCATCAAATTTTTTTCCTACCTATTAGAACTTTCCTAATAGCATTTAAACTTGCTTAAATTTTTCAAAATTCACGTTTCTTAAATTTCTCTGTAATCAATCACCATATTTATTACCTTTATTTCAACCCCCCCCCCAAAAAAAAATTACTCTATATCCTCAATTCCTCTCTTGCCATTCTGAGTCAAGACTATTCCAATGAATGGATTTTCTACCACTGTTCTTTTGAAATTGCTATATGAAAACATTAGTGGCTTCCACATTGTCAAACACTCTGTCTTTATTGCAGTTGACAGAAAATTAAACATAGTTGATCATTTGCTCCGTTTTGATGGGTTTTTGTTTTTCCACTTGGCCTCTAGGTCATCTATTTCACTGCCTTCTCCCTTCAAGTCTGCTTTGCTGGTGTTTCTGCATTACTTTGACCACTTCATATTCAAGGGCTATAAGATTTAGTAACTGAATCTCTTCTCTTAATCATCTACATGTACTCTCTTGGTGATCTCATGCAATTGTATTGCTTTAGAATCATATCTCAGCTAATGTTCATAGAATTTGTATCCCTGGCTGATAACTATTTTTTGAACTGCAGACTGATATATTCAACTATTTCTTTGGTATCTCCATTTAGGTGTCTAACAGAAGTTAGAAAATTAACATATCCAAAAACGTGTTGCTTTCTTATCTCGAAAACTGTGTCTTTTCCATCCAGACCTATTTCAATTATAGACTACTTTCTAATTTTAATTTCTGATACCAAAACTTAGACTCATCCTTGAATGTTTCCCTTTTCTTTCATTCAGATTAAGTTCACCAGCAACTTATTTGCTTTACTTTGAAAATGAATTAATAATTCTACCACCTCTTAATACTGTCATATCTGCTATCTTGGTCCAAACCATCATTTCTCATCTGGATTATTCTTGCAATTGCATTCTAAATCTTCTCCACAATTCTGACACTGCATTTCTGTTTTAAACACAGCAGCTACATAATATTTTAAGAATTTATTTCATGCTATTAATCTTTTAAATTCCTCCTCTTCAGTGTGTTTTCTTATCAATCAATACAGGGACAGAAGCCTATATGTACGCATCATAACCAATACCTGTTACCTTTCTGACTCTGCCCTTCACTCTCCTCAATACTTCTGTGATCCACACCCTGGTCTACTTGCTGTTCTTCAAGGCACTTGCACCTGACATTTCTTCTACCTATAATATCTTCTATTCACAAACCTGGTAATCCTATTCCATTCCTTTATTTATTTTTATTCATAGCACTTTCACTATGTTCTACATGTAATGCTTGTTTCCTCTTCAATTCTCCCACACCAATAGGGAAGGAGCTTGAATTTGCCACTGTAGTTCAAAAATGTAATGCCTACTGTTTATAATGTACTAAAAATATTTGCTCAATGAATATATGAACAAAGTAATGAAAGTGATGGAGAACAAATCTAAATCTAGAATTAAAATTAAGGAATACTCAAAGATGTAACTCTTTTCAAATGAGTTCATTTAAGAACTGTTGTAGAAAATGGTTTTCTTTTAATGTTGATCAGTGTAGACAATTCAGATAATTTCTCAAAGTAAGTTTGGCTTTCTGACAGTGTAAATAAATTGATAATTTCCCACATTTTATATTAATGTCTAACATGATCACATTCAAAACTAAAGAATGTGTAGGTTTTTAGAATAAGTCTGGAGATGTGAATATGTTGTACCTTTCAATTAATTCCAGTTCAGTTTTTATATCATTTTCTGTGAATGAATTACTATGCAAAGTTGCAGATGTGTAATAAACACAAGCACAATATACATAATCTGAACAATGTCTTATATACAAAATCATAGAATTGTAAAATTGGAGGAGCTGTTTGAACCTTGGAAGGTATTTCAAAGAAAAAATAAGAGAAACTGTTTTCTTTGGTGCAGGTTAACTAAAGGAACATATTAAGTATGACACAACTTGAATAGTAATTATAGTCTTCATTCATTAATTGCCTACTACAAGCTGTTCAATGCTGGATTTTTTTTTTTTGTGTGTGTGTGTATACATATATATATATATATTAAATTCATGCGTACAGAAAAGCCCATTTTGAACAGAAGCAAACAATGCTGTTTGATATACTCTTAATATTTTATTTCAATATCAGGCAGGCAGTAATTTATTATTGCTTACTTAGCTAATACATTTTAAAAAGAAAAAACTAGTAAAAAGCACATGACATATTTGTATAATCTGCTACATATTTGTGATTATGTCACTTTGAAAAGCTTATTTGAAGGGAGAAATAAAATATAATATGTTGTGTAATAAAAAAGTCTTGATTATTCAACATTGTATTCTATCTAACAAGTATAGCATTTGGTCTAATTTAACATTTTAACAATGAGTATTCCCATACCACTTTACTCAGTTAAAATATTAGCCTACAAATAGATCTTGATCAATATATATAGGTGATCAGACACCATGTGAATAAATAGAAGAATTATTCTTTAATGATGAATATTTTTGTAACACAATTATTTATTAACTCATGAAGACGTATACTTCTGTAATGCTAAATTATTGGCATTTAAACAAGTAAGCATTTCTGAAAGTATGCATATAGAGATGTCAAAACTGGTGCAGACAGTGACATAACCCCCCATTCAAATATGGAATTTTATTCAAAACGTTTAAAACCTGTATGATACCATCATAAACCAGTCAGAGTGAGTGCATTTTTATATCACTGGCACCCCAACAAACACCCTGTGGTGGCAGGTGTTAATCCTAAGGGTTCTGATCATCTGGATGTTGAGGGGAGGAGGTCCTCTGTGTGGTCAAAGTAGTATGGAGAATGGAGGGAAGAATGTGACAAGTAGCAGAAAAGAAATAATTTACTGGTCTTTTGTTTGTTTGTTTTGTTTGTTTTTTGGTTTTTTTTTTTTTTTTTTTCCTTTTGAGACAGGGTTTCTCTCTGTTGCCCCAGGCTGGAGTGCAGCAGTGTGATCTCGGCTCACTGAAACCTCCATGATTCTCCTGCCTTAGCCTTCCGAGTAGCTGGGATTACAGGTGCCCACCACCATGCCCAGCTAACATTTGTATTTTTAGCAGAGGCGGGGTTCTGCCATATTGGCTGGGCTAGTCTCGAACTCCTGACCTCAAGTGATCTGCCCACCTCGGCCTCCCAAAGTGCTGGGATTACAGGCGTGAGCCACCGCACCTGGCCTAATTTAACATTTTAATAATGAGTATTCCCATACCACTTTACTCAGGTAAAATATTAGCCTAGAAACAGATCTTGGTCAATATGAATGACAAACTTTATAATCAAATAAACAATAGGTAGTTAAAAAGATGGAGCAATTTTTCTCAGGCTTTGGAAAATTTTATCTTCAATAGCCACTTTTTAATGACAAATGTCAAACATTAAAAACTTGCTCATATGGTACACTTTTTTATCTTACAAAAATAAGCACAACAAAAATGTGCTTCTGAACACTAAAGCTTTGTGAGTTAATGGCCTGAAAACATCTTCCAAATCTGAAATTCACGTTATTTTACCATTCTTTTATGATCTGAAAAAAAATTTTCCCAAAACTGTACACAAGGACTAAGATGAATAACCCTAATAGAAAATAAACTATTTTTGGAATTTTTAAAATTTACTCCTAGTGAAATTAGTGTTCTCAATTGGTTGCCTTTGTTTTCCAATACACAGACTTGCCAGCTGTTTTTATTTTTCAGCAACAGCTTTTATATCTGTGCTTAAGGCAGCAGTTGTTGAATTATTTTTAAATTATTTTTGAAGTGCTTATTCGAAAAGTTAAGGAAATTTTTTTTTTAATTTACTTGGAACAAATAGTTCATATTGTTTTCTTCCTTTCCCTTTCTTTTTTTACTTCTTTTGTTCTTTTCTGCAAATAGTCTAGGGTAGTGCTCTGACAATAACTTAGCTATCACGGACTTTTTTTTCCTTTGTAGGTGACATTGTTGTGCTTGACTGAAAACAATAGAGTTTTAATAAATATGAATGTGATTAAAAATATATATTAGCTGAATAGCATGCTGTTTTCATTTGTAAGGGGAAGGGCTGGGTGAGACTTTGTGCTTAGAGATAGGATCAGAGTGCGATGTTTTCTTTAAAATTGAATTTAGAAAATAAAATATACCTACTATACATGAGGAATATGGTATGCAGAACAAAATTTTCAATGTTTTAATATCCCGTTGTATTAATTCTAAATAAATTTTATTTAAATTTGTAATGCTCAAATGATCACATGTTTACAACAGTGAACACTTTGAAAAACTCAAATTACTACATGATGATTGCTGTAAATCAAATAAATTGCAATGGCTCCAGGGAGAAAATACATGTTATTTTGGACAGTCAGAAGACTGATTTCCAGCAAATACATCTCTAAAAGCACAACTCAAAATATAACCAGATCATGTTTTAGCATTTTTATTTTGTCAGAATCTGCTTAGATATTACCATTATGTAATAAATACAACTATCAGGCCTGTGCATCCTGATTGTATTTTCTAAGAGATGTATCTTACTATAAACAAAAAGAAAATTATTATTTTTATTTTTTTAGAGAATCTGGTTTCTTAAATAATGAGACATGAATAATTTTATTGAACAAAATTTTTTATACTGATACTAGATCCATAAACTTAATTCCTACAGAAATTATTTAATGCCTTTAACTTAGATAAACTTTCATTGCACATTAATACATTGATTTCTACTTAAAACTATCACAAATAAATAAATGCTTCATGTACTGGCATAAGTAAATTTTTGAGTACATCAAAAATAAAAATATTTTTTTAAAAACATTGAGGCCTAATGCTTGGTGGTCTGGAATAAGGGATGGTGATTCATACTAATTAAGTATAGTCAATATATTTCACTGCTATCTGATACGTTGATATTGTTTTCTTCTTTCCCCTCCCCCGTATTGTAATTGAGACCAATTACAGAAAACTTTGTCACTCCAGACATATTTATTTTCACTTGTTAAACTGGGAGATTTCTTTCCTTACTGTATTTACACGAGCCAACAAATTTAATTCCTCTTTCTAAAATTTACAATTATTAGGTCATATATTTGTTATCTCTCTTATAAATGGATGCAGAGGGTGATTCTAAAATGCACTTTGCCTTCCTCTTATGGTTGCTTTCTACATCTATACCTACTATTTAGATAAATGCTGTGCAGTAGAACATAATGTGAGCCACAAATACAAACCACACATGCAATTTTAAATTTTTAGCAGGTTCCTTTAAAAGTATAACAGATAAAATTGAGTTTATATCCAAATTGTCATTTCAACATTAAATAAATGTAAAGCTCATTGAGATATTTATAATCATTTTTCATATCAGCATATATTTTATGTTAACAGCATATCTTAATTCAGACCAGCCATAGTTCAAGTGCACAGCAGCTTCATGTGACTACCATAACGGATAGTGAAAATCTTGACCCTTACTTTCTGCTTTCCTAATTGTGTTCTTTTTTCTCTAAATATCTACAAAAACTTAAGATTCAAAGGAAAAATTCAGTGTGTTCATTTTCATTACTAAAACATTTACCATTATATCAGTGAGCAGTTTAAAAGAAATTTACAGTAAGTTTAAATAATAAAGCAAATTTTTCAGTAGAAGGGTAGTTTATTTTGATCATCCTTCTAAAAGCGAGTTACTTGAATAAAATAAAATCATTCTATTTAATTTAAGCCCAATTACTGAAATTACTTTTCAATATGGAAAAATTATATACGATTATTTGGCAAAAGCTTTTTTTGTGAATTCTCAGGATAATTCCCACAGTCATATATTCTACTATAGTAGAATGTGAATTCTGATAAAATATCAAGTGCAGAATTTGAAGTGAAACTAGTTTACTCATCTTTGACTACTGGTTTTTCCTGTTGTTAGGAGTCTAAAGTGTATTGTAAACCTCCATAAACATTTATAAGGAAATAAACATATTTGACTTGTAGAAATTGAAAATTAAGTTTTTGTTTTAAATTATATAAACCTTATAAACCAAATGCATTAAAAATATTTTCAGGTAACATTTTATTTCCTCTTAACCTGCTGCATAAATTTTTATTTGCAAAATGGAAAAACAGTAGTTTCCACTTCATAGAATTATTATGGGGATTAAACAAGATAGAAACCTGTAACATAGAATGTGTGTAATACACTCATTATTTACTATATTATTATTGAAAATATTTTGTTTTCAGTTCTCTTATAATTGCTGTCTGCTGTTCTTAACAACTGCCAAAGCTTCCAAACTTTTATTCTTACTTTCTTATGGCTTTTATATGCTTTACATTCTGCATAAGACTACATGGACATTACATACACACACACACACACACACACACACACACATATACAAAGCTGGTTCAAATGGCTGAAGCAGAGTCATCATTCCCACAGTTTTCCAAAAATATTCAATGTATTGCATTTTTTATCTCAAAAAAAGGTACCAACATCCTGGAACTCATTCCAAAAGCCCAACTTATCTTTTAATCTTCTCATTTACAGCTACCCAGTCACCCTAATACTAGTTGTCTCTTCTTCTCCTCTAAAATATCTACACAAATTCCCTAGTAATAGGGCGACTACATAATTGAACACTTCAGATTACTTTTGTCTGAGATAAATGCTAAACCAGATTGGATATTGGGACAGCAGGCATAAATAAAGACTATCCTGGACAATATGGCACATAAGCCACCTTATCAACATTGAAGTATTTTAGTTGAGAAGAAATGGGAATTTGAACCTGGTATTTGAAGTATGAATACATCAGAGGAAGATATGTGAGGAGTAAAATGGAGAAACTAGAATTGAACAGATTGATTAGGAATTAATTAGATCAGTTATAGTCACACTTATGCCCCAATACCTTCAATTCAGAATATCAGTATGAATGAAAGACTATCATTAGCATCATATTTCATTTTAAAAGTAATAGATATAAGACAAGAAAATAAACAAGACCAAAGTGCAGAGACACAGTGCCTTAAGTAAAGAATAATTCAGGTGAGGTATGGTGACTCACACCTGTAATCCCAGCATTTTGGAGGCCAAAGCAGGCAGATTGCTTGAGCCCAGGAGTTCAAGACCAGCCTGGGCAACATGGCAAAACCTATCTCTATGAAAAATATAAAAATTAGCCAGGCATGGTGCTCTGTGTCTGTAGTACCAGCTATTTGGGAGACTGAGGTGGGAAGATTGCTTGAGCCTGAGAGGTCAAGGTTGCTGCACTTCATCCTAAGCAATAGAGTGAGACCCTGTCTCAAAAAAAAAGAATAATTCACCCACACCAATATTTTAAACTGCCTTTTGTTTGGCACTCTAAAGTTCAAGATGGTTCAAAAGTATATCTTTTTTTTTTGTAAGGTAGAAAGACTGTTGTAAAAAACAGTTTTAAGTGTGAAGTATTAGCATAATATGGATGTTGAGAATCTGGATTTGTGTTTTCTAAGAATATTGGTTGGAGTGTTGTTAATTTGCCCAGGCATATTCATCATCTCCCCAAAAGTCACCTATTCTTCAAAATATTTATAAAAACTGTGTACCAAAGTTTTTATATTATTAATAATGAAAATAATTGAAATTTACTGAGTTACTACTATTTTTGGAACTGTACTGTTTCATGTTATAATTATTATTTAATAAAGAACTAATTATTATAGCTATGCTCCTTTTAGAGCTGAACAAACTGTGATTTTGAAAAGCTAAAAACAAGATCAAGCTTATATATTTAGTAAGTATCATCAGGATTTGAAATCAAGTTAGCATCTCACCAAGGACCTGTTCTTAACCAATATTGCATATAATAGTTTCTTTCTTTTTTAAATTTATATTTTATTTATATTTAATTTTTTAATTTTTACTTTGTGGGTACATAATATGTGTATATGTTTATAAGCAACATGAGATATTTTGAAAACAGGCATGCAATGCATAATAATCACATCAGGGTAAATGGGGTATCTATCACCTCGCGCATTCATCCTTTGCATTACAAACAATCCAATTATACTATTTTAGTTATTTTTAAATGTATGATTAAATTATTTTTTAACTATAGTCACCCTATCATGCTAGCAAATTGTAGGTCTTATTTAATCTTTCTAACTATTTTTGTACCTCTTATTCTGTAATTAAACATAAAGTAAGTAATGACTTTATTACTAAAAAGTAGCAGTAGCATTTCCTTACATAATAATTGATGGAAAATGTTTTATTATAAAGTTATTAGATATAGCTTATATACTTATTTCAAATATATAATCTATATTTGACTTTACTGTATATATTTAAGGTGCACATGATGTTTTGATATACATGAACATAGTGTAATGATTACTACAATCAAACATGGGAATATATCCAGTATCTCACATAGACCTTTTATGTGGGTGGGGTAAAAGTACCTAAAATTTCCTTCTTTAGCAAATGTCTTATCTGTGATACAATAGTATTAACTACAGTCCTCATGCTACACATTAGATCTCTAGACTCATGCATCCTGCATAACTGTAGCTTTGTACACTTTGACCTCCATCTCCTCATTTCCTCCACCCCCTGCTACCGAGATCATGCAATATTTTTCTTATTTTTTTTCTTCTATTTACTGAGATGGTCTAGTAACAATGACTCCTCAGTAGAAATGAGCCTATATAGAACCAAATATTGACACCTAAACAAAACTCTCCAATAAAATGAACAAATGCTCTGTATTAACCCATTTCTATACTGCTATAAAGAACTGTGTGAGACTGGGTAATATAAAAAAGAAAGAGGTTTAATTGACTCATAGTTCAGGATGGCTGGGTGGCCTCAGGAAACTTAAAATCATGGCAGAAGATGAAGGGGAAACAAGGCACCTTCTTCGCAAGACAGCAGAAAGGAGAAGTGTGGAGGTAAGGGGGAAGAGCCCCTTATATAACCGTCAGATCTCATAAGAACACATTCACTATCACAAGACTATCATGAGGGAAAGCACCCCCACGACCCAGTTCCCTCTATCTGGTCTCTCCCTTGACATGTGGGGCTTATTGAGATTATGGGGATTAGAATTCAAGATGAGATTTGGATGGAGACAAAAAGCCGTTATAACCATACCAGGCTCCATGAAGAAGCAGTTGATGTTAAAACAGGGGCAATGAATTATCAAAGAATGCACATATTTCTTAAAAATTTTACTGGATAATTGGACATGTATGTAAAGAAAGTAAATTTTAGCTTCTATATAACCCTATACATGACAAATAATTTGAGATCAATCTTAAGCCTGAAAGAAAGTATTGGAACCCCAGTGCTGGCTCCCTTTAACAAAACATAAATGCAAGCCTGGAAAAGGATGAAACACTTCCCAAGTAACATAACTGCATCCTTAAATAAATATGAAGAGTATTCGTGAGAAATACAAAAGTATCCAGCACTCAACAAAATCAAATTAAATCTCTGGCATTAAAACAAATTACCAGCTATGTAAAAATACAGTGAAAGGTGATTCATAATAAGGAGAACAATTAAGCAATTGAAACCAATTGTGAACAGACATAGGCATTAAATATAGCAGACACAGGTGGTAAATCAAAGCCTTCAAAATTTTAGAACATATAGAAAAATAATTTTACATGTTTAGAGTAAGCAAATGTTTTTCTAAGACTAATTCTACAAATCGTGAATCACTTAATAAAGAATAAATAGAATTTTATAAAAATTGAAATTTTATTTTCTCCGAAAACATTATTAAAAACAAATAAGCAATTAACAAGCTGGAATAGAAAATATTTACAATACATAAATCTGAAATAAGATTTAATCTTTAATACATGAGAAATGCTTATTGATCTGCAATAAAAAACCAACAACCAAATCAAAAGCTAGCCAATGAATAAATATTTCTCAAAAGATGATACCCAAATATCATATACATGATATATGTGTATACATAAAAAGGCATTTAATGTTTTTATCTGAAAAATCTAAAATAAAACAAAAATAAATTATTTCACAGTATAGAATTTTCAAAATAAAATGACTGATAATTCATTATGTACAAGCATAAAATATTATAGCCACATTGAACTATGGTTTGATATTTTCTTAAAACATTAAAAATGCATCTTTAATTCTGCAGTTTCTCTCCTTTCTACTTGTCAAAAAGAAATGAAAAAATTCTTACAAAAATATGTAAAGAAATGTTCTTAATCACCTTATTCTGTTAAGGCTAAAACTAGAAATTGTGAAAATCATTCAAAAAAAAGTGAATAAAAACGTAGGGCTATGCTCATATCTAATAAGTAACAAATTATCGATTCACATATTCTATAACATGGACCTATCTGGAAACCATCGTGCTGACCAAAATAAATTAGACACAAAATGTTGCATATACATGTATATACTCAGACACACACAGTTCAGCCTTGAATAGCATGAGGTTAGGGTAACTGACCCCTGCACAGTCAAAAATCTGCATATAACTTTTGAGTCCCTCAAACCTTGAGTACTAATAGCCTGCTGTTGACCAGAAGCTTTACTAATAACATAAATAGTTGATTAACACATAATTTTTATGTTATAGCTATGGTATGCTGTAATTTTACAATAAAATAAGCTAAAGAAATGAAAATGTTATTAAGAAAATCATTAGGAGGAGAAAATATATTAACTATTCATTTAGGAAGTAGATCATCATAAACGTCTTAATCCTCATCAACTTCACACTGAGCAGGCTAAGGAGGAGGAGAAAGAGAAGAGAGTAGTCTTGCTGTCACTGGGGTGGCAGAGGCAGAAGAAAATTCACAAATATGTGGACACCCACAGTTCAAATCCATGTTCCTCAAAAGTCAACTGTATGCATAAAATTCCATCTGTATGAACTATTAAAAAATTAAAAAATACTCAAGATCTCAGAAACCAGGAAAAAGTTGGTCTGCGTGATGGCAGAAACTAACTATAAAGAGAACAAGGGAAATTACTGGGATGATTGAATTTATTTTTCAGTTTTATTTGGGGTGATAAAGCTTATTAACCTAAACACCTAAGGTCTTTACACTTGAGTATATGTAAAGTATGTCACATTAGAAAATTAAAACTAGGAAATAGAATAAGTACTTTGTTATAGAATGACACAGAATGATCAAGTATATAACTTTGCAGAATGGTACATTAAAGAAAATTGTGCCTACATATTGACAGCTTATACCCAGTTTATTGTTATGAGATTTTCCAAAATCTATCCAAAACATTTCACTTTGGAGAGATGAGTGATCGCAATCTTGACAGAAATATATCTTTCTATATTTAAAAGGTGAAAATAAAACATTAGAATTAGAGGAAAATACATGTTCAAAAGCATTTTCAGCAAGCACACACACATAACATACACACACTGATAGTAACTTTCTATAATATATGTGACTTTACTTAAGGGGTTAGTGAGAAGTTAATGAACTATCCTTTTAAAGATAAGTAAAACAAAAAATAAAAATATTGAGACTCAGATTGAATTGAGTTGAATGGATTTACCTTGAAATGCCTTTTATTAATAAAGGGATTAAATATAATTTTTCTTAGTCTTTTTTCAGAGTAATTTTCTTAAGTCAATTTAAATCCTTAGCTTTTTTTCTGAAGAAAATCAAAGTAAATAGTTTTTAAATTATTTATAATAACACTAGGTATATGATTATGACCTTTTTATTAGTTTTAAAAGCTTAATTTATCCCGTAGTTTGGTTTCTGTGGTAGCACTTGGAAATATATGCTTTTTGTAACTTAGAGCATGAAGAAAAATGATTTGTGTTTGCAAGTAGTGTCCAGACAACTCATAGTTATTTTTTAAAATTTATAAATTTTTCCTCACCTCAGACTAAAAAACTGATGAGATCCAAGAATATCAATATTGATTTTGTCTATTTTCACCAGCCAATGCTCCACTTTAATTTGTTTTTCTTTTAATCATTTGAGGTTGGTCAATCTTACATATAAAAAATAAACAAAACTCATTACATTTGGGGTCAGAGTGAATATATGAAAATCCCTCAAATTTTGCTAGTTGAATGGTATTGGGGGAAATTCACCCCTGATATTTCACATATGTTCTTTTCTATTTTCCCTAAGTGTCAGCTTGTCTGAGAAATAAAGGGACAGAGTACAAAAGAGAGAAATTTTAAAGCTGGGTGTCCTGGGGAGACATCACATGTCGGCAGGATCTGTGATGCCCCTGAGCCATAAAACCAGCAAGTTTTTATTAATGATTTTCAAATCGGAGGGAGTGTACGAATAGGTTGTGGGTCACATGCTTCACAAGGTGATAAAATATCACAAGGCAAATGGAGGCAGGGTGCACATTGTCATTGATAACATCTTATCAGGAGACAGGGTTTGAGAGCAGACAACCGATGTGACCAAAATTTATTAGGTGGGAATTTCCTCATTCCAATAAGCCTGGGAGTGCTACAGGTGACTGGGGCTTATTTCATCCCTTATCGACAACCGTAAAAGACAGCCGCCCCCACAAAGCGGCCATTTCAGAGGCCTCCCCTTAGGGAGGAATTCTCTTTCTCAGTGATGTTCCTTGCTGAGAAAAAGAATTCAGCGATATTTCCCCTATTTGCTTTTGAAAGAAGAGAAATATGGCTCTGTTCCTCCCGGCTCACAGGCAGCCAGAGTTTAAGGTTATCTCCCTTGTTCCCTGAACATTGCTGTTATCCTGTTCTTTTCTCAAGGTGCCCAGATTTCATATTGTTCAAACACACATGCTCTACAAACAATTTGTGCAGTTAACACAATCATCATAGGGTCCTGAGGTGACATACATTCTCCTCAGCTTACAAAGATGATGGGATTAAGAGATTACAGTAAAGACAGGCATAGGAAATCACAAGGGTATCAATTGGGGAAGTGATAAGTGTCCATGAAATCTTCACAATTTATGTTCAGAGATTGCAGTAAAGACAGGTGTAAGAAATTACAAAAGTATTAATTTGGGGAACAAATAAATGTCCATGAAATCTTCACAATTTATGTTCTTCTGCCATGGCTTCAGCCGGTCCCTCCGTTTGGGGTCCCTGACTTCCCACAACAGAATGGCTATGCACACACACTTTAGTTCCTATGGATCTAGTGTTCCTCATTTGTAAATAAGAGCAGAACTCCTGTTGTTGGGCTGTGCAAGTGCCTGGCAAGTGTCTGACAAAATGCAGGCATTCAACAAACTGTCATGCTTTTTGCATACATTCCACAGATAAATATTTGTAACCATAATATGTCTTATTGACAAAAAGTATACTAAGGTGAGTTATAGACAAGCAGCCATGGCATTAAGCACAGTAAGGGCAGGATGGATATGTGGCTAAGAAAAGTCCATCTTTAGGGACTACGACACTAAGAACACAGCACTTTACAGCCAATGATTTGGGAACTTACTCTGAATTATTGATGGGTTAAATTTCTTACACTGGTTATTAGTGAGAATAATATTTTTGACATACACTATGATACCGGTAGTATATATAACTTGAACTGTGAAACAGAATTTGTGTGATAAACTAGTCAAGAAAATGTCAGAGTGTTGTAGCCTACTAAAATTTCAGGGACATTTTAATATCTTTATGAGGTTTTTTTTTGGCAATTTTACTTCCACAATGATTATAATGGTGAAGACAGAAACTAAACACAATCAGTGTAAATAAAATCACAATTATTATGCTTTCATAATTCTAAGTGGTTTCTCCTGTGCCTGCCCATTTTTGTTTGTCCACAAACTTTCTCAGAAAAAAAAAAAAAAAAAGGCAAAATGAACGTTTTGAAGCATGAATAGCATCACACTCTCCAGTGGCTTTCAATCTCTTTCCTGGTGAAAGTCAAATTCCTTTCAGTGTCTATGAGATAACAGGAAGACAGTATCTGGTGTGTCATTGCTTATTGTCCTCATCTCCTTATTTTTTCTTCCTAGCATATTTAATTCCAGGCACTTGAATAAGATAAACAAAATCCTTGCCCTCATCGGAATTATAGCAAAACAAATTTAGATAGACAAGTCACAGAAACAAACAAATGCTAAGATAATTTCAGATAATGTATCTGTTATGAAGAAAATAAGCCTGGTACATAGGGTAATCTGAGGCACTTAATGGAATTGCTATTTGAGCTATGGATTGAGAATAAACCAGGAATAATGAAGCACATGGCAGAAGGTCAGAGATCACTCTATGTGAACAGCCTATAAATTGGTAGAAAGCAGAGTGACTATTTTTTGTTCATATTTTGGTAATTTATTTGAAAAATCACATGAAATGAATTTGAAAACCACTCATTTTTAATGCCTTATCTTGCAACTTCAGGCTAATTTGCAGTTAAACTAGTCAGACTCTTATATCAATAGTAGAATATATTAGATACAGGCAAATAAAATATGTAAAACTTTCTCAGAATTATTGTAGCTATGAAAGCCAAATGCTAAATGCAGAAAACTTAAATGGTTTATATATCTCTAATATGACCTTGTCATTACATGAGTTTTGATGCAACCATGGTAAGCACATTCTTCAAGAACATGCATCTAAGTTGTTCCAGCTGTTTGAACAAATAGATTTTCGTCCTACCAGGGTGCTCTCTGTAAAACTGTATATGAATGGACATATCCAGACCTCATTTTTAATAATAGACAATTGCAAAGCTGTAACCTTTCAAATCAGTGAAACATTTACAAGAAGTTTGAATATGGTCTCAGATGACTAGAAAAGCTTTATTCTGAGTTGATTTTGTAGCTGGTTTACACTTTTATTATCTATAATATATAACTAAATTTAAATTTCAACTCTTCTTATAAAGAAAAAAATTACATTTTATATTTTAATTTGAATTAAACAATAAAAAATCCTGATACATCAACATAAAACACTACAGGTTTCCTGAAACACATTTTGAAAAATGATTGGCATGTGTTAACCTAGTTTTCAAAATACTTTGTCCTTCATTTTGAAAGCCACACAGTTCACTCTACAGAAGTTTTCACTCTGAACTTTGCCAGTAATATATTGAGAACTAAATCCCAATTAATAGTCTATCAAAAAATATTTAAATAAATTCACTATGACTTCATTTGGTCAATATATGAATGTTTTAAGTGACTGGAAATAATGTAATTGGGTGCTATTTTATTCTCACATGAAGAACAAGTGTTCAATAAGCTAATATATTTTTATTATTGTACTTACAATGTAAATTGCAGTTTAAATGAACTCTGTAGCTCTCTAGAATGTAACCTACTGTCCTTGAAATATTAATAGAGTTAAAATTATAAAATTTCCTCCAAATGAGCTTTTTATATTTCTCCCTGAATAACTGAAGATGTGTCTCTGTTATCTTTTCAGAATACTGCGAAAATGCCCTGAAGAGGCAGATGTTTCTAAGGGGACTTCAGACCTTTTTAAGAATAATGTTTGTAAGGTTTTTAGAGGATGCAATGTGATATGACATCCTCTCCTGATGATTCTCAAGTCTCATCATAAATTAGAGTAAACCGATCAGTCTTTAAAAATCATCTCAGTAAATGTTTAAAACTACAGATACTGCGTTGACTAGGTACTTACTATTAGTGCTTTCAGGGAGTGGATCCTTGAATTAAAATGTCCCATCTGGCATATTAAAAGGTTATATAGCAGAGTGCATAAATACACCTATTTTGAAAAACATCCCGAGTATGCTTATACTTATACAAATCCATTTATACATAAATAATTTCTAGCAGAAAGCTTCTCATATGTAATTCTCACGCGTCAACTAACTTAAGCCCAGAGCCTTCATCCATCAATTTCTTAGTGTGTCCCCACACACTAGGTGCTATTACATATATTCTTTTCACTCCATCCTACAACAACACTGTTTTAATTCAAATACGTTAGTAACTCATTTTTACTATTTATAATTAAAAATAAAATCTGATTTTTCTGTACTTAGTCGAAAGTAAATACTAAATAGTTAAAGATGACTTGGGATTCTAAAAAATTGATTTTAATTGTGGCTATGATAATAATAGAATTCTGGATTCCTCTTCTCTTTAAGGTTTAAAAACTGGCTCTTGCCTACTTGACACTAAGTGTTAGATACTTTTATTTTGAGGACGATATTGTTGGAAAGTTGCTTATAAGGCTTGTAATATAATTGAGAGGGTACTGGCTTTGCAATTCAAAGTCCTTATTTTCTCTCCTACCACTTATGAGTTCTACTATCATGTTATTTTCAATTTAACACCTTTAAGAAGTAACACATTGCAGAAACTGTTAAAAGGTTAGGCAGAAATTAAAAATTAGGCAAAATGATGACTGCATGTCTTTTTAGGTTAAAATGAAGTCTTAACAGGTCCATCTAATACTTAATTGTTAAGGAAAAGTGCCTTTTATTCACTTTCTATTTACCATTAGTTTGGAATCAGACTTTCTAAAGTATCATAATACTTTATCAATTTGTGTCTGGTAGAGATACCAATTATTTCTATGCAGTGCATTACACAATCCCAAAAGTTATAGTTTCATTGTCTTATAATCCTATTAACTAAATTTGTATCTAAATTACTGATCTGTCTTTAGAATTCTTTTTTTCAGTATCTTTATATACCTAATCTACTAAACATTTCTTTTGAACCAAAGTACCATTATGCAGTTTCAGTCATTCATTTATTATCTAAATGTTTCCCATGGTCACTCTATATTTGTGTCAGAGTCATATTTATAAGGTTTTGAAAAATATAGTTTGATGAAAACTATCAATAAATCTTGAAACTGCTGTGGAGAGATTTTTTCCTCGCCATTTTTCTAAGGTTTAGGGTTTGGGGTTTGTTTTGGTTTGGTTTTCTTACAATTTCCAAATTGTGGGGAAGCTACTACTTTTTTGTAGTCATAAAGGATTTTACTTAAAATATACTTTTAGCATGGATCCCAATGTATTATGGATCATTTGTATTAGAGGGTAATATTTGTTCCCTATTCTTGATTTCTCTAGAGAGATGTGGAGATATTTTCACTGGAATGTTTCATCTCTGTCCTCGTCTCCTTACTCATGATGCCTATGAAAACATAAAGAGACATGTTCTGACTCGTAAGTTTGGGGAAAAGTAACAGGTTATACATGTTTCCTCCAGGGACATGTTATCCCTCACTACATGAAAAGCAAACCCAACCCATGTCCAGGGATTGGTTGTAAAAGCCTATTTAATTCTCACAGAAGTCTTTTTAATACTGCTGTCTTTATCAGTGATAAAGGAGACATTCTGGCCTTCATTCTATATTTCTTCATTTATCACCTGTTCAGAATTATGACAGGAAAACTATTAATTATATTGGGTGACCTCCTTCAGAATCTCCACCATTTTGTAATTATCTATGCATAAAATATCACCTCCCATGAAAAGAATAATAAGGTACAGCTACAGTGTTCTCTTTCACTTATTTTGTTGTAAGTCTCAGAATAAACTACCTGAGTATTTCCTCAGAAAACCAAATCAAATTAAATTCGATGTGTATGAAAATCATATTATTATATCTATAATAAATAGTTACTTTAAAGAAGGTTTCTTTGGAAAGGAAATGAGATTTTAAAATTCTTTAAAATTTTAAATTTTAAAGACTCTCCATGAGGCTATCCTTTACCTAATTTTGGGCCCAATATTTACTATAACAGTCACTGACTTGAAGTACATAAAAAACAATTTCACAGGGAAAATTCAAAAGCAGCTCATTCTTATTTAGTCTGTGGTAGAGTTTTATCTGAACAAGAAGGTTTTCTGTTTCTTTAGTGGTTTCCAAAAAGGTTTCAACAAATAGATGAAGTGATGTTAAAAGTAGGGAAGCCAGGACTATAGATTTATATATAGCCAGGTTGAAGTTTTTCCTTCAGCATGTCAAGGTAGTTTTCTTTTTGTTTTTCACATAGTGGTACTTTATTATTTTTTTTGGCTCATATTAGATATATTTATGTGTACAAATTTATGGATAGATTGCGTAATTAATAAGGCAGAGCTTTAAGGGTATCTATTACCCAAATAATGCACATTGTACCAATTAACTCATTTCTCACCATCCACCTCGTTCCCACCTTTGCATCATTTTGAGACTCCATTCTATATCATTCCACTCTTTATGTCCATCTATGTGTATACATATTTTAGCACCCATTTATGAATGAGAACATGTGATATTTGACTTTCTGTGCCTGACTTGTTTCACTTAAAATAATGATCTCCAGTTCCATCTTTGTTCCTTCAAAGGACATGATTTTACGCCTTCTTATGGCTGAATAATATTCCATTGTGTATATATATATGTGTGATATTTTCTTTATCATTGATCCGTTGATGGACACAGGCTTATTCCGTATCTTTGCTATTTTGAATAGTGCTACAATAAAGATGAGTGCAGGTATCTTTTCGATATACTGATTTCCTCTGGGCGTGTACCCAGTAGAGAGACTGCAAGATTGAATGGTAGTTCCATTTTTAGTTATCTGAGAAATCTCCATATCGTTTTCCATAGAGGCTGTACTAATTTATATTCTCACCAAGAGTGTATGAGTTCCTTTTTCTCTGCATCCTCTCCAACATCTGTTATTTTTTGTCTTTTTAATAATAGCCGTTCTGACTGGAGTAAGATGATAACTCATCAGCATATGAAGTTTTGCAAAGTGCTATCATTATGCCTTCAAAGAAACTGTTTAAAGCTCCAAATATACCCTGACAAAAGACACACTCATTACTGACATTATGTAAGTTTTCCATTTATCCTAGAGTTCCATATATTGGATACATTACATTAATAGCATATTAGAGTAGCACAATACAATATCAGCAAAACTTATTGTGAGTTTACTGTGTAGCAGCCTGGGATAAGTACTGAGAGTGTATTTAATTCTCACCTTAAATCTATGCATCAAGCACAGTTATCATCCCTATTTTAAAATGTGTATCCCAGGAAATAGGGAAGTTAAGCAATTTGTCCAAAGTTGAACAGATGTAAAGGCCTACACAGCTTCTCAATTCATATATTTTTAAGTGAAAAATGGTTGACCTTAATAATGACACTATTCTAGTTTCCTTGTATAAATTCCACTAGAGTAAAGGCCTAGTATCACAAACATCTGAAGGAAACTGTCACACTCCACAACTTCCCCAGTGGCTGCTGAAGGATCCAAGTAATCCAAGTGACAACCCTCCAGGGGAGTCAATTAAATTAAGGTAAATTTTGACCAGGGAAGGACAGGAGATAGAAGAAAAATAGCAGATAAATTCTCTTTTCTTCCATACAGTATGTCTAAAGACATCCACTGTGTCTTGGTAATCAAACATTCTTGTCCTAAATCTGTGGACAGTTTTGTAACTGGTTCTTTGTGTTTGTACTGTCTTCTTCCCTGCCTCACACTCCTATTTTCCTCACTCATGTTTCCCTGGCATTTCACTTTTCAGTAAAACGTAAGCACCTCGTTGTCTGGCTCATGTTTTGTCATTTCTAGGCAACTTAATAAAACAACACTTCATACTTCATATGCTACCTGTCTCATACAATACTGTAACAGAATTCAATAACCTATCATAATATGACTTCTAAAAAGCGTTTGTTTATATGTATACACGTCAATGCACACAATGTAGAAACTCAAGATATTTGTTGAATGAGTGAGTATTCACCCACATACACTTAAATACAACACATAATATAATGGATAGAAAGTTATAATACTAATACATAAGCTAATATTAATTTAGTTTTTATGTGTTTTCTATATTTGAGAGTGTAAATTAGCCACGTAATGCAATCTAATCTTTTTGGCATGACTACGAGGGAGTTATAAATAATAATTCCACCATTTTATAATTTTTAAAAGACAATTTAAATAAATTATGCAATTCTGCATATTATACATCTCATTTGCAAAATAACATTCGGTCACCAATGAAATGGGCCTTAATTTTACTCTCTCTCATTATATCCTGCTTTATTTTGCCTTTACTAAAGCCATAATTATTTACAAAGATATTTCCTTGCCTTCTAGAAAGCTCTATGTTTATATGGCTTCAAATTAGATTGCTAGATGCAAAATTGTAGAATGGCAAAGAAGGTAAAGAATTTTTTAAAATTAGCAAATTTAGCAAAGAAGCAATTCATGAATATTTTTGAAATGATATTGTCTTATTTTGTAGAAACTGTACAATTACTATAGCCATGGTTTTCATTCCTTTTATAACAATTCAGAGGGATTCCCGATGTCAACAAGGAGTCATCTTATACTCAGAAAAAAAGAAAGTATATTCATAATTTTCAAAATAACCCACTTTATACTTTTTTTTATTCTACATGTATTTTGTGTGGATGAAGAAGAGGTGTCTTCTATAAATTTTATCTTACTGCGGTAAGAACACTTAACATGAGATCTACCCTATTACCAAGTTTTAAGTATACAATATATTGTGGTTGACTACAGGTACAATATTGTATTAGCATATATCTAAAGCTTATTCATCTTGCTTAACTGAAAGTTTATACACATTGATTAGTAACTTTCAATTTTCCCTTGCCCCAGCCACTGGTCACCATCATTCTGACTTGATATTATGAATTTGACATTTTAGATACCTCATGAAAGTGGAATCATGCAATATTTACCTTTCTGTGACTGGTTTAGTTCACTTAGCATAATGTCCTGAAGTTTCATCTACATTGTCACATATTGCAGAATTTCTTTCTTTCTTAAGGATGAACAGTATTCTGTTGTATATATGTAACACATTTTCTTCACCTATTCATCTATTGAGAGATATCTAGGTTGTTTCCACATCTTGGCTATTGGGAATGCTGCTGCAATAAACACAGGAGTGCTGATATTTCTTGAGAATCATAATTTCAAGTCATGGATAAATATGCAAAGTAAGACTGCTGAATATGGTAGTTCTATTTTTAATTTTTGAATAACTCCATTCTGTTTTCCACAGCAGCTGAATAATTTTGCATTCCCACTAACAGTGTACAAGATTCTAGTTTCTCCACATCCTCATCGGCTCTCGGAGTCTTTTTGTTTTTTTGATAATAGCCATCGTGACAGTTGTAAGGTGATATTTTGTTATGGTTTTGATTTGTATTAACCTGATGACTAGTGATATTGAGTATTTTTTCATATACCCATTAGCCATTTGTATGCCTTCTTTGCATAAATGTCTATTCAAGATCTAGCCGATTGTTTGAGATATTATTTTTTGGTATTAAATTGTAGGGGTTTCTTATACATTTTGGATATTTACCTCTTGTTAAATATATAATTTTCAAATACTTTCTCTCATTTTGTAGGTTGACTCTTGACTCTGTTGATTGTTTACATAGCTTTGGGGAAGTTTTTTAGTTTGATGTAGTCCAATTTGTTTATTTTTGTTTTAGTTGTCATATCCATGAAATTACTGCCAAGACCAATGTCATGAAGCCTCTCTCCTATGTTTTCTTCTAGGAGTTCTGTAGTTTCAGATGTTGTGAACAAGTCTTTAATTCAACTTGAGTTGATTTTTGTGTATTCTGTAAGATAGGAGTCACATTTTATTCTATTGCCTGTGAAAATACAGTTTTCTCAGCACCATCTGTTGAGGAGATAAGACTTTTATTACTGTGAATTCTTGCCACTCTTGTCAAAGATTATAAACTTATATGTGTGAATTTATTTTTGTACTCTATTCTGTTCCATTTGTTTATACCTGTCTTTATGCCAGTGCCATACTGTTTTTATTACTGTAGTTTTATATATCTTAAAATCAGGAAGTGTGATGTCTCCAACTTCGTTCTTTCTCGAAATTGGTTTGGCTCTGTTGTCTTTTGTGGATTCATGTGAATTGAATAGTAGCTGTTTCTAATTTAATAAAAATGTTATTGGGGTTTTGAAGGAAACTGTAGGCCAGGTGCAGTGGCTAATGCCTGTAATCCCAGCACTTTGGGAGGCCGAGGCAGGCGGATCACAAGGTCAGGAGATTGAGACCATCCTGGCTAACACGGTGAAACCCCACCTCTACTAAAAATACAAAAAAAAAAAAACAAAAAAAAAAACTAGCCAGACGAAGTGGCGGGTGCCTATAGTCCCAGCTACTCAGGAGGCTAACGCAGGAGAATGGCGTGAACCCAGGAGGCGACGCTTTCAGTGAGCCGAGATGGCACCACTGGACTCCAGCCTGGGTGACAGACAGAGGCTCTGTCTCAAAAAAAGAAAAAAGTGAAAGAAACTGTATTGAATCTGTGGATCTCTTTGGATGGTTGGACATTCTTAACTATATAACAGCTTCAATCCATGAAAATGTAATGTCTATTTTTGTGTCTTCTTTAATTTATTTCATTAATGTTTTCCAATTTTTAGTAAGTTTTTCACTTCTAATTAAGTGTATTTCTGGGTTTTTAATTCTTTTTATGTTATTATAAATGAGATTGTTTTCCTAATTTCCTTTTAAGATAGTTTGTTGCTTGTGTATAGAAATCCCACTATATTTGTATGTTGATTTTATATTCTATATCTTTAATGAATATGTTTATTAATTTTAACAGGTTTTTAAAATTGTTAATGGAGTCTTCAGGGTTTTCTTTACATAAGATCATGACAACTGCAAACAGGAACAATTTTACTTCCTCTACAATTTGGTGGCCTTTTGTCTCCTTTTCTTGCCTAATTATTTTGACTAGGACTTCTAGAACTGTGTTGAATGTAAATAGCAAGGGTGCACATCTTTGCCTTGTTCTTGAGTTTGGTGTAAAAGTTTTCAAATTTCACAGTTGAATATAATGTTGACTGTGTGCTTTTCATATATGTCCTCTATTATTTTGAGGTAATTCATTGTTCATTTATAATTTGATGAGAATTTTTATTATGAAAAGGTGTTGAAATATCTTTTTCTGCATCTATAGACACAGTTATGTGATTTTTATATTTTATTGTGTTGATGTGATGATTAATCACATGGCATGCTTGTATGCTAGGGATAAGTCCCACTTGGTCATGTCATATAATTCTTTTAATGTGTGGTTGGATTTTGCTTACTAGTATGTTATTGAGGGTTTTTGCATCTATTTACATCACAGTATTAATCAGTTTTATTTTTTAATCTTGTGATGTATTTGTCTGACTTTGGTATGAGAAAAATGCTGGCCTTATAAAGTGACTTTAGAAGTGTTTCCTCCTCTTTGCTTTTTGAAGAGGTTGAGAAGAATTGGCATTAATTTTTCTTTATATGTTTGGTAGAATTCACTAGGGAAGCCATCTGGTCCTGGGATTTTCTTTGTCGGAAGGCTCTTAAATACAGTGTCAATCGTGGTACTGGTTACAGATCTTTTCAGACTTTCTGTTTTTTCATGATTTAGAATGGTTTAGATAGGTTTTCAGGAATTTATGTATTTCTTCTAGGTTATCCAGTTTGTTAACATATGATTGGTAATAGTATTTTATGATCCTTTTTATATCTGTGGTATCAGTTGTAATGTTTCCTGTTTCATTTCTGCTTCTAATTATTTGAAGCATCTCTCTAATTTTTAAATTAGTTAAGGGCTGGCTAAAGGCTGCCCATTTTATTTATTTTTTTGAAGCAGCATCTCTTGGTTTTATTGATTTTTTTCTATCATTTTTCTATTTTATTAACTTTTGCACTAATCTTTATTATTACCTTTATTCTACTAACTTTGATCTTAGTTTCTTCTTTTTCTAGTTCCCTGTGTGAAGTTAGGTTATTTATTTGAAATCTTTTATTTTTTAATGTAGGTATTTACTGCAATAAACTTCTCTGTTAGTACTTACTGCTTTTTCTATATTCCATAACTTTTGTTATGTTGTTTTTATGTTATTGTTTGTCCTGAGGTATTTCTTATTTTATTTTTATTTCCTTTTTAACCAGTGGTTGTCTAAGCGCATGTTAGCTTTCACATATTTGCATATTTTCCAGTTTGCCATCCACTACTGATTTCAGGTTTTACACCACTCTGATTAGTAGAGATATGTGTTATAATTTCAATGTTAAGCTTGTTAAGACTTGTTTTGTGACCTAATAATTATATATCCTGGAAAAAATCCCATTTACACCTGGGAAGAATGTGAATTCTGCTGCTGTTGAGTGGAATGTTTTAAATATTTCTGTTAGATCAATTAGGTCTAAAGTTTTGTTTAAATCCTCTGTTTTCTTATTGGTCTTCTGTCTGGATGTCCTATTCATTATTGGGAATAGAATATTAAAGTCTCCTAGTAGTTTGTTGTATTGTTGTCTATTCCTCTCTTCAATTCTGCCAATTTTTGCTTTATATATTTAGGTTCTCCAGTGTTGAAGGCATATATATTTATAATTGTTATATTTTCCTTGTGGATTTGCCTTTTATCATTATATAATATCCTTTATTTTGTGACAATTTTTGACATGTAGTTCAATTTGTTTGATATAAGTATACATAGCCAGTGTGGTGGCTCATGCCTATAATCCCAGCATTTTGGGAGACCAAGGCAGGTGGATCACATGAGTCTAGGAGATCAACATGGCGACCAGCCTGGGCAACATGGTGACATGCCATCTTTACAAACCATACCAAAAAATTAGCCAGGCTTGGTGACATGTGCCTATAGTCCCAGCTACTTGGGAAGCAGAGGTGGGAGGATTGCTTGGGCCCAGGAAATCAAGGCTGCAGTGTCCGTAATTGCATCACTGCACTCCAGCCTGGGGACAGAGTGAGACACTGTCTCAAAATACACAAAAATAAAAAATGAGTAAAGATACTCCTCCTCTCTTTTGGTTACTATTTGCATTGAATGTATGTTTTCATCTTTTCACTTTCAGTCTTTCAATACTGTTGGATTTTTTGTTTGCTTTATGCATTCAGCCACTTTCTGTCTTAATTAGGGTATTTAGTACATTTGCATTTAATATGATTATTGATAAGACAAGATTTACTATTTCTATTCTGTTCATTTTTTTTAAAATTTCCATTGGTTTTGGTATTTAGTTACTAGTTACATTAGTAAGTTCTTTAGTGGTGATTTGTGAGATTTTGGTGTACCCATCACTCACTCAAGCAGTATACACCGTACCCAATTTGAAGTCTTTTATCCCTCACCCTTCTGCTATCCTTTCCCTCAAGTCCCCAAAGTCCATTGTATCATTCTTAGGCATCTGCATCCTCATAGCTTAGCTCCCACTTATGAGTGAGAACATACAATGTTTGGTTTTCCACTCCTGAGTTACTGCACTTAGAATAATAGTCTCTAGTTCCACACAGGTTGCTGAAATGTCATTATTCCATTCCTCTTTTAATGGCTAAATAGTATTTCATTATACATTTACATATATTCTATATTTTTGCAATTGCAAATTGTGCTGCTACAAATATGCATGTGCAGGTATCTTTTTCATATAAGGACTTCTTTAACTCTGGCTACTCAGTAGTGGGATTGCTAGATCAAATGTTAGTTCTACTTCTAGTTTTTAAAAAACATCCACACTGTTTTCTGTAGTGGTTGTACTAGTTTACATTCCGTGAGCAGCGTAAGAGGGTTCCCTTTTCACCGCATCCCTGCGAACATCTAATATTTTTTAATTTTTTGTTCATGTCCATTCTTGCAAGAGTAAGGTGGTATTGAATTGTGGTTTTCTTTTTTGTTTTTTCTTTTTTTTTTTTTTAAGATAAAATCACCTGTATTTCCATCTACACAGTTACCATTTGGTATATTTCCTTTAAATCTTTTTTTTATTATTATACTTTAAGTTTTAGGGTACATGTGCACATTGTGCAGGTTAGTTACACATGTATACATGTGCCATGCTAGTGCGCTGCACCCACTAACTCGTCATCTAGCATTAGGTATATCTCCCGATGCTATCCCTCCCCCTCCCCCCACCCCACAACGGTCCCCAGAGTGTGATATTCCCCTTCCTGTGTCCATGTGATCTCATTGTTGAGTTCCCACCTATGAGTGAGAATATGCGGTGTTTGGTTTTTTGTTCTTGCAATAGTTTACTGAGAATGATGATTTCCAATTTCATCCATGTCCCTACAAAGGACATGAACTCATCATTTTTTATGGCTGCATAGTATTCCATGGTGTATATGTGCCACATTTTCTTAATCCAGTCTATCATTGTTGGACATTTGGGTTGGTTCCAAGTCTTTGCTATTGTGAATAATGCCGCAATAAACATACGTGTGCATGTGTCTTTATAGCAGCATGATTTATAGTCCTTTGGGTATATACCCAGTAATGAGATGGCTGGGTCAAATGGTATTTCCAGTTCTAGATCCCTGAGGAATCGCCACACTGACTTCCACAATGGTTGAACTAGTTTACAGTCCCACCAACAGTGTAAAAGTGTTCCTATTTCTCCACATCCTCTCCAGCACCTGTTGTTTCCTGACTTTTTAATGATTGCCATTCTAACTGGTGTGAGATGGTATCTCATTGTGGTTTTGATTTGCATTTCTCTGATGGCCAGTGATGATGAGCATTTTTTCATGTGTTTTTTGGCTGCATAAATGTCTTCATGTCTAAAACACCAAAAGCAATGGCAACAAAAGACAAAATTGACAAATGGGATCTAATTAAACTAAAGAGCTTCTGCACAGCAAAAGAAATTACCATCAGAGTGAACAGGCAACCTACAAAATGGGAGAAAATTTTTGCAACCTACTCACCTGACAAAGGGCTAATATGCAGAATCTGCAATGAACTCAAACAAATTTACAAGAAAAAAACAAACAACCCCATCAAAAAGTGGGCAAAGGACATGAACAAACACTTCTTAAGTGAATTGTGGTTTTCATTTGCATTTCCCTGATTTTCAGTGATGTTGACCGTTTTTCCATATGTTTGTTGGTCATTTGTATATCTTCTTTTGAGAATTGTTTATTCATGTCCTTCGCCCATTTTTTGACGAGATTGTTTGATTTTTCTTGCTAATTTGTTTGAGTTCCCTGTAGATTCTGGAATATATTTCTCTGTTGGATGCATAGATTGTAAATATTTTCTCCCGATCTGTGGGTTATCTGTTTACCCTGGTGACTATTTTGCTCTGCAGAAACCTTTAGTGTAATTAAGTCCAGCCTATTTATCATTGCTTTTGTTGCACTTGCTTTTGGGTTCTTGGTCATGAAGTCTTTGCCTAAGCCAGTGTCTAGAAGTGTTTTTCTGATGTTATTGTTTAGAATTTGTATGGTTTTGGTCTTAGATTTAAGTCCTTGGTCCCTTTTGAGTTAATTTTTGTATAAGGTGAGGGAAGAGGATTAAGTTTCATTCTTCTAAATGTGGCGTGCCAATTATCCCAGCACCATTTGTTGAATAGGGTGTCCTTTCCCCACTTTATGTTTTTGTTTGCTGTGTCGAAGATCAGTTGACTGTAAGCATTTCACTTTACTTCCAGGTTGTCTATTCTGTTCCATTGGTCTACATGTCTATTTTTATACCAGAACCATGCTGTTTTGGTGACTATGGCCTTATAGTATAGTTTGAAATCAGGTAATGTGATGCCTCCAGATTTTTTTTGTTAGTCTTCCTTTGGCTATGTGGGCTCTGCTTCAAGTCCATGTAAATGTTAGGATTGTCTTTTCTAGTTCTGTAAAGAATGATATGGTATTTTGATGGGAATTGTATTGAATTTGTAGATTGCTTTTGGCAGTATGGTCATTTTCAATAGATTGATTCTACCCATCCATGAGCATGAGATGTATTTCCATTTGTTTGTGTCATCTGTGATTTCTTTGATCAGCGTTTTGTAGTTTTGCTTGTAAAAGTCTTTCACCTCCTTCGTTAGGTATACTCTTAAGTATTTTAGATTTTTTTTTGTAGTTATTGTAAAAGTGGTTGAGTTATTGATTTGATGCTCAGTTTGGTTGCTGTTGGTGTATAGGAGAGCTACTGGTTTGTGTACATTAATTTTGTATCCAGAAATTTTGCTGAATTCATTTTTCAGTTCTAGGAGCTTTTTGGAGGAGTCTTTAGGGTTTTTTAGGTATATAATCATATCATCAGCATACAGCAACAGTTCGACTTCCTCTACCAATTTTGATGCCCTTTATTTTGTTCTCTTGTCTGATTGCTCTGGTTAGGACTTCCAGTACTTTGTTGAATAGAAGTGCTGACAGTGGGCATCCTTGTCTTCTTCTAATTTTCAGAGGGAATGCTTTCAACTTTTCCACATTCATTATTATGTTGGCTGTAGTTTTGTAGTTGGCTGTAGATGGCTTTTATTATGCTACATTATGTCCTTTCCATGTTGATTTTGCCAAGGGTTTTAATCATAAAAGGATGCTGGATTTTGTCAAATGCTTTTTCTGCATCTATTGAGATGATCATGTGATTTTTGTTTTTAATTCTGTTTTTGTGGTGTATCACAGTTATTGACTTGCTGATGTTAAACCATCCCTGCATCCCTGGTATGAAACCCACTTGATCATGGTGGGTTATCTTTTTGATATGTTGTTGGGTTTGGTTAGCTAGTTATTGAATTTTGTTATAAATGTTTTCATCTATACTCATCAGAGATATTGGTCTGTAGTTTTATTTTTTTGTTGTGTCCTTTCCTGGTTTGAATATTAGGGTGATGCTGGCTTCATAGAATGATTTAGGGGGGATTCCCTTATTCTCTATCTTGTGGAATAATGTTAATAGAATTGGTACCAATTCTTTTTTGAATGTCTGGTAGAATTCTGCTGTGAATCTTTATTGTCCTGGAATTTTTTTGTCGTTGTTGGCAATTTTTTTTCTACCATTTTAATCTCACTGCTTGTTATTGGTCTGTTTAGGGGTTCTAATTCTCCTCTGCTTAAGCTAAGGGGGTTTTATATTTCCATGAATTTATCCATCTCCTCTAGGTTTTCTGGTTTATGTGTGTGAAGGTCTTCACAGTAACCTTAAATGATCTTCTGTATTTATGTGGTGTTGGTTGTAATAGCTCCCGTTTCCTTTCTAGTTGAGCTTATTTGGATCTTCTCTCTTCTTTTCTTGGTTAATCTTGCTAATGGTCTATCAATTTTATTTATTTTTACAAAGAGTGAGGTTTTTGTTTCATTTATATTTTGTATTTTTGTTGTTGTTTCAATTTCATTTAGCTCTGCTCTTATCTTGGTTTGTTCTTTTCTTCTCCTGAGTTTGGGTTTGGTTTGTCCTTGTTTCTCTGGTTCCTTGAGGTGTGACCTTAGATTATTTATTTATGCTCATTTAGACATTTTGATGTAGGCATTTAAGGCTATTAAACTTTTCTGTTAGCCGTGCCTTTGCTTTATACCAAAGATTTTGATAGGTTTTTTCACTATTGATAAAAATTCTGCATACATTTCAGAAAGAATACTTGTCTTCTGTTAATGAACAGAACATTCTGTAAATCTCAGGTAGGACAACTTGTTTGACAATATTATTTACAAGCTCTAAATTCTTACCATTTATTAGTTTTTTTTTCTACCAGTTATTGAGAGGGGGAAATTGAAACAGTAAATATAAGCAAATACTGTAATCTTGTATTTGCTTCTTTCTCTTTGATGCTTTATCAGTTTTTGCTTCACGTATTTGGAAGCTCCAATATTAGGTGTATAAATGATGAGGATTATATGTACCTTTGATGAATTCATTATCATTAATTTCTTTTTTAGTTCTATCTTGTGTAAGATTTTAATATAGCCACTGTTACTTTTCTTTGCTTCATTTTAGAATGTTCTTTCATGTTTTCACTTTTAATGTACATGTCTTTTTATAGAAAATATGCTTTACAGACTATATGCTGCCCCCAGCAAATAGTTGGGTCTTGCTTTTCTATCCAATCTGACAATGTCTGTCTTTTAATTGGTGTGAATGTGTGTGTGTAAAGTGTGTGTATATAAAAATATGTATATATTTATTTTATATATTTTAAAAATATACATATATGTGATATATTTCGAAATATGTATTTTAAATATACATATACATAATTTGTATATATTTTAAAATGTATACATATATGAATATATAAATATATAGACACACTATATAGACACAAACACCAATATATATAAATATAAATATATATATACACATTCATTTACTTATGTATTCATTTATTTATTTATTATGGTAACTGTTATGCTTTGGTTGAAGTATATCATCTTGAAATTGTTTTCTATTCACCTTATCTGTTCTGTCTACCTTTCTTTTCTTTTTTGATCTTTTTTCATCTTAATTGGCTATATATCATGATTATATTAAATCTCCTTGGTTGGCTTACTATCTATAATACATTGCTTAATTTATGGTTACTTAACATTCATGGTATATATCTCTAACTTACTGCAATCTACCTTCATGTGGTATTGTACCACTTCACGTATAAAAACGATGCTTACAATAATAGTATACTTTTATTTTTCCCCTCCTGGCATCTGTGCTACTATTGTCATACTTTTAAACTTTAACATATTTTATAAACACTATACTTCTATTTTTAATAGCTAATTATATTTTGAAAATATTTCATTAAAAAATCTATTTAGTTACCTTGTAGTTGTCATCTGATTTTTTTTATTCCTATGTGTAGATTCAGCTTTTTATCTATCTTTTTCCTTGTGTCCGAGGGACTCCTCTTTACATTTCTTACAGTACAGTTCTGCTGGTCATGAATTCCTTCAGCTTTTGTGCATCTCAAAATGTATTTATTTTGTCTTCAATTTTTTGGACAATATTTTACCAGGAGAAAATTCTAGGCTAACAGAATTCTTCGTTCCGTAGTTTAAAGATGTTATCCGCTGTCTTTTCACTTTCATGCTTTCTGCTAAAAATTTCTCTTAGTAATTTGATTATGCCACTGTGCAATTTGATTATGATGGTCCTTGGTGAAGTGTTCTTCATTTTTCCTCTGCTTGCTATTAACTGAATTTACATTTGTAGATTTATATAATAGTTTGCATTTAATATGTTGTCAGTAAGTCTACATGAATTATTGATCTCTAGGGCTTGTGAATCTCTCAGCCTTTGACATGTAGATAACAGATAATGAATCATGCAAGATTTTCACTTTCTTTCAAAAGTTAATTTATTGATTTTAATTAATTTATTGAAGGGTTAGTCTCAGATTTAATCCCTTATTCAAAGGGCTTTCCACCACATTCACTGAGGAAAAAAACACAATTTTATATCTCCACCAGGCCCCATGTTTTAGCCATTCCATTACTGCATTAGAGCACTATGAGATTTATCAGGTTCACCTGTACACTTTTAATGCATGTAATTTTATGCTTGCAATTCAGTCAATATTTCTATACCTTCTTCCTACGGAATTGCTGTGATCTAAGAAACGTCATACACAGTTTAGGGTCAATGTCAGACCTCAAGGTAGAGTGACATTTGAGTCTGTGCAAAACCCAAATGAATCCAAATTTAGATCCTTTATAGATATCTTCTTGAGAGTTCAAGAGATAATTATTAGTCATATTGAGCATTTAGAAGTTTAGGCAGAACTTGGCTTGCTTGCAGCTTATAGTAAGCAGTTAATGTTTTGTCAATTAATGTCTAAAGTGCCTATAAATACACATTCAATATATTGATCTAAATCACCACTACAAGTCCACTGGACACATGGGTACGTGGATTATAAGTAGGTCTGCTAAGATATCACCCTTTCTAAGTCTCTCTGAATATGTTTATCATAAATTTGTATCATTCTATTCTCATTATGAAATCAAGTCACCTAAGACTTCTAAGAAAAAGGTTTTGTTAGTCTAGTTCCAGTTACTATAACCATCAGAAGATAATAAAATCGAATACCTATAAAATTCTTGCCATTATTGTTTTAATTTTTTCTGACAGGCTTTAGATGTGAGATTTTGGTATATGATAATTCTAACGCCTCTGTCATCTAGGAAATATAAAGTGATTTAACTGTATTTGTATACCCTTTCTGGCAAATAAATCACATTGTGCATTTTTATTGTTTGGAACTAGAATGATGTTATTATTCATCTTCTCTTAGATTCTCTGACATTTGTTCTACCATGTAAAATAATACTTTTAAAATAATTTAAAACAAATTTACCGTCAACTGTCTTTGTGGCAGGAACTTATATAGATTGATTTATGGAAATTGTAGAGATTTCTTTAGAGAATATATCTGACCTTTACTTGTCATTGCTTCAGTGAATATTTTACTGTTGCTTCTTGTTCCTTTGCAAGAGTGAGAAATGGTATTTTTTAAAGTAAAGAAAAATGTCAAAGTAAGAGGCTGAGGCAATATATCTTAAACATCTTTCTTTTTGACCCTAGTTACCACAGCCCTATTTTTAAGACGAGTTTGAAAAACTAGCCCATGCTACTTCAAATAGAAAATACATTGTCAGTTTAATTCCTATGCATCTGTTTGAAACATACATTTAATTGGTAACGCCTAAATGTAATTAGTGAATTAAATGCCCTGAATTGTCTGGAGCAATACAAACAGGCATTTAGGCATTTATAGATTTACATATTTGAACAAGACAAATTCATAGCTGTTAACTACTTTTATGATACACATACACTTTAAATACTATATTTAAAATATGAATATTAGACTCTTTAGCACATTCAAAGAAAATATAAGAGAAAGTAGTCATTGTGTACATTTACACATCCTGACCCTAACCCTAGTCTAACATACTCAGGTTTGATTCTAAGAAGAGAGAACAAATTATAAATAATAGTATGTGTCTAGGCATGGTGGCTTGTGCCTTCAATCTCAGCCACTCAAGAGTCAAAGGGGGGAAGATTGCTTCAGACTAGGAGTTCAAGGCTGCAGGGTGAGTTATGATTGTGCCACCGCACTCCAGCCTGGGGAACAGAAAGAGACTCTGTCTCTAAAAATGGCAACAAAAAGATATAAAAAATAAAAATGAACAATATGTGGAATATACTCACAGAAATGTATATCTAGGAATAAATAATCTAATTCTGCTTGTTTACATCTTTTACCCTTATCATTTTATAAAATCACATCCTCAGACATAGGAATTGTCAATCGAAATAAACATTGTTAAACAGATATTATCAGAAATTGATTTTTTTTTTGACGAAGTGTCATTCTGCCACCCAGGCTGGAGTGCAGTGGCACGATCTCAGCTCATTGCAACCTCCGCCTCCCAGATTCAAGTGATTCTCCTGCCTCAGCCTCCCAAGTAGCTAGGATTACAGGTGCATGCCGCCAAGCCCGGCTATTTTTTTTTTTTTTTTTTTTTTTTTGTATTTTAGTAGAGACGGGGTTTCACCATGTTGTCCAGACTGGTCTCAAACTCCTGATCTCAGGTAATCCACCTGCCTCGGCCTCCCAAAGTGCTAGGATTACAGGTGTGAGCCACCACGCTCGGCCCCAGAAATTGAATTTCTTATTAAAACAAGGAAACTAATAAACTAACAAAACAGGTAAAGCTCCCTTATCCCCCTGGCAGGGAGTGTGCCAGGGGGGAGTGGCTCACTGTTTCAGTGCTCTGCTGCTCAAACCTCTAGGGGGAGCATCCAGACAGGCAGGTTGTGGGGCTCCAACCCCATGGCAGCATCTAGGGGTGAATGCTTACAGCTACTGACGCCCCAGTGTGCCTGTGTTACAGTGTGCTCTTTTAGTTTTGCCGTTTGTAGGTCGCTTGTGTTAATCAGCTCAGTTAGACCCTCTGCTTTATTGCAAAAATGGAGGGCTAATTGTATCCTGGGTTTTTGCCTTGGTGTACTGAAAAAATCAGATCACGTCAGGCTTGGAAAACGCGTGCAAAGTTTCAGTAAATGGTGGAAGTAGGTCTCAGCAGATGGATAGGGAGCCAGAAGGGGATGGAGTGGGAAGGTCATTTTCTCCTGGAGTCCAGCTGCTGCAGCTCCACTCTCCTCCAACCACCCAGGCCAGATACCCCTCGACATTCAGGTCGTGCCACAGGTCGATGGCCTGCAGCATCTGCTGGCACCTATCGGTGTGTTCTTCTGCTCTTCTCAACATCCATCTGTGTGCTCTTCTGCTGGTGTGTTCCTCTCAACATCCAGCCACCTGTGTCTGTGCCCCCTAGGGTCTCAGGGGTTTTTATAGGCACAGGATGGGGGCGGGGTGGGCCAAGGTGGTCTTTGGAAAATGTAACATTTGGGCACGGAAACAGAAATGATTGAAAATCCTTTATTTATTTCTCTTGGCTGATTGCCCTGGCCAGAACTTCCAATATTGGTTCCTTGTGGTAGGTTCTTGGTCTCACTGACTTCAAGAATGAAGCTGCTGACCCTGGTGGTGAGTGTTACAGTTTTTAAAGGTGGTGTGTCCAGAGTTTGTTCCTTCAGATGTTCAGATGTGTCTGGAGTTTCTTCCTTCCAGTGGGTTCATGGTCTCGCCTGACTTCAGGAGTGAAGCTGCAGACCTTCACAGTGAGTGTTACAGCTCACAAAAATAGTGTAGACCCAAAGAGTGAGCAGCATCAAGTTTTATTCTGAAGAGCAAAAGAACAAAGCTTCCACAGCATGGAAGGGAACCCGAGCGGGTTGCCACTGCTGGCTCGCCACTGCTGGCTCCGGTGGCCAGCTTTTATTCTCTTATTTGGCCCCGCCCAGATGCTGTTGATTGGTCCATTTTACAGAGTGCTGATTGGTGCATTTTTACAGGGTGCTGATTGGTGCGTTTACAAAACTTTAGCTAGACACAGAGCGCTGATTGGTGCATTTACAATCCTTTAGCTAGACAGAAAAGTTCTCCAAGTCCCCACCTAACCCAGAAGCCCAGCTAGCTTCACCTCTCAATACTATATTGAATAGGAGTGGTGAGAGAGGGCATCCTTGTCTTGTGCTGGTTTTCAAAGGGGATGCTTCCAGTTTTTGCCCATTCAGTATGATATTGGCTGTTGGTTTGTCATAAACAGCTCTTATTATTTTGAGATACATATTATCTTGGTTTCCTTACATCAAATGTTGTCAGATATTCATTTAACAGAAGACAATAGCTCAATATAGCTTAAAAAATTAAAATACAGAATTCATCTGAAATAAATAAGATGTCAATACATCCCAAGTAAGTTGAACCGATATAGGACCAATTCTGAGTCGAATCTTAAGCAAATCAATCCTTGTGGTGGAAGAGCACAAAATAATTCTTTTTTATTTTGTGTATCTATTCATCCATTGATGGACATTTGGATTGCTTCCACCTCTTTGCTATTATGAATAGCACCACTGTGAGCATGATTTATTTTAACAGATAGGTATATTTTTCATGTAGTGGTAACCATACTGTATGTACAATATAGTTCCTTTCTAATTTTAACATAGTGAATAATTTTAAATCCCTAATAATCAGAAAAGGTCCATTTTTTCATAATTTTTTTCACTTTGCCAACATCTATTTTCCCAAGATTAACAGTGGAATGCATAGCTCTTTTTTTCTTTAAGTAATACCATTACTCTAAGGAAAGCAGGACAACTTATAACTCATTTTCTCATTTTATTCTCTGTCCACAGTTGGTTGGGCTAAGTATTAATTCTATTGGTTTTCATGGAAATAAATTTAGGGAGGATTTTAGTTGATTGGTGAGGTTTTGAGCACTGTAATATAAACATGAACAGAGAGAATCCAGCACATTTGCAAGATTAAAAAGATGTGAGACCAGTAGACTCTTCTAACCCACAGCTATGGGTTAGAAACCAGGGTTATAAAATAAGAAAATATACTTTTTTGCAAAGGTTCTCTTTTAAAAAATATAAAGCCATAGAATTAAACAAATTATTTGAACCCTATCACTGGTGTCTTAGCAGAATGACTGACGATTTTTTAACACTGTAAAAAGTTACAGTCTTAGGTGTAGTTACAAAATTTTAGCTATTATTATCTATTTTTTAAAATTGAGATAAAATAATGTTATTTTATAGTTTTATTTGATAATAACTACACCATCTGTCTTCTCGGGCTGCTGAAACACCACACGATAGTCTCAGTGGCTTAAACAACAGAAATTTATTTTCTCACAGCTCTGAAGGCTGGAAAGTCCAAGATCAAGGATCCAGAAGGGTTTGATTTCTGCCAAGGGCTCTCATCTTTACTTATAAATAGTCATTTTTTGCTCTATCTTCACATTGGCAGAGGGATATAGAGATCTCTAGTGTCTCTTCTTTTTTATTATGGGCACTAGTCCATAGGATCAGTGTTCCACCTTTCTGACCTTATTTAATCTCAAACTTCTCCTTAAAGGCCCTATCTCCAATACAGTCATATGGCATTTAGGGCCTCATTATATGAATTTGAGAGGCTCACAATTCATTCCATAGGATGCCCCAAATCTTCATGTGTGGATAACTGTATCATCCATATAAAGTTTATGATAACATGCTCTGTAGAATGATGCATATAATAATTTGGAGTCTGATACTTAGGGTCTGGTATCACTTTTTTCAATTACTAGAACTACCTTTGCATAAAAATCAGTGAATATAGCCATTATTCCCATGTGAACTTGGTAAAAGCCATACTAGTCTATGTATGCTTGATGGGCATTCCAGCATGAACAAGGCTTTAGATAATAGGGGAAGTTGGTAAAGAGAAATACTGAAGCTGGAGAAATACACCATTTTTGGTGTTACACTCAGTAAAGAATGACTGGAAAATTAAAATCCAGTAGTTAGAGAGCTGTAAGCATTAAAAACTTGTTCTCTGCTGGCTGAATTAATTTATTAGTGAGTAGAGCAAATTGAACTTCCTCTAGTCACAGAACCACAAGGAACCAGGTGGATTGCCATGTCATGGTGTGAGGAAGACACTGCTGTTTCGAATAAAACCCTTGTCACAATGGCGGATACTGAAGCTAGGTCTGATTCCTGGGGTGGTGGGAGGGAGCACTGATAATGGTTGCCTAAATGCTTTGGACACAGTCAAGCCAGACAACAACTTTACTCACATGTATTAGAGAAGCACAATAAGATTTAGCTAGGAAAGGAGCAGTTTGGTGGAGACAAATGTGCCAAGGCTTTTAGATCACTTAAAAGGCTTAAGATAGAAGAAGAATTTGTTCAACATAGATGGAAGTAGATGGAATCCCTTTCTTCTCTCTAATCACTGACAGATGAGGACTATGGGGCCACTTGGAGTCACAAGATTGAAGTTTTTTTGTTGTTTGCTTTAATAAAAAAATTCAAGCTTTCAACTTTTTAACATGTCCTTTGAGTTTTATAAACCTTGTTGTCTTTTTTTCCTCTTTTTTTTCTGATAATTTGTGTTCATTCTCTGAGTCTGAGATTAAACATCATATTTTCAGGAAAGCAAGTTAGATTTTAAAAAGCTTTTGTAGGAATAAAATTATTTGTGAAAACACTTATTAATTACAAGATCTCTTTTAGATTTCACAACGTGCTTTTTCCATATTCTGCTTCTAAACATAGTACCTGACGAAGAACAGCATTTCAGTAATAGTTTTCCTGCCGGTAAATGAATGAAGCTGCATTGTTGTTGCATCGGAAGTAGGGCACAAGACATTTCAAAATGAGTAACATTCACTATGTTATACCTAAAATCTTCACCTCTTCTCTGTTGTTATTTTCTTGTAAGTAAACAATTATTACTAATAATGTACTCTGACAGCTTGCTTCAACTTATTTCAATTGGTTATATCTCAATGGGAGTAGGACATTTTTAACAAATTGCAAATTTGATTGAGAATATATTTTGGGGAAAATTAGCCAAGTGTCACGGTTTTAGCAGAAATAAATTACTTTTTAAAATTGCGACTGATCTGTAAGGTGATCTTAAATGACTACTTTGACAGTGATAACATAGAGCAAATATTAGTCATTGATTTGTGTCAAACAGTAGAATAGATTTTCATGCAAACACAATATTAACATGAGGGAAAATAAATATTTTACTCCAAAAAGGATTGAGAGTGACATGTTTTATTTTCATAGTGGTATACAATATTTTCCTTGAGAATAACACTATTTGTCCTATAAAATATAACATTTGTAACATAATTATTTCAAATTTTGCTTATTGTTTGTTATGGAGTTGTATTTCAGAAATACACAAGTGAAGTATGGATTTAAAAATGTGTGGTGTCCAGGTATTCAAAAGCCTGGAGATCATCAAACTAATCTTATATTTATAGTTCACTTGAAAAGAATGAGAGTTCAGATATTTTCCCCAGTTTCAATTAGACCCTGTTCTCTCATAGATTGATTGCAAATTGAGTGCTTTTAAGACTCACGTGAGACTCTCTAAATACTCACCAAGAGATTTGGATTCAGTAGACCTCAGGGGAGGCCAGAACTTTATATTTTGTGAAAGAACCCAGTTAACTTCAATGAAAGATGTCTGGCAAGTACATATTGAGAAAAGCTGATTTTAAAGCTTTATATTTTGATTTTTAAATGTATGTTATTTTTGAGATGAGACCTTGCTCTGTCACCCAGGATAGAGTGTAGTGGCACCATCCTAGCTCACCAAATCCTCAAGCCATCCTTCCACCTTGGCCTCCCAAAGTGCTGGGATTACAGGTGTAAGCCACTGTGCCTGACTTGTTGTATTTTTAATATTACATTTTCTTATGATATAACATAGTGTGAACATTTCAATGGATTTGTGGAAGACTGATGACTACCAAAAGAAAATAAGTCACCAGGCGCAGTGGCTCACGCGTGTAATCCCAGCACTTTGGGAGACGGAGGCAGGCGGATCACAAGGTCAGAGATCGAGACCATTGTGGCTAACCCGGTGAAACCCCGTCTCTACTAAAAATACAAAAAAAAAAAAAAAAAAAAAATTAGCTGGGGGTGGTGGCAGGCGCCTGTAGTCCCAGCTACGTGGGATGCTGAGGCAGGAGAATGGCTTGAACCTGGGAGGTGGTGCTTGCAGTGAGCCGAGATCGCGCCACTGCCCTCCAGCTTCGGCAATAGAGTGAGACTCCATCTCAAAAACAAACAAACAAACAAGCAAACAAAAACAAACAAAAAAGAAAATACGTCACACAAAGTTATTTTCTTTATATAAAATCAATTTTTTTCAGGAAAATTATCTTTAACATATGCCAAGAAATGGGGAACTTTTCAAGTTGTATAATTAAATATTTTTCATTAAAGGACATTCAAACTTATAGTTGTGCTCAATGTATTCAGCAACTACTGCTTTCGTGGAAAATGTATCTGTTAAATTGGTCTCATCAGCAAAATCTTTGCCACTTAGATTTATCCGCATTAAATTAAATTAAAATTTTAAACTTCAAAATCCAAACCAAGAATATCTCCTGATATCTTTGTGAGTGTAATTCCTTTTTGTAGAGGTGGAGCTATCATAAATAAAGCAAGTGATCCCTATTCTACCAGAGAAAATAAAACGAATATAAGAACTTGTAATTTGCACCCCCCTTTTAAAAAATTTCAGGAGAAGAAACACGTTTTGCCTTCCTGGATATAATATTATTTAGCATGTTATAATATAGAGGGAAGAGTTTAGAAAATGCATGTTTTTCATGATTTGGAGATTTTTACTTGTATCCTTTCATCTTTATCATGGTCCCTTGCGTACAAATATCATTACTATTGAGGTATTTCAGGATTCAAAGTTATGATTTGGGCATTTGATTTAGCTTTGATTTTTTTTTTTGGAAGGCAGCATAATAGTTGCTTGGACAGATGATGTATTTGAGTGAGTCACACTAGAGATCAAATTGCAGTTATATTATTTATTGGATTTATGGTCAAGGCTTATTGAGATTTAATTTCAAACATCAAAAATGGGAATGATAATAATTCCTTTCATGATTACTAAGAACAATAAAGATAATGTGCCTAAATATCTGGCCGCAGTAAATGTGTATAACATATTGGCTATCAATAGTATTAGTAGTAGTACACTAATGTTTAAAACATCTTAATACACAATAAAGGGCGTTGATTTTAAAGTTATGTTTGAAAATGCTAAAAAATTAAAAAATTAAATTTTGTCACAAAATACTTTTCCCTATGAAGCAGGAAGCACATTGATAGTTTTCATATTTTCAAAATGTATAAGCAGTCTGTGACCTTATAACTTAAGTATTATCATGAGGTCATAAATATGCTCTACAAAACTGTTTAGTTTCTTTCTACTTGGAAGCACAAAAGCATTTGTTTTCCTTCTGATGCTTGATACAAAATGCTTATTAGTAAAGATACTGGCAGATATGGTAGCAGATATTGGATAGACGAAATACTATTGCCTGCCGCTGAATCATGACAAGAATCCTTTAGTAAGTGCATTTCAGGAAGATGTTCATTAAAAAATAAATAAATAAATTTAACTTAAACTTAAGGGCCTCAATCCTTGACATTTTAATACTTCAGCTTTTACATATTATTTTAGAAGTTGAACTTTCACTTATTTGCATAAACAATTTAAAAGGTCTAAAATAGTCATCATTCAGTTAAAAGTTTTCTATAATTAATTGTTAATTGATATAACTAATACTTAATTACTGGGGTGACCTATGATTTTTTTTTTCTGATACAGGGTTTCACTTTGTCGCCCAGGCTGGAGTTCAGTGGCACAATCTCGGCTTACTGCAACCTCTGCCTCCTGGGTTCAGGCAATTCTCTTGCCTTAGCCTCTCCAGCAGCTGGGATTACAGGCATGTGCCACCACACCCAGCTAATTCTATGATTTTATTTAATAAAATTTTGACAGTTGAAAAAATTTCTTCTTCAAAGAAAAGAAATGTAATATGTGTGGCAGCAAAGGGGTGTACTTGTTGCTGGATGCTTCCTTCAAGGAAAATACTGTAACTAAGATGCAAGAAGTATAATTAGCTGACAGACTCTGCTAGTGCCTTCTGGATACTTTTTTTTTTTTCTTTTCTGCCATCAAGTTGAGGCCATACACTCTTCAGGAAATCCCACTCAATGATTGACCATGGTGAGGCTCCTAGGACCTGACCATTTCTGCCCAATGTGGGACTCCTCTAATGGGCCATCTTCACTCCAGAATTGCTTGGTCATCTGGGAATGTATCAAATCTGCACTATGGACCAAACCTTTCTCTGCCCAGTTGCACTTTCTCCTTTTTCTCTTTTCACAAGGTCACATTCACACTCCCTTTAATCTTTTAAAATGTGTAGGCTTTATTTCCAAAATAAAGTCTATTCTCTGAACTCCTCAGTGTTTCCCTCCTAAAGGTCACATCTGATACAGAATATATTTATAAAATGTAACTTATGTAATTAATTTGTATTCTTTAATAAATTTAGCAAACATTCATACATTTTGAAGATATTATAGGATTAGGGAAAACATGCTAATAAATTGCAACATTTCTATACAATTTTTTAAATTTTGAAAGACAAACATGTAAAGGGATATTGCATACTAAGTAAAAAACTTAAATTGGAAGTAAGGTTTATGTAAAAATAAAACCAATGAAACTGATCAGATAGCATAGAAACTTGTTTCCAATGACTTTGTTGGATGCAGTTGACTTCATGTTACTTTTTAAAAATCTGTTTAGTAATTTTTTTAAACAAAAGTGAAGTTTGAATCACAATTACATTGATGGACTAACACAGTACTGCTTTTTTACATTTGGTATTAATATATAGAGGATGTATCTTTAAAAATCAATCTGTTTTTGCATTTATCATAATATATTAAAAACACTTTAGAAATTATTTATTTATTTATGTAAATTGCCTTCCATGCTTAGTCATCAGTTAAATAACCAAAATTTTGGTTAATATTAATCAAGATATTTTATTTTTTATTTATAAAGTAAAATATCTGCAACTTAACTATAATAATGCTTATGCATGTATTCAATCAGTTGTATAACATGATATTGCGTAACGATATCCCCATTATTATCTAGTAAGAGTATATTGTGCAAGAAAATAATCAAATTAATATTATCAGTCTTAAGATCTTCAATGACTTAATTTATCCAATATGCAATATATTTTCTGATCATTTGAAAGGGGAAAAATAATCTGAGTAATAATTCGTTACCTCTGTTATTATATGATTCATTGTTAATGCAGCACAATTTGCATCTGAATATTTGTAGTCTAGCACGGAGTTTGAAAAATGTAAGTAAAACATACTATTCAAGTAAGTATCTTCTTTGGGATTCTTAAGAATTAATTAATTTGATTCATATTCCAAGGACATTATTCCTATATGTAAACTTATAATTAAAATTTGAAGGCCGGGTGCAGCGGCTCATGCCTGTAATCTCAGCACTTTGAGAGACAGAGGCGGGTGGATCACCTGAGGTGAGGAGTTCAAGACCAGTTTGGCTAACATGGGAAAACCCCATCTCTGCTAAAAATACAAAAATTAGCCAAGTGCTGTGGTGCACACTTGTAGTCTGTTACCCGGGAGGCTGAGGCAGGAGAGTTACTGGAACATGGGAGGTGGAGGTTGTGGAGGTTGCAGTGAGCCGAGATCACACAACTGCAATCCAGCCTGGGTGAGAGAGGAAGACTCAGTCTCAAAAAAAAAAAAATTAAGTAGTTATTCATACACAGTGTAATTGTTTGTTGGTAGACATCAGGAATATAAGGTCAATGATCATGGATTTACTCCAATAAGAGAAATTTTATGGAAACTAAAAATATATAGCATGCTTATTTTATTTCACTTTTGGCTTGGTATCTAATATAGGAAAACATTCAATTTATTTAGTTTTCAAATAAAAATTATATAAAATTGGAAACCATTCTTGATAGCTGTTCTTTGTAATTATGTAGTTTCTAAGTGAAATAATTTAGTATTTTTTTTGTGTGTGTGGAACCTCTACCTACATTTTAAACTGTGTAGGAGATTTGATCTGGCTGGCACCAAGGGAAAGTTTTATGAATGTTCAAAATGTTGCCTAGTATGACTATTTTTAATTTGTTGAATTAAATGTTATTTGTTTAGAATATAATCGCATCATGTTTAAGATTACTTAATCTGGTGAAATAGGTATCACTTAGATGTTGATAATTTAATTGCTAAGTAAGAAGAAGAAAAGCAGTTAGGATTTACTAAACATTTATCATGTGCCAAAAACTGTGCTTAGCCATCGGCATACATTATAATCCTCACAGAATCCCTGATAAATAGTCATTGTTATGCTTTTTTATATATGAAGAAAAAAGAAAGTTGCCAATGGTATGGTTGTCATAGTTTTATAAGTAGCAGCTTGAAGTTTTAGCCTTACTTATCTTGTTTTAAAAATATGTTGAATATACAAAATAATAGACTCATAACTCACTTGATAGAATTAATAGTTTCTTTATCTGTAACATTCTGACGCCCAGTATCTAGAGAGAAATGAGACACTGTTACAGTCTAAAGAGTGGTTTTTGGCCAAGTGTAGTGGCTCAGGCGTGTAATCCCAGCACTTTGTGAGGCAGAGGTGGGCAGATTGCTTGAGCTCAGGAGTTTGAGACCAGCCTAGGCAACATGGAGAAACCTTGTCTCTAAAACAATACAACAACAAAAAATTAGCCAGACATGGTGGCATGCACCTGTGGAGCTACTAGGGAGGGTGAGGCAAGAGGATCCTTTGAGACCAGGAGGTGGAGGTTGCAGTGCACTCCAGCCTCAGTGACAGAGGGATAACCCTTCTCAAAAAACACAATTTTACAGATTGACTACAATCAATTTTTCAGGTTGCCCCACACCTCAAACAAATTAGTTCTTTTGAAAACAACCCAATTGCCCCATAGACTGATCTTTTTGATAAACATAGAAATTGACCCTTCTAGTCTTAAAAAGCTTGAAACTTTTTTTTTGTTTTGTTTTATCTGAGTTCCTTTCTCAGGAAATGACCTTTAGACCTCTCACAAAAAGCACAAAAAACTGGAACCAGATCACCACACCAGATGCTGAACTCTTCATTTGCCATGATTGCTTCCTTGCCCCTCCCATGTTCCTGCTTTCTTACACATTGTTACACTTCTTGCTTGCTATATAAACCCCTGGTTTTAGTCAGTCAGGGAGACGGATTTGAGACTGATCTCCTATCTGCTTCCTGCAATGCCCAATTAAAGACTTCTTCCTTGGCAATACTTGTCATCTCAGTGATCAGCTTTCTATGTGGCATTAACTAAAAACTACACAGAATGACTTGGTTTATTATGGTTTATCTTTAAAAATACACCTATTTGAAAATATATAACACAACCTATGATTACTCATAAATATTATACAAAGGAAAATGCTTGCAGAAAGCCCAGTAAGACAAATGGACTATATATTAAGTTTAAAGAATTTATTTATAAAATTTCCTTTTATTGTGTTAATAGCATTGAACTATATTTTGTTAAAATTTGAGAATTTTATGTCATTGAATATTATTATAAAGGAAATTTCTTAATTTTGTCATCATTTTTTTTCAGTTAAGAGCTTCCTGGAATTGTAATAAATTATATACCATAAATTTTTTTATCCATGACAGAAAATGTCATGAGATAAAATATGCTTTACATATCTCACATTTAACACAACTATTCTGAAATTATAACATGTTTTCCTTATTCAGACCAACTGTAGGCAGCCATAATTGATAACATTCTGTTGCTTACTCTGAGTTTTAATTTGAAACATTGCAATTGTAACGTCTGCTATTTCCTTTCAACCTCTAACCTCACCTCTAAACAATAATATGCTTTGTATGTAATGAGACATTATCTGTCAGTGACACAAAGATGCAATACGCCCCTTGAGAAGAGAAACATCACCTAGCATCTAGAACTTGGTATTAGTTTCTAATACCATACTCCACTGAAAGTGAGATGTGACAACGTGCTGGCGGCCCTCGCTCACTCTCAGCACCTAGTCAGCCTCGGCATCTGCTCTGGCCACACTTGAGGAGCCCTTCAGCCCACTGCTGCACTGTGGGAGCACGTCTCTGGGCTTGCAGAGGCTGGAGCTGGCTCCCTCTGCTTGCAGGGAGGTGTGGAGGGAGAGATACGGGTGGGAACCAGGGCTGCGCATGGAGCTTGCGGGCCAGCACGAGTTCCAGGTGGGTGTGGGCTCGGTGGGCCCCACACTTGGAGTGGCTCACCAGCACCACCAGCCCCAAGCAGTGAGGGGCTTAGCACCTGGGCCAGCAGCTGCAGAGGGGGTGCCAGGTCCCCCAGCACTGCTGGCCCGCCCGCACCACGCTCGAATTCTCACCAGGCCTGAGCAGCCTCCCCATGGGGCAGGGCTCGGGACCTGCAGCCCGCCATGCCTGAGTCCCCCCACGCAGTGGGCTCCCACATGTCCTGAGCCTCCCTGATGGGCACCGACCCCTACTCTGCAGCACCCAGTCCCATCGACCACCCAAGGGCTGAGGAGTGAAGGAGTGTGGCATGGGACTGGTGGGCAGCTCCGCCCGCAGCCCTGGTGCGGGATCCACTAGGCAAAGCCAGCTGGGCTCCTGAGTTGGGTAGGACTTGGAGAACCTTTATGTCTAGCTAAAGGATTGTAAACATATGAATCAGCACCCTGTGTCTAGCTCAAGGTTTGTAAATGCACCAATCAGTGCTCTGTGTCTAGCTAATCTAGTGGGGACTTGGAGAACCTTTATGTCTAGCTAAAGGATTGTAAATAGACAAATCAGCACTCTGTGTCTAGCTCAAGGTTTGTAAACACACCAGTCAGCACTCTGTGTCTGGCTCAAGGTTTGTAAATGCACCAATCAGCACTCTGTGTCTAGCTAAAGGTTTGTAAATGCACCAATCAGTGCTCTGTGTCTAGCTAATCTAGTGGGGACTTGGAGAACTTTTATGTCTAGCTAGAGGATAGTACATGCACCAGTCAGCACTCTGTGTCTAGCTCAGGGATTATAAACACACCAATCAGCACCCTGTCAAAATGGACCAATCATTTTGACAATCTCTGTAAATTGACCAATCATTTTGACAATCTCTGTAAAATAGACCAATCAGCTCTCTGTAAAATGGGCCAATCAGCTGGATGTGGGTGTGGTCAGATAAGGGAATAAAAGCAGGTTGCCTGAGCCAGCAGCGGCAACATGCTCGGGTCCCCTTCCACACTGTGGAAGGTTTGTTCTTTCACTGTTTGCAATAAATCTTGCTGCTGTTCACTCTTTGGGACTGCACTGCCTTTATGAGCTTTAACACTCACCGCGAAGGTCTGCAGGTTCACTTCTGAGCCCAGCGAGACCATGAACCCACCAGAAGGAAGAAACTCTGAACACATCCGAACATCAGAAGAAACAAACTCTGGACACACTATCTTTAAGAACTGTAAAACTCACTGTGAGGGTCCTCGGCTTCATTCTTGAAGTCAGTGAGACCAAGAACACACCAATTTCAGACACATTTTGGTGACCATGAAGGGAATATTGCCTATCGCAAAGTGGTGAGACTATGGCCAAGTGGTGAGACCATCGCCTACCGCCAAGCGGTGAGACTATCGCCTATCACCAAGCGGTGAGACTGTCACCTATCACCAAGCAGTGAGTACCATTGGACCCCTTTCACTTGCTATTCTATCTTATTTTTCCCTAGAATTAGGGGGCTAAATACCAGGTACCTGTCGGCCAGTTAAAAACAACTAGCGCGGCTGATGGACTAAAGACATGGGTGTCAGGCTTTCTGGGAAAGGGCTCTCTAACAACCCCCGACTCTTCGGAGTTGGGAGCATTGGTTTGCCTAGAACCAGCTTCTGCTGTTCCTGTACTTCTGGGCTGAGCCAAGGGTTGACAGAGAGGAAAGCCATGCAGCTCCACGGTCCCAACAACAGTTGGTTGACCCTGCGACCATGAGCGGAACTCTCAAAGGCATGTCATCCAAGCAAGACTCGCCCATATATCCTATCTATCCTGACCCTTGCCCCTGGGTTCTAAAGCCTGCCAGACAAACTTCCTCTTGCCTCTCTTCTCCGAGGTTAGTCCTGCTTCTAAAAATCACTCCCTGTCTCCGGTGCTTTTCTAGTTTCTCCTATAAGAATGATTTCTAATATAAACTCCAAGACTCTGTTACCTTCTTTAGGCAACCTGGCTCACCAATCAGAAAGATATAATTTTTGCCCAAAGCGCCATCACAGGGGGGACTACACGGAATTTTAGGATCCCTCCTCAGACTAACAGGCCTAACAAAAGCTATTCCTGAAGCTAGGATATGGGGAGCCTCAGAAATTGTATCGTTCCTATTCACATAAGTGAGGACAAAAGGTGTCATTCTTCCAACTCTGGAGATCCCGTCCCTCCCTCAGGGTATGGCCCTCCACTTCATTTTTTGGGCATAACATCTTTATAGGACATGGGAAATGTCCCAATATTAACAAGAGAATACTTAGGACTCTAACAGGTTTTCGAGAATGCATCAGTAAGGGCCACTAAATCCGATTTTTCTCAGTCCTCCTTGTGGTCTAGGAGGACAGGCAAAGGTGCAGGATTTTGAGAATGCATTGGTAAGGGCCACTAAATCTGACCTTCCTTGGTCCTCCGTGTTGTCTGTGAGGAAAACTAGTGTTTCTGCTGCTGCGTCAGTGAGCACAACTATTCTGATCAGCAGGGTCCAGGGACCATTGCGCGTTCTTGGGCAGAGGTTGTTTCTGCTGCTGCATCGGTGAGCGCAACTATTCTGATCAGCAGGGTCCAGGGACCGTTGCAGGTTCTTGGGCAGGGGGAGAAAAAAAAACAAACCAAAAACTGTGGGCCGTTTTGTCTTTCAGATGGGAAACACTCAGGCATCAACAGGCTCACCCTTGAAATGCATCCTAAGCCATTGGGACAAATTTGACCCGCAAACCCTGAAAAAGAGGCAGCTCATTTTTTACTGCACTACGGCCTGGCCCCAATATTCTCTCTCTGATGGGAAAAAATGGCCACCTGAAGGAAGTACGAATTAAAATACTATCCTGCAGCTTGACCTTTTCTGTAAGAGGGAAGGCAAATGGAGTGAAATACCTTATGTCCAAGCTTTCTTTTCATTGAGGGAGAAAACACCACTGTGCAAAGCTTGCAATTTACATGCCACAGGAGGACCTTTCAGCTTACCCTCATATCCTAGCCTCCCTGTATCTCCCCTTCCTATTAATGATAATTCTCCTCTAATCTCCTCTGCCCATAAGGAAATAAGCAACGAAATATCCAAAGGACCACAACCCCCAAGGCTATCAGTTATGTCCCCTTCAAGCTGTAAGGGGAGGGGATTGTGCCCAACCTGGGTACATGTCCTCTTCTCCCTCTCTGACTTAAAGCAGATCAAGGCAGACCTGGCATAGTTTTCAGATGATCCTGATAGGTACATAGATGTCCTACAAGGTCTGGGACAAACCTTCAACCTCACTTGGAGAGATCTCACGCTACTGTTAGAACAAACCCTGGCCTTTAATGAAAAGAATGTGGCTTTAGTTGCAGCCCGAGAATTTGGAGATACCTGGTATCTTAGTCAAGTAAATGATAGAATGACAGCTGAAGAAAGGGATAAATTCCCTACTGGTCAGCAAGCCATCTCCAGTATGGATCCCCACTGGGACCTTGACTCAGATCATGGGGACTGGAGTCATAAACATCTGTTGACCTGTGTTCTAGAAGGATGAAGGAGAATTATAATAAAGCCCATGAATTATTCAATGATGTCCACCATAACTCAGGGAAAGGAAGATAATCCTTCTGCTTCCCTTGAGCGGCTACGGGAGGCCTTAAGAAAGTATACTCCCCTGTCACCCAAATCACTTGAGGGTCAATTGATTCTAAAAGATAAGTTTATTACCCTATCAGCCACAGATATCAGGAGGAAGCTCCAAAAGCGAGCCCTGGACCCTGAACAAAATTTGGAGGCATTAATAAACCTGGCAACCTTGGTGTTCTATAATAGGGACCAAGAGGAACAGTCCCAAAAGGAAAAGTGAGATCAGAGAAAGGCTGCAGCCTTAGTCATGGCCCTCAGACAAACAAACCTTGGTGGTTCAGAGAGGACAGAAAGTGGAGCAGGCCAATCACCTGGTAAGGCTTGTTATCAGTTTGGTTTACTATGACAATTTAAAAAAGATTGTCCAGTGAGAAACAAGCTGCCCCCTCATCCATGTCCACTATGCCAATGCAATCACTGGAAGGTACACTGTCCCAGACGATGAAGGCTCTCTGGGTCAGAAGCCCCCAACCAGATGATCAAACAACAGGACTTAGGGTGCCTGGGGCAAGCACCAGCTCATGTCATCACTCTCTCCGAGCCCCAGGTATGTTTAACCATTGAGGGCCAGGAAATTGACTTCCTCCTGGACAGTGGCACGGCCTTCTCAGTGTTAATCTCCTGTCCTGGATGACTGTCCTCAAGGTCCATTACAGCTGAGGAATCCTGGGACAGCCTGTAACCAGGTATTTCTCCCACCTCCTCAGTTGTAATTGGGAGACTTTGCTCTTTTCACATGCTTTTCTTGTTATGCCTGAAAGTCCCACACGCTTTTTAGGGAGGGATATATTAGCCAAGGCTGGAGCTATTATCCACATGACTATGGGAACAAGTTACCCATTTTTTGTCCCCTACTTGAGGAGGGAATCAACCCTGAAGTCTGGGCATTGGAAGGACAATTTAGAAGGGCAAAAAATGCCCACCCAGTCCAAATCAAGTTAAAAGATCCCACCACTTTTCCTTATCAAGGCAATATCCCTTAAGGCCTGTAGCTCATAAAGGATTACCAGACATTGTCAAACATTTAAAAGCTCAAGGCAGCAGTCCATGCAACACCCCAATTCTAGGAGTACAAAAACCGAATGCTCAGTGGAGATTAGTGAAAGATCTTAGACTCATCAATGAGGCAGTAATTCCTCTATATCCAGTTGTACCCAACTCCTATACCCTGCTCTCTCAAATACCAGAGGAAGCAGAATGGTTCATAGTTCTGGACTTCAAGGATGCCTTCTTCTGTATTCCCCTGCACTCTGACTCCCAGTTTCTCTTTGACTTTGAGGATCCCACAGACCACATGTCCTAACTTATGTGGACGGTCTTGCCCCAAGGGTTTAGGGATAGCCCTCATCTGTTTGGTCAGGCACTGGCCCAAGATCTAGGCCACTTCTCCAGTCCAGGCACTCTGGTCCTTCAGTATGTGGATGATTTACTTTTGTCTACCAGTTCAGAAGCCTTGTGCCAGCAGGCTATTCTAGATCTCTTGAAATTTCTAGCTAATCAAGGGTAAAGCTGTCTAGGTCTAAGGCCCAGCTTTGCCTACAGCAGGTAAAACATCTAGGCCTAATCTTAGCCAGACAGTCCAGGGCCCTCAGCAAGGAATGAATACAGCCTATACTGGCTTATCCTCACCCTAAGACATTAAAAGAGTTGCGGAGGTTCCTTGGAATTACCAGCTTTTGTAAAATATGGATCCCTGGATGCAGCAAGATAGCCAAGCCCCTCTATACTCTAATCAAGGAAACCCAGAGGGCAAATACTCATCTAGTAGAATGGGAACCAGAGGCAGAAACAGCCTTCAAAACATTAAAGCAGGCCCTAGTACAAGCTCCAGCTTTAAGCCTTCCCACAGGACAAAACTTCTCTTTATACGTCACAGAGAGAGCAGGGATAGCTCTTGGAGTCCTTACTCAGATTCGTGGGACAACCCCACAACCAGTGGCATACCTAAGTAAGGAAATTGATGTAGTAGCAAAAGACTGACCTCACTGTTTAAGGGTAGTTGCGGCGATGACTGTCTTAGTGTCAGAGGCTATCAAGGTAATACAAGGAAAGGATCTCACTCTCTGGACTGCTCATGATGTAAATGGCATACTAGGTGCCAAAGGAAGTTTATGGCTATCAGACAACCACCTACTTAGATACCAGGAGCTACTCCTTGAGGGACTGGTTCTTCAAATGAAGAAGAAGGTTTGTAAATGCACCAATCAGCACTCTCTGTCTAGCTCAGGGATTGTAAACACACCAATCAGCACCTTGTCAAAACGGACCAATCAGTTCTCTGTAAAACAGACCAATCAACTGTCTGTAAAATGGACCAATCAGCCTGATGTGGGTGGGATCAGATAAGGGAATAAAAGAAGGCTGCCTGGGCCAGCAGTGGCAACCCACTGGTGTCCCCTTCCACACTGTGGAAGCTTTGTTCTTTCGCTGTTTGCAATAAATCTTGCTGCTGCTCACTCTTTGGGTCTGCACTGCCTTTATGGGCTGTAACATTCACCACAAAGGTCTGCAGCTTCACTCCTGAGGCCAGTGAGACCACAAACCCACCAGAAGGAAGAAACTCTGAACACATCCGAACATCAGAAGGAACAAACTCCGGACACACCATCTTTAAGAACTGTAACACTCAACGTGAGTGTCAGCAGCTTCATTCTTGAAGTTAGTGAGACCAAGAACCCACCAATTTTGGACACAAAAGGATGAAGCATTCCTTGCCAGAATGGCTGATTCTATTATATTAATATATACAAGATAAGCCTGGAGATTCTTTTACTGTCAGAAAGTAAGAAAAAAAAAAACACTAAAAGAAAAAGTAATGAACTGAAAGAGCTTCCAATGCAATGGCATGGACTAAAGACTTTGAGTGACAAAATAAAGTAGTATGGATAACCCTAATTGTAAGGTAAATATCTATGAGTCCATGCTAATATAAACAAAAAATTAAGTACATAGATGAGTGTGAAAAGACAAATCTTCCATAGAGATTTACAAATAATTTAGGTAGATACTCTGGTTATAATTAACACTGAAAAATCATGTTAATAATATTCATACTTGATATGATATAATGAAAATGGGCAGTTTACCTCTGTTGACCTCCTTCCAAAAACATATAACTACCAGTCTAATCATTAAAATAAATTTGATAAAACCCAACTGAGGAATATTCTACAAAATATCTGACCAAAATGTCTCAGAACTGTTCAGGTCTTCAAAAACAAGGAATGTCTGAGAAACAGTCACAGGCAAGGGGAGTCTGAGGACACATAAGGGATAAATGTAATGTGAGATCCTGGGATAGGAAAAGGCCATTGGGGAAAACTAAGGAATTCTTAATAAAGTATGTGCTTTAATTAATAATAATGTATCAAACTGGTTAATTAATTATAACAAATGTACCATATTAATGTATAATGTTAGTAATAGGATAAATTGGGTGGGAGGGCATGGAGGAACTCTGTGTTTGCCATTTTTCTGTTAATTAAAACTATGCTAAAATAGTTTGAAATAAACTATTTCTAACATAATTTAAAATAGCCTCTTTAAAAATGAAATAAAATATAACATATGTGCAAGCAAGACAGAGAGAAACAGAAAGAAATAGATGGAGTGGCTGAGCATGGTGGCTCACACCTGTAATCCCAGCACTTTGGGAAGCCAACGTGGGCTGATCACTTGAAATGAGGAATATGAGACCAGCCTGGCAAATATGGTGAAACCTGTCTCTACTAAAAATACAAAAATTAGCCAGGCATGGTGGCATGTGCCTGTAATCCCAGCTACTCAGGAGGCTGAAGCACAAGAATTGCTTGAACCCAGAGGTGGAGGTTGCAGTGAGCTGAAATCACACCACTGCACTCCAGCCTGGGCCCTAGGTGACAGAATGAGACCCTATCCCCCAAAAAAATTAAAAAAAAAGAAAAAGAAAATAAAATAAATAGAAGCAGAGATAGAGACAAGCAGGAAATAATATTTTATGTTTCTTCTCTATGTAATTTATTTACTTGTTCAATTAGTATTTACTGAATATTTGCCATGCATTCTGCACTGGGGCAAGCAACAGAAATACACAAATAAATGAGTTGATATGCTTAATTCAGTTATCTCAGTAACAGGGGAATCTGTATACCACTCCAATCACATCTCTTTCTTCAGTCATCTACACAGGCCTTCTTTGAGTCACCCAAAACACTTAAGTCTTTCCTGCTTTAGATCTATCTTTTGCCTGGAACAGTCTTTGACCCAGTTTGCATGGTAAGTTGTTCTTCAGATATCAAGTTAAATGTCACTTTTACAATGAGGCTCTCTCCTACTCTGTATCTACAGGTGTCCCCATTATTTTCTATCATGAAGCTGTGTTCTTCACATTAATGGCATTTGTCATAGTTATATGTTTGTATTTATAGCGATTTTCAAGTCTATCTCATTTATTTGGTTCCATATGTGTGTTGAACCATGGTCACTTTATTGACAGTAGTTTTGTTAATATTCAGTAAAATAAGATGAATTCATGCATGAATAAATGAATCTAATAAACAGGTCAGGCCAACGGTTCGCTATGGTCTAATTTTTCATACAATGAGAAAGAAAACCCAATTAGACATCATAATGAACATATGATGCTTATTATAGTTATTGTGTTCTGTATATTTAGATTTGTTCAATGTCTTATGTTATAATTTATGAATATAAAATTATACAGGAAAAAATAAACCCCTATTGATCGTCTTTCTGTGGTTTATATTTTATACTAGATCATCTTATTTGAATACTCTACAAAAGTGAGAGGTGAAAACAATGTTAATTTTGTAAATGAGGGTACTTAAAGATATTAACCAACATGGCCCTCATAGCAGCTAGTAATTGGCAGAGTAATTTGCTCTTCCCTCTGACTAGAATTCTATTTTTCTAACTCTTTAAATGCAAAGCTTATACCCAGCATATCTAACTCCAACGTACAGGGATTCATGGATTTACAACACATCTCAACTCAGAGATTTTACGAATCCCAACAGTAAATATCTACTCAATATTATACCTTAAAAAATTCCCTCTGTTTCAAAAACATAGGCATGATGGAAAGAGGGAGAGTGAGAGGGACATCCATAGGGTAGCATATGACTTTTAATTCTCTTTGTCTCAAAAAAAAAATTACCTTTGAACACCAAAAGGAGAAGAGAAACACAAACTAAGGAATTGAAGCTAAAGTTACAGGCTTTCTGAGCTCCATGACACAGAGCAGGCAGAATAGGTCATTTAAACTGAAATTTAGGCTTCTGCATAGGCTCCCTAAAGGGCTTTTTGTGAAATGAAGGTAAAGAAGCTGTGTGGATTCCACTTTTATAGATGTAATAAGAAAAATAGATGTTTCCCAACCAATAGAAACTGAACTTTTTCTTAAATTGTGAACTACAGAGACAAGATAAAAACAAATGGCATACTCAAAACCAGAAAGTGAGTTACCATAATTAGATTAGCCACTAACCTAACACACTCAGAAGATACACGATGAAACTCTAGAATCATTACAATATGATTAATGCAAATGGAGAGAGAAAAAAAAAGAGAGTGACAAATACTTCAACTTAAGAAGAGCTTGAAAACTATAATAAAAATTGAAGATACTAAGAACTGGCAAAAAATAACCAAAAAATTAATAATGTGATTAGAATTTTATTCCAGAAGCAATTAATTTTCTAGAAAGGCTCTCAGATATTTAAATTAAACATGTTGAAGTTGTTTAAAATGTTTAACTAAAGCCTGATTTTTTAAAATAAACTTTTTAAAGCAAAATTTTAAAATATCAGATGACATACTGAAAGAAATTATTTGAAATATCTGAAATAAAAAAGCATTTCAAATAAAAATTACATAGATATTATAATCTTTAGAGTCAATCAAATAATAAATTAGAAAATTTTAAGAAGATAACAAAGAATTGTATTGGAATAAGTAACAAGAGAAAAAGAATTAATAGAGAGTGGCCAAGATAATCACCTAGAAGCAGCTGGTGTGTGCCACTCTTAAATACAACTTCAATAGAAACATCCAGGTACATGCATTGAGACTAATCAAGGAAACAACTTGACCCACAGAGAATAGAGAAAAGCAAGGCAGGATGACTGCTATGGATCTGTTTCTCCACCAAATCTCATGTCAAATTATAATCTACAGTGATGGAGGTGGGGCCTGGTAGGGGGTGATTTGATTATATGTATGCAGTTTTCATGAACGATTTAGCACCATCTCTCCTTGGTACTGTATAGTGAATGAGTTCTCATGAGATCCGGTTGTTTAAAAGTTTGTAGGACTCCCCTCATACAGCCCTTTCTCCTGCTTCTGCCATGTAAGACATAAGCTCCTGCTTTTTCTTCCACCATGAGTATATGCTTCCTGAGACCTCCCCAGAAGCAGAAGCTGCCATGCTTCCTGTATGGAGCTAACTAAACCTCTTTTCTTTATAAATTACCGAGTCTCAGATTTTTTTATAGCAATGCAGAACGAACTAATACAGAAAATTGGTACCAAGCAGTAGGGCATTGCTATAAAAATACCTAAAAGTGTAGAAGCAACTTTGGAACTTGGTAACAGGCAGAGGTTTGAAGAGTGTAGAGGGCTCAGAAGAAGACAGGAAGATGAGGGAAGGCTGGAACTTCCTAGAGACTTGATGTATGGTTGTGACCAAAATGCTGAGAGTGATATGGACAATAAAGTCCAGGCTGATGAGGTCTCACATGGAAATGAGAAACTTGTTGACTAGAGTAAAGGTCACTTTTACTGTATATTAGCAAAGTGGTTGGTTGCATTGTGCCCCTGCCCTAGGGATCTGTGGAACTTTGAACTTGAGAATGATGATTTAGGTGTCTGGAGGAAGAAATTTCTAAGCAGCAATGCATTCATGAAGTAATCTGGCTGCTTCTAACAACCTATTCTCATATACATGAGCAAAGAAATGATGTAAAACTTGAACTTACATTTAAAGGGAAGAAGAGCATAAAAGTTTGAGAAATTTGCAGCTTGGCTATATGATCGAAAATATAATCTTATTTTCACGGGAGCAATTCAAATTGGCTGCAGAAATTTGCATAACTAAAAAGAAAACAAGTGCTGATAGCCAAGACAATGGAGAAAAGGTCTCAAAGACATGTCAGAGACCAAGGTAGCTGCTCAAATCACAGACCTGGAGGTCTAGAAGAAAAGAATGGCTTCATGGTCCAGACCCAGGATAGCTTTGGGACACTGCTCCCTGCATCTCAGCCACTCCAGCTTCAGCAGTGGCTTAAAGGGGCCCAGGTAAAGCTCAAGCTGCTCCTCCAGAGGGTGCAAACTGTAAGCCTTTGTGACTTCCACCTGATGTTAAGCCTGCAGGTGCACAGAGTGCAAGAATTGAGGCTTAAGAGCCTCCACCTAGATTTCAGAGGATGTATGGAAAATCTAGGCAGAAGTTTACTTCAGGGGCAGAGCCCTGAGGGAGAACTTTTACTACAGCAGTGAAGAGGGAAAATGTGGGGTTGGAAGCTCTACACCGAGTCCCCACTGGGGCACTGCCTTGTGGTGCTGTGAGAAGAGGTCCACCATCCTCCAGATCCCAGAATTGTGGATCCATTGACAGCTTGCACTATGCATCTGGCAAAGCCACAGGCACTCGGTGCTAACCTGTGAGAGTAGCCACAGAGGCTGAATCCTTTAAATCCATAGGAGAAGAGCTGCCCAAGGCCTTTGGAGCCCACCAGTGTGTGCTGGATGTAGGACATGAAGTCAAAGGAGATTAGTTTGGATTATTAAGATTTAATAATTGCCCTTCTGGATTATGGACTTGCAAGGGGACTGTAGCCTCTTTCTTTTAGTTGATTTATTTCATTTGGAATAAGACTATTTAGTCAATGCTTATCCCTTCATTATATCTTGGAAGTAACTAACGTGTTTATAATTTTTCAGGCTCTTAGGCAGAAAGGACTAGCTTTGTCTTAGACGAGACTTTGAACTTTGCACTTTTGAGTTAATGGTGGAATGAGTTAAGATATTGGGGGACTGTTGAGAAGAGTGATTGTATTTTACTATGTGAGAAGAACATGAAATTTGGAGGGGCAAGGGTTAGAATAATATGGTTTTGGATCTGTGTCTCAAACAAATCTCATGTCTAATTGTAATCCTCGATGTTGGAGGTGGGGCCTGGTGGGAGGTGATTGGATCATGGGGGTGGAGTTCTTAAAAATGGTTTAGCACCATCCCTCATTGGTACTCCATAGTGAATGAATTATCAAGAGATCTGGTTGTTTAAAAGTGTGTAGTGAGAGGTGAAGCCAGCTGGGCTTCTGAGTCGGGTGGGGACTTAGAGAACTTTTGTGTCTAGCTAAAGGATTGTAAATGCAGTAATCAGTGCTCTGTATCTAGCTAAAGGATTGTAAACGCAGCAGTCAGCATTCTGTAAAAATGCACCAATCAGCACTCTGTAAAATGGACCAATCAGCACTCTGTAAAATGGACCAATCAGCAGGATGTGGGTGGGGCCAAATAAGGGAATAAAAGCTGGCCACACGAGCCAACAGCGGCAACCCACTTCAGTCCCTTTTCATGCTGTGGAAGCTTTGTTCTTTTGCTCTTTGCAATAAATCTTTTTTGCTGCTTACTCTTTGAGTCCACACTAGCTTTAGGAGCTGTAACACTCACAATGAAGGTCTGCAGCTTCACTCCTGAAGCCAGTGAGACCATGAACCCACCGGGAGGAACAAACAACTCTGAACACACCACCTTTAAGAGCTGTAACACTCACTGCATTCTTCTCATCACTACATAGCACATACTCTAAAACTGACCACAGAGTCAGACATAAAACAAACTTCAGCAAATGCAAAATAATCGAAATTGTACCAAACACACTCCCAAACTACAGAGCAACAAAAATAGAAGTAAAGAATGAAAAAAAAATCACTCAAAATCAAGCAATTACATGGAAATTAAACAACATGCTCCTGAATAACTTTTGGGTAAATAGTGAAATCAAGGCAGAAATCAATGAGTTCTTTGAAACTAAAGAGAATGAAGATACAACATACCAGAATCTCTGAGACAGAAGATACACAATGTTAAAAGAAAATTTATAGCACTGAATACTCAAAAAGTTAGAAAGATCTCAAATTAACAACCTAACATCACAACTGAAAGAATTAGAGAAGCAAGTGCATACTAACCCCAAAGCTAGCAGAAAACAAAAATAACCAAATTCATAGCCGAACTGAAGGAAACAAAGACACAAACAAAAAACATTCAAAAGATGAACAAACCTAGGGGTTGATGTTTTGAAAAAATTAAGATAGGCTACTAGCTAGATTAATAAAGAAAAAAAGAGAGACGATCCAAATAAACACAACTAGAAATCACAAATGGGATGTTACCACTGACCCCACAGAAATAAAAATAACTGTCAGTAACTATTATAAACACCTCTATGATCACAAACTAGAAAATCTAGAAGAAATGTATTAATTCCTGGACACATACACCCTCCCAAAACTGAACCAGGAAGAAACTGATTTCCAAAACAGACTAATACAGACTACAAAATTGAATTAGTAATAAATAGCCTACGAACAAAAACAAGTCCAGGAACAGATATATTCACAGATGAATTCTACCAGATGTACAAAGAAAGTTGGTATCATTTCCACTGAAACTATTCCAAAAATAGATGAGGAGAGACTCCTCCCCAACTCCTTTTATGAGATCAGCATCAAGCTGATACCAACCCCTAGCAGAGACACAATAAAAAAGAAAACTTCAGGCCAGTATCCTTGATGAACATTGATGCAAAAATCCTCAACAAAATACTTGCAAACTGAAGCCAGCAGCACATCAAAAAACTAATACACCATGATCAAGTAGGCTTCATCCCTGGGATGCAAGTTTGGTTCATCATATACAAATCAATAAATGTGATTCATCATATAAATAGAACTAAAGACAAAAAAACACATGATCATCTCAATAGGTTCTGTAGAATCTTTTGATATAATTCAGCATCTCTTCATGTTAAAAACTCTCAATAAACTAGGTATTGAAGGAACATACCTAAAAATAATAAGAGTTATCTATGGCAAAGCCACAGCCAACATCATACTTAATGGACAAAAACTGGATATATTCTCAAGAGCTCCTTTAGCTGATAAACAACTTCAGCAAAGTTTCCAGATACAAAATCAACATACAAAAATTACTAGTATTCCTGTACATCAAGATCAGCAAAACCAAGAGCCAAATCAAGAATGCAAGCCCATTCACAACTGCCACAAAAAATAATAAAATACCTAGGAATACAGTACACCAGAAAGGTGAAAGTTCTCTACAATGAGAGCTACAAAACACTGCTCAAAGAAATGAGAGATTATACAAACAAATGGTAAAACATCCCATGCTCATGAATAGGAAGAATCAATATCATTAAAATGGCCACACTGTCCAAAGCAATTTACCGATTCAATGCTATCACTATCAAACTGCAAATGACATTCTTCACAGAACTAGAAAAACTATATTTAAATGTATATAGAACCAAAAAAGAGCCTGAATAGCCAAGGCAATTCTAAGCAAAAAGAACAAAGCTGGAGGCAACGTGTTACCCAACTTCAAATTATACTACAAGGCTACAATCACCAAAACAGCATGATAGTGGTATAAAACCAGACGCACAGACCAATCAAACAGAATAGAAAGCCCAGAGAGAAGGCCACATACCTACAACCATCTAATCAACAGGGTTAACAAAAATAAGCAATGGATAAAGAATTCCCTATTCAATAAATGGTGCTGGGATAACTGGCAGGCAATATGCAGAAGATTGAAACTGGAATCCTTCCTTACACCATATACAAAAATCAACTCAAAATAGATAAAAGACTCAAATGTAAAACCCCAAACTATAAAAACCCTGGAAGGCAATCTAAGCAATACCCTTCTGGACATAGGAATGTGCAAAGATTTCATGACAAAGATGCCAAAAGCAATTGCAACAAAAGCAGAATTGACAAGTTGGATCGAATTAAATTTAAGAGTTTCTGTGCAGCAAAAGAAAATAACAACAGTGTAAACAGATAACCTACAGATTGGAAGAAAATTTTTGCAAACTAGGCATCTGACAAATGTCTAATATCCAGCATCTATATGGAACTTAAAACAAATTTACAAGAAAAAAATAAACAACCACATTAAAAAGTGGGCAAAGGACATAAACAGACACTTTCAAATGAAGGCATACAATTGGCCAACAAGCATCTGAAAAATAGCTTAACATCACTGATTATTATATAAATGCAAATAAAAACCACAATGAGATACCATCTCATAGTAGTCAGAAGAGTTATGATTAAAAAGTCAAAAAAAAAAACAACACATACCGGTGAGGTTGTGGAGAAAAGGGAACACATACACTATTGGTGGGAGTACAAATTAGTTCAACCATTGTGGAAAGCAGTGTGATGATTGCTCAAAGCACTAAAACCAGAACTACAATTCAGCCCAACAATTCCATTACTAGGTATATTCCCAGAGGAATATGTCATTCCACCATGAAGACATGCATGTGAATGTTCATTGCAGTACTATTTACAATAGCAAAGATACGAAATCAACCTAAATGCCCGTAAGTGAAAGACTGGATAAAGAAAATATGGTACATATACCCCACAGAATACTAGGTAGCCACACAAAACAACGAGAGCATGTCTTTTGGGGAAAACATGGATGGAGCTGGAGGCTATTATCCTCCGCAAATTAATGCAGAAACACAAAACCGTATGCCACATGTTCTGACTTACAAGTGGAAGCTAAATGATAATAACTCATGGACACAAAGAAAAGAACAACAAACACTGGTTGAGGATGGAAGTTAGGAGGAGGGAGAGGGGCAGAAAAAATAACTATTGGTTACAAAGTTTAGCATCTGGGTGCCATAATAATCTGTACAACAGTCCCCCATGACACACGTTTACCTATATAACAAACCTGCACATGTACCCCTCGACCTCAAAATGAAAGTTAGAAAAAGAAAATATTTTTATATGTTTATTATTTTGTATTATATTTCTGTGAGTTGCTTATTGATAGTCCTTGCCCATTTTTCTATCAGGTTGTTCACATTTTGCTTATGACTTTGTATAAACTGTAAATATTCGGAATGAGAATATTTTGTAGGTTAACATGTTACAAACATTTCTCCCAGCTTGTAGGTAGTCTTTAACTTTGTTTACAAATGCTTTGCCCATATTCACATAGCTTTGATTACAGTACATTGTTACAATTGCTCTTGTTCTTTTTTTATTTTTATTTATTGTTGTTAATTTCTTTTTGTGCCTCATTTCTAAATTAAACATGATCATAGATTAAAAAATAAAAGTAGAATAAATAAAGGAGCAGTTGGGAGATTTAAAAGATAGATTGAGAGGTTTAAATAATTGTCAAACTGGAGTTTCAGAAGAAGAAAAAAGGAATGGCTTAAACATAGCATTTGAAGAGATAATTGCGGAAATTTTTATTAATAAGAATGACTTCAAAATAAATAACAGTAATCAATTCAGATATGGACACATCCAGTAAAATTAAAACACAGTATGGCCAGAAAGGGTATCTATATGCTTTCCACAGGAAAGAGATCTCTTATAATAAAGTTATTGTGACACCAAATTATTTTGCTTAGAAATTGTATAGCAAATATAAATAACATAATTTGATTATTCAATGTATAAAGCAATATAAACATAAAAATGCAAATATAACCAATAATCAAACAGAAATCTCTTACTTCAAATTCTACAGAGAAATAAAATAAAAAACAGAAATATCTATCTATTAAAGGGAAAACATAATATAGCAAGATGATTTTTAAAATAGTATACAGAAAATGTGAAATAAAGAATCCTGACAATATTTCTAAACATTTAAATAATCATTACAATAGAGAACTCAGAAACAAAGCCACACACCTAAAGCCATCTGATCTTTGACAAAGTCTACAACAGTAATCAATGGAGAAAGGACTCCATATTCAATAAGCAGTGCTGGGGTGGCTGGCAAGCCATATGCAGAAGAATGAAACTGGACCCCTACCTTTCACCATATACATAAGTTAACTCAATATGGCTTGAAGTTTTAAATATAAGACATCAAGCTCTAAGAATATTAGAAGAAAACCTAGGAAACACCATTGTGGATATCAGCCTTGGGAAAGAATGTATTACCGAGCCCTGAAAAACAATTGCAACAAAAACAAAAATTGACAAAGTGAGACTTAATTGAAATAAAAAGAGTTTCTGCACTGCAAAAGAAACTATCAACAGAGTAAACAGACACCTATAGAATGGGAAAAAATATTAGCAAACTAGGCACCCGACAGAGGTCTAATATTTAGAATCTACAAGAAACAAACACTTCAACAAGCAAAAAGCAAATAATTCCATTAAGAAGTGGGAAAAATACATGAACACACACTTCTCAAAAGAGGAGTGGCCAACAGACATACGAGAAAATGCTCAACATCACTAATGAGAGAAATGCAAATCAAAACCAAAGTGAAATACTGTCTCACACCAGTCACAATGACTATTATTAAAAAGTAAGAAGAAAAAAAGACACTGGTGAGGTTGTAGAAAAAAGAGTACATTTATATACTATTAGTGGGAATGAAAATTAGTTTAGCCACTGTGGAAAGTAGTCTGCAAATTTCTCAAAGAAATTAAAACAGAGTTACCATTTGACCCAGAAATCCCATTACTGACTATGTATCCAAAAGAAAATAAAGAATTCTACCAAAAAGACATATGTACTCCTATGTTCATGGAAGGACTATTAACAAGAGCAAAAACATGAAATCAACCTAGGTGTCCTTCAACGATGGATTGGAGAAAGAAAATGTGGTACATATACACCAGAGAATACTATGCATCCATAAAAAAGAATGAAAATCATGTCCTATGCCACAACATGGATGCAGCTGGAGGCCATTACCCTAGGCAAATTAACATAGAAACAGAAAACCAAATTCCACATGTTCTCACTTATAAGTGGGAGCTAAACATTGGGTACACATAGACATAAAGATAGCAACAGTAGGCACTGGGGACTACTACCAAGAGGAGGGCGGAAGGGGGTTGAGATTTGAAAAACTAACTATTGGGTACTATGCTCACTACCTGGGTGATGGGATCAATTGTACTCCAAACCTGAGCATCGCACAACTGACCCATGTAACAAATCTGCGCATATATCCCCTGAATCTAAAATAAAAGTTAAAATTTAATAAAATAAAAAGTTAAAATAAATAGATAAAAATATAAATAATCATAAGAAAGGCAAATGAAAACTCATTTAAGATACAACTTGAAATTTTAAAGTAATCCAGATACATGTTGCTTAAAAGATATATACCTCAAATAAGAAGAAACATTTTAAAATTTGTAATGGCCAAAAAAGAAAATCAACATGAAAATAATATGAACAAACACAAAAAGCTGGTAGGGTAACATTTTTTAATAAAAGAAAATTAAAGTGAATCCCCCGAATTACTTATAGACATAAACTTGATAACACACCCTTAATATTTTCTTTTAAACAGTTTCTCACTATTTACGTGGCCAGGCTGGAAAGTTTCCAAATCTTTTTCTTCTGCTTTCCTTTTAATTATAAATTCCATCTGTAAGTTATTTATTTGCTGTTATATCTCACATATACAGTTAAATGAAACCAAGCAGCAGACTGAATACTTTGCTGTTTAGATATTTCTTTCACCAGATATCCTAGTTTATCACTCTTAATTTCTGCATACCATAAAATACAGGACATAGACACAATTCAGCCAAAGTTTTTTCTACTTGATAGTAAGAATGGTCTTTGCTCCAGGGCAATGCCAACTGGATTTATGGACACTGCTGAGGCTCCAAAAATGTAGAGCTACTAGTGTGCAACTCCAGCCTGGGAGAGCTACAGGCCCACAATTACAACTTGTGAGAGCTGCTTCATGGACTGAGCCTAGCAGAGCTATGAAGCAGAGTGGCCAGAGGCTTTGGGGGCTCAATCTCTACTCCAGTGTATCTGGGAAGTGGCACACAGAGTCAAAGAAGGTTATTCTCAGCTTTAAGACTGAATGTTGTTGTTCTCTCTGTTAGGTTTTGGATTTAATTGGGACCAGTAACACCTGCAGTCTTACCTATTTCTCCCCTTTGAAATGGGAATGTCTATCCTATTCCTTTTCCTAGCATTGCATTGTGCAAGTAAATAACATTTCACAGGCTTACACTTATAAGATATTTACCCCAAGGTAAATCATACCTTAAGTCTCGCCCATATATGATTTAGATGAGACTCTAGACTTTGCACTTTAGAGTTGGCACTTGACTATATTAAGACTTTTGAGGGTATTGAGATGGAATACATGTATTTTGTATGTTAAGAAGGCTATAAATTTTGTGGGGCCAGTGTCAGAACACTATGGTTTAAATGTTCTTTCCAAAACACGTTGAAATGAATGCTGTTGCAACAGTATTAAAAGGTGGGGCCTTTAAGATGTCATATACTTTTTCATTTTTTTTTTAGATTTTGGGAACTCCACCATCATGTACGGATTAATATTGATATCATGGGATTGGACTTGTTTTAAAAGCCATCTCTTTCACACACAAATATTATGTTACCATTCTGCTCTTCTTCTTCACCATGGGATGATGGACTCCCATCTCTTGAATCTCCCAGCCTCCAGAACACTGAGCTGAATAATTCCTTTTAAAATTACCCAGTCTGTGGTATCTGTTATAGCAACAGAAAATGCCCTAACACAGTTAGATATCTTGGATTATCTTTTTCAGTTAACTTTATGTGGTGATTAAATTTCTGCTATACTTAATCATTTTCAAAAACAATAACAATTTTCCTAGTAAAATCCACAAACTCCAAACCTTATCCCCATAGTGATCATTTCAATTGGTTAAAGTTTTATTGAATTTAGTGAATGAAAGTACTAATGTGGGAATGTTTACTGCATGTGACCTCCTAAAACTATTTTGCTAATTGGTAATGCCTGTCATTGACAATAATTGATTTGTGGCTTGAAACCAATAATTTAAATGCTGTTTCTTTCATGCAAGGGTAAAATAAATTATTTTGTTGTTACTTGATTTCAGAAAAGCAGATAACAACTATGGTCTGGAAGAAACATGTAAGTTTAAATATTTTGCACGTACTCCTTTTCCAAAACTGTGCCTGTTAAGAAATTTAAATATAATTGATTTTTTTTCTATTTTTTCATTTTAAAAAAGAAGTCAATTTTTGCCAATTGGAAAAAAGGATCATGATTAAAAAAAGAAAACAAAAGTAAATACATTAATGTATAGTAATTTTTATGTTTAACTCGATAATTGAATAAAGTTTCATTTGTATTTTTAATTTTTTATTAAACTACTTCAAAATTTATAAATTTTTAGAAACTAATTTATTTCTTTAGCTCTAAAATGATTAGTTTTAGTGATTCCTCTGTAGCAAATGTTTTCTAGTGTACTTTGACATGAGACATAAAGAGCTGTGTAGTTTAATGACATTCCCACAAGCCTGTCTGTAGCCATTTCCACAAACCTCCTTGTCTGTCTCTGACTCATTTTTTTCCTTCTAGGCACTAACCATTAAAAAACCGTCTAATAATCTTCCAGATTTTATGCATTCTTTACCTCAATCCTTTTCTATTCATACAGAGGAGATAATCATTTGTACTACCCAAAATTCTGCCTGAGAGAATATTTTCTCATCACTATCCTTTATACCACACTGGGTGGGGCTATAATATAATACAATGCCTTGCACAAACATACTGAACTGACCCGTTTGTGAATCAGGCCGTTTTTTGTTTTGTTTTCTCTTTCATCAGCTAATCAAATCAGGTGTGAGTCCTGTGAAATGAAACAGTAAATAAGACTCCAAACTTACCAGATGAGATGGACACCCTGTGGTTAATAGAGATGACCAAATTTAGATAACAGAACCAAGCAACTATAGCAAAGGTGGCTTTTGAAACATTCTACTTTACGCTTGGGAAGCCATCCATCAGGGCTCTACTATCTCCACCAATCAGAACTAAACAAGCTTGAATTATTTGTTTGCATAAATGGACATAATTGAGAACCAGGGCTGGAACTTTCCCTACTTGAACCAAACTCTTCCTTTGCTCTTTGGAGAGCACTTTCCTTTTCACTTGGGAAGCTATGCCTCCCTAATCTGCACATTATTTTGTTTATATACAGAAAATAAAGCTCTCCCCTTTTCCTTTGCAGATCTCATGGTATTTTTTAAACATTTTTTGGTGATGTGGATGGAATCTGAAGTGTCCCCCAAGCACCTTCCCAGTGCTGTCTAGACAAATGCATCAGGCCTACAAGAGCCCCTTGAGCTCAGTTATCTTCTCATCTGTGTTGAGGAGAATCAAGTAAGCCCTCTTGGATCGAAGGTCTCCCATTTTTGGGTTGAAGTCTTGGAGACTTTACTTTCTTCGGGGAGCCAATCCATGTCATTTGGCTCCGTGTGCCCCATGGGTGGGGGTAGGCTCACACCTTTTGGGGTATGCTCACATTTTGCAGGATACACTTGTGCTTCATGGGGTATGCTCACATTTGATGTTCTGTGGGGATGCCCACACTGACTGCACTTGAAGGGATGCCTTCATTAGGTGAGTGCTATGGGTAACCCCTATTCTAAAGAGAGGGGTTTCTGACCAACTGCCTTCCGGTACTCCAGCTGCCTTCATATTTAAAATTATGGGGAAAATCCCTGTGCCTATTTAAGACTTTGGATAAAATTAAACCAAGAAAGATCAAAGGCATGCCAAGATATTTTCTGAGACTCCAGCTGGTAACATGTTCAGACGTTATCAGGATATTTCAAACAGTCTGTTGTCCTTAAAACTAAATTAAAAGACCATGGCTATAAAATCATACATTCCAAATAAGATATATACATATATACATTTGATATCTTGAGGCTAAAAAAAAAGAAGAACCATTTGAGACTGAAAGATTGCCTTTCTATAAAATACTGTCCCAAAGCTAGCTGAAACTCTTTTCTCTTTGGAACTCTTTCCTTCCCTTTTTACAATTCTTTCCCTTTGTCTTTCTCTTAGCTAAGCTCCCTTTGTCCAAAACTCCTCCAACATTCCTTAGCTATTCTGACATACTATTTGTAAAAACATTTGAAAGCCAGAAAAGATGAAATTCCCTTGGAAAGGACTTCCTCCCTATACTAAAATAAATGGTGGCATTTTTGTATTCAAGGACAAAAAATTGATACCAAGAAAAATCTGTACAAAACCTTTAGAATAAATTATCTTTTGGGCCTCCTCACATAATTCAGTCACATTTTTACACTTAACTATTCTTTGTCCAATTTAGTATATCGGTTACTGACTGAAAATGCTATACTTCAAATCTGGTTCACAGCCTTTATAAGATTGCCCAATTAAAAAAAATCTTAAAGTTTGGCCTTATTGCATTTCGTCAGGAAAAAAGTTTGAATACAACTGTCTTTTATAAACTGGTGAGTTTATATTATTAAATCATGTCTAGCCAAGTGATTCTGTGTACTGGTTAAGACATTAGCTAAAAGACTTCCTCAGACCCTATTGGAAGAATCTTTTCCAGGTACTGTTAATCAACCCTCACACTGCCAAGTTACAGGGTGTCGACTCTTGGATACATATATTCCACCTAAAGAAGGCATCAGCCCTTAATGAATTTTGGACATCAACACCGGTATCTTACACCAAACTTGAGTTGATCAAAGTCCTATCACTGGGCCAAGAAGAAGATGGCACCTGTAGTTGACAGCCGACCCATCAGACCAGGCCTGTAAAAATACCTCTTTTTTTAGGTGTGAGATTAATGTGCATGCTCAGCTCTCATCTTTTCCTCATTATTGACTTGGTTGTCATAGCTTTAGGGATCCTTTGTATTCTAGATGCTCTATGTCATGCTAGAGTAGCCCCCTGTATTCCCATATGTAGACAACTCTAGGCTGTGCAAAGCTATAAGTACTCATCCTGATTGCACTTCTTCTCCCCACACTCTCCTCCAGCATTGGCTTCTGTCTTTATTCTACCCTTCAGTTTTTAATGGTTTTATTTATGTTGAGTCTAAGTATTTGGGTCTATTTAAAATTGATTCTTGTTTGTTTAACCAGATGCCTTAGCCAGTCCCTAGCCCAAATTATGATAGCTCAACACCTGCGGGCTTTGTCCAGTTTCTGACGCCTCCACAAAACTCCAACAAGAAAAGCTCTTAGACATTTAACAGGTACCTCCTCACCTTTTCTACCTCCTCACCTTTTCTACCTTGTCTAGCACAGGTTGTTAAAAAATGGGTGTAAATATCAGCCACATAAGTCCCACTGAGGGACTAGATGGACCCAGGGAAAGTAGCCACACCAGTCCTGACAATGATGTGGGACAAAATGCAACATTATAAATTGGTAATTAATGCTGCCTATTGCAGGTTTGGACCAGAAGAGAGAAATGGAAATGCAACTGTCAATAAGACCACATGCTGTTCAGACAAGATGAACTCTCTGTGGCTAATAGAGATGCTTAAATTTACATAACCGAACCAAGCAGCTATGGTAGGGTGAGAACAAGTGATTATGCCCTCTTTGTTCCAAGAAAAGGCAGCTCTTGATAAACATCCTGCTTTAAGCCCTTGAGCCAGAACAGTTCCTATGACTGGAACAAAGAAAAGCTGAAGTCAGAGACACCCGTTCACTGGCCATTTGGGAAAAACGTCCATCTGACAGAGACTTCTGGTTTTGACCTTGGGAAGTCATCCAATTATGGCTCAGCTATCGTGATCAATCAGAATTGAACAAGCTTGACTCTTTTATTTGCATAAACGAATCTGATTGGGAACCTGGACCAGAACTTTCCTTTCTTAAGTCAAACCTTTCCTTTGTTCTTTGGAGAGCACACTTTCACTCATACTGAAGGCTGTGCCTCCCTGTTCCGAAGATACCTGCATATATATATATATATATATATATATATATATATATATAAAGCTCTCCCTTTTTCCTCTGCAGATCACAAGGTCTTTTTTTAACAGGACATAGAATGTAAGCTGTGAGACAGGCAATGTTGCATCAAAGATAAGTATAATGGGATTCGTTGCCACCTTTTGTGAAGCATTTAGTGTGCCTTCTGGATCTGTTCAGGTCCACGTATATCATTTTCATAGCACAACAGATTGTAACTGCATTGCCCAGACCTTAAGGCTTGATTGTTCTGACAACACCAAGTTTCTGATAGACAATTCTAATTACACAGTCACTTATCTCCCATGGTCAGGCATTTAGTATCTACTAGGAGTTAGTATCAAGCTAGTAGCTGCTTTTCCAATGATGAGTCATTTTCAGCTACAGAAAGCATGGCATTTCTCCAGAACCCAGAACTCTCCTTTGGGGCTTCCCAGGAACAGAATATTTATATTTAGTTCAATGACTATCTCCACCACCACTGGATTTAATCGTTCATATTGCCCTAGTGGTAGGATAGACTAACCAAAGCCTAGGCCTGTGGCAGAATCCTCTTTCATTCTGTTCTCTTTTCAAAGCTAGCAGTTTTTTGAGTCATCATTAGACAATGGGTTAGAGAAGTATTTCCAAATGTGGTATATATTCTCTCCTAAATGCAGGGAAAAAAAAGTCCAATGAGTGGTGTGCCACTATTTTAGTGGTGGAGGTATAAGGCACTATAATTTTTCTCTACCTTATTAGAATGTCTTGTCATGTCCTAAATTTTAACCCTAAAACCTACACTGATGTGGCATACATGTAAAATTTAGACTTTTTCTCTCGCCTTCTCATATTCATGTGTCAAGGGCATCAGGATTGCTTGGGGCTCCCTGCTTAGCAGGTCTGATTAGCATGATGTCTTCAGTGTAGTCGGACACCTGAATATGCTGTGAAATACTAAGGCAATCAGGAATTCTTGAGCCTGTTTTACGATAGCATGAATGTTAACACAGCTCTGTGGCAAATTGTGAATATAAATTGCTGTCATACCCAAGTGAATGTGAACTGGTTTTGATCACCTGTCCTGATCAAGATTTATGAGAACTGCACATATCAAGTTCCAGAAACTGTGTTGATCTGCTCTAGTAAAACACTAGGTCTAGCATAACAGCTGATTTTGAGGCTTTTATTTTGTCCATTTAATGTTAGCCCACTAACACCTACCGCATTCTGTCTGTATGTTGGGTAGTTTTGGATGATATCCTGGACATATACATGTTAAATTGTGGGAACTCTGAAGCCTACTATGTTCAGGCAATGAGTGTTATTTTTATTTATTTTAGCATGTACTTTTCTTCACTAGGCTTAACCTGAAAAGTCATTTGAGGCAGCAACTCTGCCTCAGTTCAGAACTTTTTTTTTTCTTCCTTTCCAGCTGAGTTGCTTTGTGTCTATTCTGCATATGCATCGTTTGAGAGTCTGTCAGGATGTGGAATGACAGAGATGAATAATGCCCTTTTCAGCTTTTATTCTCTGGGACATCTCAATAATTTTCCAGCATTTGTGGTGAACTGCCTATAGTTTTCTGATTCTCCAGACCAGTATATCTGTTGGTTTTTCCACCTTTATATTGAGACTATGGTGCTTGCTACATAAACTTTACTTAACCCCAGAGTAAAAGCTGTGTAGAGCTCCATGTTTAACTTCCTCCAAGCCAGGGTGTACACTTCACCACACTTGGCCTGCTTTTGTCCATTATCTAGCATGTTCAGTATAGCAATTTTTATCTCAGTTGATCTTTCATTTTTAGTTGAGTGTTTTTGAGTCTTTTCTGATATGCAGAGTTCAGAAAAATAAGATGAGAGTGTTGATCCCTTCTTTTTTTTTTTTTTTTTGTTGTTGTTTTTGTTGTTGAGACGGAGTCTCACTCTGTCGCCCAGGCTGGAGTGCAGTGGCGCAATCTTGGCTCACTGCAAGCTCCACCTCCCGGGTTCATGCCATTCTCCTGCCTCAGCCTCCTGAGTAGCTGGGACTACAGGCACCTGCCACCATGCCTGGCTAATTTTTTGTATTTTTAGTTGAGACGGGGTTTCACCGTGTTAGCCAGGATGGTCTTGATCTCCTGACCTCATGATCTGCCCACCTTGGCCTCCCCCAAATTGCTGGAATTACAGGCATGAGATCCCTTCTTTTTTTCTTTTTTAAAATAATCACTGTATATAGAATTCTAGATTGGCAGTTTTTCTTCTGTCAGTATTTGAAAGATATAAGGAGAGTTTTAACTGCTTTGAAATTGCAGCAGGAGTCTTACCTGAACCCATATGCAACTCTGGAACTGAGATGGTCCTTTAGTATTATTCCACTTGAGGCAAGCAGCCCAGGTTTTCTACCCACTTACTCTCTTCACTCTAGCATGGCCTTCTGGAAGCCCTGGCTCACCTTCCTGGATTCGCATTAACAGTTTATTTACTGCTCTCCTCATTAATACATGACTTCTACCCTTTTGGCTCTAGAAAAAGCTTTTTTTTGTCTCTTTATCTGGAATCTCTCTCTCTCTACACACACACACACACACACACACACACACACACACACATTTAAAGTGCCTCTTTTTGATGCTTCACAGTGAAATGTCATTGTTTTCTCAATGTGAGAGTTTGAATCAGAAGAAAACCTTTTAAGATCTATGTGATTCGTTAGTACAAATAAAATTGAAAAGATTATATAGCATCAATTTCTTAGTAGTCAAATTGTCAACAATCTCAAATATTAAAACATAACTCAGAAACTAGAAGTAAGAAAGTAAATAGTTTTAAGAAAAATGTTCTCCTTGTCAAAACTCTGAACTATTTAAACTATTTAAACGTACTCAGAGTCTTTTTTGTCTGTTTGGTTTTGTGTGCCCACTTTGTATCAGCACATTTGAAGTAAAATTCTCAATTGACTGAGAATGAATGTAGAGACACAACAGGACAAGTGACAAATATTGAAAAACACTGGAAGAAGGTAAGAGAATTGACAAAGAAGACATGCAAGAAACATAATTCTGTACACTTTAAACATAGGGTTATAACTCTATTTTATGACATGATACAGCAATGCTGTTTTTACTAGTGGAGATGGAAGATCAGGAGGAAGTTAATATCCCCTTAATATTTCCTTTTCATTGCTGGCCTTAATTGATTTTCCCAGTCATTTTTTTATTTCACTCCTTCACTTTAAAATTGTAGCTGTATTATGTTACATGCATTGGCATGAAGAAGAAATGCAAATATCTTTCTAATAAATCTACTTTTACCATGTTAACCAGTTTGGTTTCAGTTAATTACAACTAAAATAATGTTAATTAATGTATGATAGCATAATTAAAATAGGTACTGGAAGCAAAAGTGAACTTAAAAATATGAAGAAATTCAAAAACATAAACTGCATAGGGTTATTTAAATAAAAAGTAAACCTGTAAAGAAGAAAGGTGACAGATAGGGAATAAAGTGATTCACCATAAAACTGACAATCAACACTACAAACAACTATAGTTAATTAAATAAGAAATAGTTATTAGTGTTAAAATTAAAGAATGATTTTGGAGTAGAGCATGAGTTGAGTATACAGAGTGAATAAATTATGTTAAGAGAAAAATAGTGAAAGAATCCAAATAAACACATCAATTACAGACAATAAATTACTTGAAAGGATACAAATATTAGAAGGTTATAGATAGGAATAGTAGTTACATAAAAATCAGAAAAGAAGCATGCCACTCGCATCTGCTTCTAGTGAGGGCTTCAGGCTGCTTCTACTCACAGTAGATAGTGAATGGTAATAGGCATGTGCAGAGAACATGTGTTGAGAGAGGAAGCAAGAGAGAGAAGGTGGAGGTGCCCTGTTCTTTTTAGTAGCTGGCTCTTACATGAACTAATAGAGCAAGAACTCCCTAATTACCAAGAGGATAGCACCTAACTATTCATGAAGGATTGCCCCCATTATAAAAACACCTCCCATTCCATCCCACCTTCAACACTGGGGATTAAATTTCAACATGAGATTTGGGGGCACAAACTTCCAAGCTATGGCAACTTGATTTGCAAAAAATAAGACTCCTGAAAGGAAATGAAAGAATATTAAATATATGCTATCAGAAAATTTAAAATTCTGGAAAGAATGGTGTTAACTGATCATCACATCTCATACAACTCTAGCCACTTTCCCATCATATGAAGTAATGTATGATTAATTCAGTATTCTATTCAGAGAGAAATATTTGAGACCACATTTTAATCTTTTCATATATAATTTACCATTTAATGGCTGTTCCAAAATATTTGTTTAGATTCCCCTATTCATAAGTAATAAAAATACTTAACTGGTAATATTATTGTTTACCAAGCACTTGTACAAACATTAAATCATTTTTCTTCTCAGTACAAAAAGAAAGTAGAAGAGTGAAATATATTAGTAGATTTTTTATTGCTTCTTTGATATTTTCTACTGAAATTTTTAGAAATATAAAAGCTTTTTTGCATGATATATGAGTTTACTTGGAGACCAGCTGCATTTCTAATTTATTGTTATACGCTATTTTCTAGCATACATTATAAGAACAATAAATATTTTTGTCAAATAAAGATTTTCACAGTTCATAGTAATTGTTCTTTAGAGACATCAAAGGATGGATAAAATGCAGTTTCTTTCATAAGGCAGTTTTAAGAAATTCGGAAGTTTTGTTTAGGGTATAAATTATCTTGCTTTTCTATTATTCCAGAATAATAATATAACAGAAAAGGAAGATCTAATTCCAATTATACCAATCTACCAATACTGCTTTTTAAAAGTAGATATATATATATATGTTGCATTACATCTGCATCAATTCCTTGTTTCTACTCTCAGTATATCAAATATATGTACACATCTGTTTTTATTTGGGGGAACTTAATCCTTTAGCAATTTGTATTGGCTTATGCTCAAATATACTGAGAATTGTTGTGTACCATGTATTTTAGTTACAGAATTTCTTGATTTATGTCCAGTTTTGAAGTTAAGTTCCGAGACTAGCACGGGAAAAACGACTTCACACTAAGCTGAAGAGGTAGCTAAGAGTTTCCATTTGACAATGGGATGTTGATAGAAAGAATATTGGTATGGGTTGTCTAAAGGAAAACCCAGGATAAACCAGCTTCTCTTTCTCTCAGTTTACTTTGCCTGAGTTTTCCTCTGGTAACCACACAAAAGAGGACAAAAATGACTTAATTTTGGTTTGTTGAAGCAGTTATGTATAATTGCTGTGCTTCATTCAAATCAAGGTGTCATTTATAACTCAGGCAAAGTTTAGAAATCATTTGTTGATACTGGATAGAAACTTTCATATGAATCCATTCAAATTACTTTCTGATCCATTGTCTGCCTAACTCCTATTTTTAAAAAATAGAAGAGTCACACAGTAGTGATGATGAAAATATTGAAATTCTGCTGTCTTGAAATCATACTGCTTTGCTTTATTTTTCTATCTTCTTTTTTTTTAGTTGTTAAGATTTAGAAGTGAAGTTGATTGCCTCAATGTAGTCAGTAAAACTTTGTAAGATAGACAAAAAGGATGTATTATATATAAATATATATAAATATATAAATATAATTGTTTAATTTTCTCTGATCAAGTGTCCTCATTACACAACACTGATTGTGTCTAGAGTATCTAGTCATTGACTTGATTTCTTACAGCAAAATAAGCGGAGTATTAGGTTACTTGTGGCAAGAAATGAGTATTCATATGTTTTGTCTTCCCAATTGGCCTAAATGAAATGCTCGGTAAGGCAATAAAAATATAGAAAATGTTTGATTTGGGTTAGAAAGGAAGAATAAATAATATACAATCAAAATGACATTATATATTACAAAATCCTGTATAATGCCACTAAATGCATTTAAAATTAGACTAATTTTATTTATGGAGTTAGTGAAGCATTTGATGATAAATTAGGGGATCTGATTCTTGAAGTTATAAATTGATTCAACTCCACTTCATGTGTGCTTAATACTTTGCAACTTACAATGCACTTACACCTATGCTGTAGTTAACATTGTAGCACCAAGACATGAATAGGGCAATTTTTGTTATAGTCCTAATTCATAGCAGAGGAAAGTATATAAGTTAAATGTTTTGATCAGTGACACTCAACTACTGGTTGATAGAACAATTGCAGGACTCCAAGTCCTGTGCTTTTTATTAAAGTAACATTTACAGCATATCCCTCATTCTCCACCTCTTAGTACTTCTGGGTATACATGAAATAGAATGCAAAACAAGGCACTAAGAGGATTTAAAACTAAGAAGCTAATTTGTAAAATATGCAACTGCAGTATCCACAAAGGACACTCAAATACTAATCACATTGATTAGCATTTATGTATCAGAGACTCCAGCTTATCCCATTTAGTAAAGGAAAATAATGGCATGTATAGTAAAAATATAGTTTATATTTCAGAACTTATTCATATATAACTTTGGAATATGCATTTCTGATTCACATTTGAATAAGCTAACTTTAATTATCTGATACTCCAGATTGTAATGAGCACGTTTGGCACTTTCACGTAGATTATCCAGAATCATCTCCTCTGCACAGACGGATTACAAAGAATAAGTCAATTTTGCCATGGACTTTGTGGAATGTAGCCATTAAATTGGATTACTTCATTCCATGCAAAGATGTATCCATTCTTAATCTTTACATTCTGAGAAAATAAAGTTCATTTGTTTCAAAATTTAAAAACATATTCTATTTCAATTTGGCTAGAATAAATATGAATCTCTTGAAGTTAATTAGATGAATTGGCATCTGGATCAGTTATGACTGTTTCTGGTAAGTCAAATGATTATTACGGTGAGGAAATTAGGATGGTGCTGCTAGAAAATCTAGAGTTGGTGTATATGCAGAACGAGTAAAACCTGTGGCTCAATAACATCAGAGTTTCCATTAAAAAAAATTGTTTTTGAGATGGGGTCTCACTCTATCGCTCAGGCTGAAGTGCAGATCTCAGCTCACTGCAGTCTTGACCTCCCAGGCTAAAGTCATCCTCCCACCTCAGCTTCCTGAGTAACACAGGCACATACCACCACACCCAGCTAATTTTTGTATTTTTTATAAAAACGGGGTTTCACCATGTTGCCCAGGCTGATCTTGAACTCCTCGACTCAAATGATCCACCCACCTCAGCCTCTGAAGGTACCGGGAACACAGTCATGAGCCACCGTGCCAGGCCTCGAAGTTTTCATTTCTTTCTGGCTTGGAAACTACATTATCTTATTCTAAGGTTGTTTGCCCTCACAGTACTAGATGGCTACCATCTGTAATCTCAGGAAATAAGCCCTCATTTACAACTAGCCAAGAAAAGAAGACCAGGTTCATAGTTCATTTAAAAAAGTTCCATTTTTCATTGGTCAGAAAAAATGTCTTCAACTAGGTCCATGAGGGTCTGTCATTCCAGAGAGTCACTCAAAATTTATATGCCACCTGTTAAAGATGGTTGTGATGAAACATACAATGAATTTTAATGTTCCCCAGGCAAATACTGCTTGTAAGTGTATATATATAATACTATACCATGTGTCAAGAATAGTAAAATGCTTTGATACTGATGACTTTAGATCTAGTTTGACTATATGTAATAATAGAGATTTCATTAACCTCATTCATGTATATCAATCAGAGCTCTACTTTGTGGAAAGCATTAATCTATCCAGAAGAATGACTTCTGCAAAATACAGAGGACTAAGGGATGCTTGAAAGACAAGTAAAATATTCACTGTTGCATTTGAGTGGTATGTTAGGAAAATAACTCCTCACATTACAAATTAGATAACCTAAGCAAATCCACTCATTTTTCGTACCTAATTTGGTCAATTTTATTTGTGTTTTACACACAAAGGAATAGCTAATGTCTACACTTTTACTAAGAATCAGAGGTGGAAACTTCCTGTGTAGTATATTACCATCATAAAAATGTGGGTCTAGGACTGGATCCTCAGGGCTCAGAGTACAGCTCCAGCTTTTTTATGTGATGTGACCCGGAGCAAGTTGCATAAATTCTTTCTTTTTCCTCATTTTTCATTCCTAAAACAGCGAATATTAAAACAAGGCTGTGAGGAGTTATCTCCTAGGGAAGCTCTAAGGTTTATAATAATTAATATACTTCAAACACTTGGAAAAGTGGTGGTACGTATTAAAGGTTATGTAAATATATGCTATTATGCTTTATACATTGAAGTTAAGCAGCTAACATTGTAAATTCATTACCGTGAGGAAAACGAACAAAAATCTCTACAGACATACATCAGGTGTTTAGTCCTACACTAAAACAAAATAGGCTCAGGTAGTTATTGTATTTATGTGTGTGTGTATGTGTATGTAATGAAAGTTATCAGGTGATCTGATAATCTGAGAGCTTTATTTTCTTTAATTTCCTTGAATTATTCAGAATTATCAAATCAAAATACCATCATTATGTACAACTAGCAGAAAGATATATGAATTGTTTTGTGAAAATATAATGTACTTACATTCTGCTAGCAACCTCTTTCAGTGCAGTAATTTTTTGTAGTGGGGAGTGGCAATGTGGGCTCCTATAGAAATCTGAGATCAAAACTGTGACCACATTTATTAACACCTTGGTCTAATCCATTGCACTGATCACATGGAGCAATATTTGAATTAGCTTAAATATATTTAATGATCTGAATAGCAATTCTCATATTAGAATTGGCAGTCATAAGAAAAAGAATGTTATTTAGCCTTGAAATGGCAGAATACTATCATCATAATAGATCTTATCTATTTATGTACACCTAATGCAATTTCTCTCAATATTTAAATAACTTTTGGTTTTAATGAGTTTTACTGAATTTGGAAATTGCCCTAAAATTTTAATTTATGCATTTTTATACACTGCTGAATATTTATGACTTTGTAAGGTAAATATAGGAGCTCTATGTGACCATCATGTGTACCCCTTTTGAAGGTACACTTACCATGAAGACAAACTGATATGTCACCCCTAACTAAGGATAAATGCACATTCTTTTAATTTTACATTCAGTGTAAGTTTTGTTATGGTTAAAGACAGTGAACAGAGAAAATATTCCTTATTGATATAGTATTCATAGTTCATTCTTACTGTGAGGTCTTCCCTGGCATTTCTATTTCAAGTACTCCAAAGCTATCCTTCTCTGTCTCTGGCAGTTAACACAACCCATAATTATTTTATTTGATTTCTTTTTTTTGCTACTAATATATTGAAATTTTGCCTTATTGTATTTTCAGTTTGGCACAAAATAATTGCTCAATAAGTTCAGATACACCTCCACAATTCTTTATGTATAGCCTTGAGGGCCACATGTATTAATAAGTAAAATATATTTTTTTTAAATTTTAGAGATACAAAAGCAAACATGTACCAAATATCACATCCCAGCAGATTCTGGAGAAATCCTCTGTAATCAAACACATAGTATTCCTTTAGCAAAACATATGAGTATTCACAAGAGTGAAATCAATAAGAAACCTAGCTATCCTCATGTCAGTTCAGGTAAGATCAGGTTTTCCTACCAAAATATATCTCAGAAAACTTCATGTTGTCACAATTTGTAGTTTTATCAGTAATGGCTAAATGCTTTAAAAAAGGAAGAATTAAATACAGAATGTTTAGAATTTTACAAGAAGTGTCATATGAAGCCTTATTAAGTAGGGATGATGAAAATGTTGAATAAAAGAAGTTCGATAGGTTGTGAGCAAGAGGTCATTCATTGAGTCTTTTTGAATCTGAGAACATAGTAGAAGGCCTGCACATAGATAAAATCCAGTAAGTAGCTGCAGAATAAACAACGAAAATTAACTCATATCCTGTGCCCATTTTTTGCAATACACTCTTCTCTATATGTATCAACTCATTTAATCCTCATAACCACATGAATTAGGTGTTGTTTTTATCCATTTTTCGAATGAGAAAATTTGCAGGTTATTTCCCCTCCAAATCATAGCAATACGAGGGGAAATGTTGGGATTCAGTGTAGAAAATGTAGCTCCAGAGTCCATGCTCTTAACTATGGAATGATGCTTCACATATTCCCATTATGTTGGGCACATAGTAGTACTTATTACATATTAGCAGAACTAAATTACGAAAGTCTAAACTAAACTTTAGTTAGCTTAAACTTAGTAGCTAACTAAACCTGAAACATTACGTTACTATTAGCTTATGGGGCCCAAAGGATTACAGAATATTTTCTAAAGTAGAAAACACAGCTAAATACCTCTAAAACTACTTCTAAGGGCCTTATAATCTTGTGATATTTTAAAGACCAATGGATGAATATATTTTGTATGTAACGATATGACACCCAGCATAGTATAATAAACGGGTTAGGCTCAGAACACATACATTCACACAAATGCTTTAAATGGTCAATAGATTGCGATGTAATCCATAATGCTAAAAAATAAAATATTTACTCAAAATAAAATATGCTAATAAACTGCATAGTTTTAATAGTAGCCATTTAACAAAATATTAGAAAAATTTGCAAGGTAAGTTGGAGTTCTATACTTTTCTAAAAAGCACTTCAGGCTCTTTCGACAATGTCATTTATTACATCAAAATTTCTTGAAAACTTTCCTGGCATAGTTATCAGTTATGTTTTCACTGTTCATTTTTGTTCTCCACACATTCAGCAGAGAAATTCAAGAAGAAAAACGTTTAAGAGATTTTAAAAACAACAGAAGATTGAGTAAAATCCAAAACAAATGCAAGACAAAAGTTACTATGCACATTTATGTAACCACTTAGGAAATGCTTTTTGCTTAATCATGAAGTGTAAGCTACGTTTCTGGCCTTATGCTGTGGATGAAAAAAATGACATATTCATAAATCGCTAACAATCCATCAAAGGTCTGCCTCTATAAACAAATCTATAATCCACAGTAAAAAAAAAAAAAACTGTTAGAGGTACGACTTTGTAAGCACAGAGAAGACAGTGGAGTAAATTAAGCAAATCAGTGACATTTGAGGCAGGTGCTGACTAATGAAAGTAGAGGCCAGTGACCAGGTTAAATGAATGATATTCTATAAGGAATTAGAAGCGTAAAACTAGGAACTTTTTTTTTTTATACTTTAAGTTTTAGGGTACATGTGCCCAACGTGCAGGTTTGTTACATATGTATACATGTGCCATGTTGGTGTGCTGCACCCATTAACTCGTCATTTAACATTAGGTATATCTCCTCCCCCTCCCCGCACCCCACAACAGGGCCTGGTGTGTGAAGTTCCCCTTCCCGTGTCCATGTGTTCTCATTGTTCAATTCCCACCCATTAGTGAGAACATGCGGTGTTTGGTTTTTTGTCCTTGTGATAGTTTGCTGAGAATGATGGTTTCCAGCTTCATCCATGTCCCTACAAAGGACATGAACTCATCATTTTTTATGCTGCACAGTATTTCATGGTGTATATGTGCCACATTTTCTTTTTCTTTTTTTTTTTTTTTTTTTGAGACGGAGTCTCGCTCTGTCGCCCAGGCCGGACTGCGGACTGCAGTGGCGCAATCTCGGCTCACTGCAAGCTCCGCTTCCCGGGTTCACGCCATTCTCCTGCCTCAGCCTCCCGAGTAGCTGGGACTACAGGCGCCCGCCACCGCGCCCGGCTAATTTTTTGTATTTTTAGTAGAGACGGGGTTTCACCTTGTTAGCCAGGATGGTCTCGATCTCCTGACCTCATGATCCACCCGCCTTGGCCTCCCAAAGTGCTGGGATTACAGGCGTGAGCCACCGCGCCCGGCCGCCACATTTTCTTAATCCAGTCTATCATTGTTGGACATTTGGGGTGGTTCCAAGTCTTTGCTATTGTGAATAGTGCCGCAATAAACATACGTGTGCATGTGTCTTTACAGCAGCATGTTTTATAATCCTTTGGGTATATATTCTGAGTTGTTTAGGGAAACACCTGGACACTTGTAGATCCATGAATTTGACTCAACTTCTAACTTCAACACTTATTTCAAAAATTAGTTGAATATAAGTTTTATAAAATAGAAAATTTTATTAATGACTTACATTTGAATAAACATTTGACCAGATACAAAATTATAGATTCCATTGCTTTTAAAAAATGTTTTAAACCCTTTTGCACCAACATCTGGCATACCTATGAAAAGATTAGATCTTGAAAAATTTAGTATCAATCGGATTCATATAGCTGGAATACCATCAAGACAACATTGGAGACTGTTAAGTGAGGAATTATGAAAGACAGGTGGAGAATGATCCCTGGTGAGCATTTCCTCAGCCATCTCCATAAAGGAGACTTTGACAAATATTACAAGGTGTTGCAGAGCAGCTGAAGATGAAGCCCTGACTTGAAAAGTTGAGTGATGATAGTAAAACAAGAAGCACATTATCTACAGTTTTCTGTGAATTTCAGGATGTGTTCATTCCCCAGCTATGCTACCATTTTTCTCTCTACCTTACCCCCATTTGTGCTCCCCCTCCACAATTAGGAATTTGAATTTTAAAAACAAACACTGTAAATAGAAGTGTTTTTTAAAAATCTTTTTTCTGTAATACTATCAGATTTTTCTAAGACAATGAACACAGAGCTAGTTTCTTCCTAAAACCAGAGTAAGAAAAAGGAAAATACAGAGAAAGAAAAGTATTATGGAATTTAATAACTGAAAATATTGAGAGGTGACAGCGTGCTGGCAGCCCTCGCTTGCTCTCGGCGCCTCCTCGGCCTCAGCAACCACTCTGGCCACGCTTGAGGAGCCCTTCAGCCCAACACTGCACTGGGGGAGCCCCTTTCTGGGCTGGTCGAGGCTGGAGCAGGCTCCTTCAGCTTGCGGGGAGGTGTGGAGGGAGAGGTGTGGGCAGGAACTGGGGCTGAGTGCAGTGCCTGTGGGCCAGCGCAAGTTCTGGGGGCATGGGCTCTGCGGCCCTGCACTCGGAGCGGCCAGCCGGCCCCGCTGGCCCCAGGCAGTGAGGGGCTTAGCACCCAGGCCAGCAGCTGCGGAGGGTGTGCCAGGTCCCCCAGCAGTGCCAGCCCACTGGCACTGTGCTCGATTTCTTGCAGGGCCTTAGCTGCCTCCCTGCGGGGCAGGGCTCGGGACCTGCAGCCCACCATACCTGAGCCTCCCCCAAACTCCCTGGGCTCCTGTGAAGCCCAAGCCTCCCCAACGAGCCCCACCCCCTGCTCCATGGCACCTGGTCCCATTGACTGCCCAAGGGCTGGGGAGTGTGGGTGCAAGGCTTGGGACTGGCAGGCAGCTCCACCTGTGGCCCAAGTGCAGGATCCACTGGGTGAAGCCAGCTGGGCTCCTGAGTCTAGCAGGGACTTGGAGAACCTTTATGTCTAGCTAAGGGATTGTAAATACACCAATCAGCACTCTGTATCTAGCCCAGGGTTTGTAAATACACCAATCAGCACCCTGTGTCTAGCTCAAGGTTTGTAAATGCACCAATCAGCACTCTGTGTCTAGCTGATCTGGTGGGGACTTGGAGAACCTTTATGTCTAGCTAAGGGATTGTGAATACACCAATCAGCACTCTGTATCTAGCTCAGGGTTTGTAAATACACCAATCAGCACTCTTTATCTAGCTGATCTGGTGGGGACTTGGAGAACTTATGTGTCTAGCTCAGGGATTGTAAACACACCAATCAGCACCCTTTCAAAACGGACCAATCAGCTCTCTGTAAAACAGACCAATCAGCTCTCTGTAAAATGGACCGATCAGCAGGGTGTGGGTGGGGCATGATAAGGGAATAAAAGCAGGCTACCTGAGCCAGCACTGGCAACCCCCTAGGGTCCCCTTCCACACTGTGGAAACCTTGTTCTTTTGCTCTTTGCAATAAATCTTGCTGCTGCTCACTCTTTGGGTCCACACTGCCTTTATGAGCTGTAACGCTCACCACGAAGGTCTGCAGCTTCACTCCTGAAGCCAGCGAGACCATGAACCCACCAGAAGGAAGAAACTCTGAACACATTCAGCGAGACCACGAACCCACCGGGAGGAATGAACAAACTCCAGACACGCCGCCTTTAAGAACTGTAACACTCACTGTGAGGGTTCGCGGCTTCATTCTTGAAGTCAGTGAGACCAAGAACCCACCAATTCTGGACACAATATCATTTCTCCTTATAAATTACCTGTATAACAAAGTTTAAACCTTTGTTTGGGTATATAGGTGACAAATATCAGGTCTTATTAGTTAAAGACTGTATACCTGAGAAGGTAATTTTAACCCATATGAGAGTGACATGAGTTAGCAAAGGACAATGTTATTAAGTTAAATCAATGATAAAATATTCACTGGTATAAGAAAAATGTATTACAGATTATAAGTGGTTCAGTGAGATTCAAAAACATGGTTAATAATTTTAGTGAATGAATATTAGATGCAGTATATTTAGGGAGAATGATAAAAGTCTAACTTTTAAATTCATAATAGTGTGGTTTAATTTGATGCAAGAGGCAGCTGAGAAACACGGTAGGATTTTTTTTTTTTAAAGATCACTAAATGAATCTTACTCTTAGTATTCTTAGGATAGACGTGACAGGAAAACACTTGAAAAGAAAAACTGATCTAAATCCCAAAGGCAAACAATAACAGAACCTACATGCTGGTAGAATTATTCTTGAAAAAATAGATAGGTATCAGCAGTGACATGTGACATAGCACTCCTTGTATATCATTTTACTCTCATTGTTCTGCTTCACATATCATGACACTTGACATCTATGAATTGATTGAAGAGGAAAAAGAAAGCAGACTGCCTCAAAACGTTGACCTATAATGCCTGGCCATGTGAGAAGCCAACTTTCCTCCCAGTGTCAGGAGGATAATGAGAGCAGGAGGAGGCAGCAGCAGCAACTCATTCGGTTGCAAGAGGGACAACGGAATCCTGTTATTTTTATAATGGCAATCATCACTTTAAAGGTTACTTTCGGGCTATGACTGAGAAAGTTAGTCACTTAATCTCAAAGTTAGGAACCACTCAGAGAGAAAACCACAAGGCAGTATTTCCCTTAGAAATAACTTTGCAGGATAATAGGTTTATATCATGATTGTATAACCTAATCTCAGGATGTTAATACTGTCTAAACCATGAATTTTTATTCATTCCTTATTTTATGACAGAGCACATTCTCAAACATCTGTAATATACAAATATGACATAATGACAATGAGGCAATATAACTTATTTCTCTTAATTTCATTTCTCTGGACAACAGCTACATTCAGGCATTTTCTCCCAGATGATGTTGTCTGGTATGCTAATATGTATTCTTTTAAACTTCTTGTATCAATGCTACCTGCACACATGTGTTTTAGGTCATTCATTTTTTTCCATTGTAAAAACAGTCACTTATGTGGGACTAATAATTAGGATGGGAAGTAACCTAATTCTTGCCTCAATTTCCTCATCTGTCAAATGGGCCTAATAATGTTAATAGTACTAGTTTCATAAATTATAAAAAGATTAAGTTAGTTAATAGAAATAAAAACTTAAAATAATGTCCAGGACATAGTAATTATTCAACAAATAGATACAATTAATTTCAATATGACAACTTGTCCAAAACGTTTGAATTTTTATATTTCTAGGAAAAGATTGCACAATCCCAATGTGATTCCTTGAGATTCTTTGTATGTGTCACAATCATTCATTTACATTTGTTACTTCATTTAGTATACCATACATCCATTATAATTCTTATTCCAATTTAATTCTCCTCTTTCTCTACTTCAGAGAACCAAAATTTGAAGATATGCCCATGAGAGTTTATTATTATACATATGGCAAAAATTGGTTATTTCTGTGATATACAATGTTTTAAGTAATTGAAATTATGACTGATAACATTATATCAAGGCATATCAGGTATCTAGGAATTTATTCAATTTCCGGGACACTTCCTTTAATGACATGTATACATATGAATATAACATAAGGAGCATTTAATGTCACTTCTTATCTGCAGTGTTCCCCGTGTGATTTAACATATCAAATAAACTTACTTAGATTAACATGTCTTTTTTTAAAGACCTCATATGGAGTTTTATTTTGGAAAGTTTGTCAAACATCTAAGTGAAGATTTTGATTGTACTATTCATTATACAAATCTGAAGTTTAGGGGAGTAGTTTGGGCTAGTGATAAACTTTTGAAGTTTATGAGCATATAGATAATACTTCAAGACCTGAAACTTGATGGATAATGAAGGAATAAGGACAGGGAAGAAGGTCCAATAACTAATCCCTGAGGCATTCCAATATTTCTTATTGTAGACTCTGAGGAGGAACAAACAAAGATGGCTAAGAAGAATTTTCCAGCAAAGTAGGAACAATGCCAAAAATGTGTACTACCCAAGAAATAAAATGATGAAAGTTTTTAAAAATTGAAAGAGATTTTGATTTTTATATTGAATAAGAATGGGGTCTGAGAATTATCCATTGGATTTCATAATTTGAAGATCACTCTGAGTGGGGATTAGAGTGATATAAATACAAACCTGATTAGAACAAAGTGAAAAGACAATGAAAAGCTAGAACATGGACATTGCTGGCAATGACAATTCTTATGAGAAGTTTGAAAGAAAACATAGAATGGGATTTGAGGTCAAATTTTTTTAAATACAAAATGTACTTTTTCAAGTTTATTTTTTGATGGGATTTATCTAGTAGAAATGGAAACTTTAGAATGCATGGAATAATATTTTATGACCCTATCATATAAGAAGATAAGATGAGTTTCAATTAAATACACTTTGGGTGGCTCCACTGGGTAAAGGAGTTCATGGATCCATGATTTTGGGTGGCTCTACTGCTCACAGCACACACAGCAGCTCCCTGGGGGACCCCACACATAAGGCACTGGGTGAGGGTATCATGGTCTGCCAAACCAGAGAGGAACTAGCTCTCAACCCCTCCCTTACACTCTGGGCCTCTGGCAAGAATGGCAGTCACAGTGATTGTTGAATTGCCTTCCAGGGTCATTCTTTCCTTGTCCTAAAGAACAGCACCTGGCATCTATTGAGATCATTGGTTAAGCCAGTGTGTTATATACCTACAAATCTCCTTATCAAATGGTTGTTTTAGCCACACTCTTAGTGTTCTCTTATAAACAGGATTTTTGGCAATATAGATAGGCTGAGAATTTTCCAAATCTTTCAGTTGTTGTTCCTTCTTGCTTAATAATTCCATTTTCATATACTTTTTCTCTTCTTCCATTTTAATGTAAGCATTTTCATATATGAAGAAACAAACAACTTCTTAAATAGTTCCATAAAAATCTCCTTAGCTAAATATCCAATTTCATCTCTTAAAATTTGTACCTTCCATAAAACATTAAAATATGAGCATGACTCAGTCAAGTTCTTTGCCATTGTTTAACAAGGAATCCTTTCTTTCCACTTTCCAATAACATGTTCCTCATTTGTGTCTGGGAACATGAGTTTGGACTTCATTGCCCATATTTTTCCCAACATTCTTTAGATGATTATTTATGTATTTTCTAAGGAAATGAAAGCTTTTACGACTTTCCCCCTTTCTCTCTGAGCTCTCATTAGAAAGAATCACCACACCATGGAATACTATGCAGCCATAACAAAGGATAAGTTCATGTTCTTTACAGGGACATCAATGAAACTGTTAGTTTGCATTATCAGCAACTAACACAAGAACAGAAAACCAAATATCACATGTTCTCACTCATAAGTGGGAATGGAACAATGAGAACACATGGACACAGGGAGGGGAACATCACCCACCAGTGTATGTCGGGGGAGTGGGGCTAGGGGAGGGATAGCATTAGGAGAAATACCTAATGTAGGTGACGGGTTGATGGGTGCAGCAAACCACCGTGGCACATGTATACCTATGCAACAAAACTGCACGTTCTGCACATGTACCCCAGAACATAAAGTATATAAATAGATACATACATACATACATACATACATACATACATACATACACAAAAGTCCATTCACAGCAATGTAGGCTTTTCCTAGTATGGAGCACAAAACTCTTCCAGCCTCTACCTACTGCCAGTTTAAATGCTGCTTTCATATTTTTAAGTATTTGTTAGAGAAGCACCTAAGCTTCTCAATACAAACTTTCATCTTAGCCTGGATTGTTGTAACAAAGTATAACAGATTGAATAGCTTAAACAACAGAAATTCGTTTCTCAAAGTTCTGGAGGCTGGAAGTCTGAGATTAGGGTGCCAGCATGGTCAGATACTGGAGAGAGCCCACTTCTTGGTTGCAGACTGCTATCTTCTTGCATCCTCACATCACAGAAACAGGACCACAGAGCTCTCTGGGATCCCTTTGAAAAGAACATTAAACCACTTATGACCTCATGATCTAATTACCTCTCAAAGGCCCACCCTCCTAGTATCATCACATTGGGGATTAGAATTTCAACATATGAATTTTTGGGAAAAATTAACATTCAGCATATAACAAAACTAAACATAGATCCTTTCTCTTTCACGGAAATAAACTCAGTATGAATTATAGACCTAAATATGAAACAGAAAAATTAAACACCTTTAGACTATACCATAGATGAAAATCTAGCTGAACTGGGATTTGGTTAAAAGTTTTTAGATACATGATACATGAAAAAGACACAGATAAGCTAGGCCTATTGAAATTAAAATTTCATAAGAGAAAGACACTATTAAGAAAATCAGAAGAAAAGCCAAAATCTGTGGAAAATATTTGCAAGATAAATATCTGAAAAGGTTTTGTTTCCAAACTATACAAAGAACTCTTAACCTTAAAAATAGGAAAGAAACAACCCAATTCATAAATATGCAAAAGATCTGAACAAGAAATCTCAGCAAAGAAGACAGACAGATGGAAAACAAAAATATAGCCAGATACTCAACATTGTTTGCCATTAGGAAGTTGCAAATTCAAATAATAAGGATATATGAGTATACTTGTATTACAATGGCTGATATTTAACAGCAAGTGACAATATCAACTGCTTGCAAAATTTTGAAGTCACAGGAACTCATTTTTATTGCTAGTGAATTATAAATTGATACAGCCACTTTGATGGGCAGTTTCAGAAGCTTCTTACAAAGTGAGACATAATCTTACCATATATTTCATCTATCATACTCCTACGTATTTGTCTAACTGATTTGAAAGTTCAGATTTGTATGAAAACACATATTCACTATAAAAACCTCTACCCAAATAAACTACAAAACCTAGAAGAAGTGGATAAATTCCTTGACACATACACCCTCCCAAGACTAAACCAGGAAGAAGTTGAATCTCTGAATAGACCGATAACAGGCTCTGAAATTGAGGCAATAATTAGTAGCTTACCAACCAAAAAAAGTCCAGGACCAGATGGATTCACAGCCGAATTCTACCAGAGGTACAAGGAGGAGCTGGTACCATTCCTTCTGAAACTATTCCAATCAACAGAAAAAGAGGGAATCCTCCATAACTCATTTTATGAGGCCAGCATCATCCTGATACCAAAGCCTGGCAGAGACACAACCAAAAAAGATAATTTTAGACAAATAGCCTTGATGAACATCGATGCAAAACTCCTCAATAAAATACTGGCAAACTGAATCCAGCAGCACATCAAAAACCTTATCCACCATGATCAAGTGGGCTTCATCCCTGGGATGCAAGGCTGGTTCAACATATGCAAATTAATAAACATAATCCAGCATATAAACAGAACCAATGACAAAAACCTTATGATTAACTCAATAGATGCAGAAAAGGCCTTTGACAAAATTCAACAACCTTCGTGCTAAAAACTCTCAATAAATTAGGTATTGATGGGACATATCTCAAAATAATAGGGGCTATCTATGACAAACCTACAGCCAATATTATACGGAATGGGCAAAAACTGGAAGCATTCCCTTTGAAAACAGGCACAAGACAGGGATGCCCTCTCTCACCACTCCTATTTAACATAGTGTTGGAAGTTCTGGCCAGGGCAATCAGGCAGGAGAAGGAAATAAAGGGTATTCAATTAGGAAAAGAGGAAGTCAAATTGTCCTTGTTTGCAGATGACATGATTGTATATCCAGAAAACCCCATTGTCTCAGCCCAAAATCTCTGTAAGCTTATAGGCAACTTCAGCAAAGTCTCTGGATACAAAATCAATGTGCAAAAATCACAAGCATTCTTATACACCAATAACAGACAAACAGAGAGCCAAATCATGAGTGAACTCCCATTCACAATTGCTTCAAAGAGAATAAAATACCTAGGAATCCAACTTACAAGGGATGTGAAGGACCTCTTCAAGGAGAACTACAAACCACTGCTCAATGAAATAAAAGAGGATACAAACAAAACAAATGGAAGAACATTCTATGCTCATGGGTAGGAAGAATCAATATCATGAAAATGGCCATACTGCCCAAGGTAATTTATAGATTCAATGCCATCCCCATCAAGCTACCAGTGACTTTCTTTACAGAATTGGAAAAAACTACTTTAAAGTTCATATGGAACCAAAAAAGAGCCTGCATTGACAAATCAATCCTAAGCCAAAAGAACAAAGCTGGAGGCATCACGCTACCTGACTTCAAACTATACTACAAGGCTACAGTAACCAAAACAGCATGGTACTGGCACCAAAGCAGAGATATAGACTAATGGAACAGAAAAGAGCCCTCAGAAATAATGCTTCATATCTACAACCATCTGATCTTTGACAAACCTGACAAAAACAAGAAATAGGGAAAGGAATCCCTATTTAATAAATGGTGCTGGGAAAACTGGCTAACCATATGTAGAAAGCTGAAACTGGATCCCTTCCTTACACCTTATACAGAAATTAATTCAAGACGGGTTAAAGACTTACATGTTAGACCTAAAACCATAAAGACCCTAAAAGAAAACCTAGGCAATACCATTCAGGACATAGGCATGGGCAATGACTTCATGTCTAAAACAAACACCAAAAGCAATGGCAACAAAAGCCAAAATTGACAAATGGGATCTAATTAAACTAAAGAGCTTCTGCACAGCAAAAGAAATTACCATCAGAGTGAACAGGCAACCTACAGAATGGGAGAAAATTTTTGCAATCTACTCATCTGACAAAGAGCTAATATCCAGAATCTACAATGAACTCCAACAAATTTACAAGAAAAAAACAAACAACCCCATCAAAAAGTGGATGAAAGATATGAACAGACACTTCTCAAAAGAAGACATTTATGCAGCCAAAAGACACATGAAGAAATGCTCATCATCACTGGTCATCAGAGAAATGCAAATCAAAACCACAATGAGATACCATCTCACACCAGTTAGAATGGGGATCATTAAAAAGTCAGGAAACAACAGGTGCTGGAGAGGATGTGGAGAAACAGGAACACTTTTACACTGCTGGTGGGACTGTAAACTACTTCAACCATTGTGGAAGTCAGTGTGGCAATTCCTCAGGGATCTAGAACTAGAATTACCATTTGACCCAGCAATCCCATTACTGGGTATATACCCAAAGGACTATAAATCATGCTGCTATAAAGACACATGCACACGTATGTTTATTGCGGCACTATTCACAATAGCAAAGACTTGGAACCAACCCAAATGTCCAACAATGATAGACTGGATTAAGAAAATGTGGCTCATATACACCATGGAATACTATGCAGCCATAAAAATGATGAGATCATGTCCTTTGTAGGGACATGGATGAAGCTGGAAACCATCATTCTCAGCAAACTATCACAAGGACAAAAAAACAAACACCGCGTGTTCTCACCGATAGGTGGGAATTGAACAATGAGAACACATGGACACGGGAAGGGGAATGTCACACACTGGGGCCTGTTGTGGGGTGGGTGGAGGGGGGAGGGATAGCCTTAGGAGATATACCTAATGTTAAATGACGAGTTACTGGGTGCAGCACACCAACATGGCACATTTATACATATGTAACTAACCTGCACATTGTGCACATGTACCCTAAAATTTAAAGTATTAAAAAAACACATATTCAAGTGTTTATAGCAGTTTTATTTATAACCTCCAAAAACTGGAACCCACCAAGATGTCTTTCAACAGATCAATTAAGGAAGAAATTGATATATCCATGCAATGAACTGTTATTAGCAATAAAAAGAAATGGAATATCTTACCATGAAAGAACATGGATAAATCTTAAATGCACATTTCTTAGTGAAAGGATCAGGCTGAAATGTCTACATGCTGTATGATTCCAATCAAAGATACTGTGTAAAACGCACTACTATAGTGACAGAAAATGTCAGTGGTTTGATGTGATGCACAGAGAATTTTTGATGTGGTTTGATATGATGCATAGGAAATAAATGAAGCAAAAAAAAAAAACTTTTAGGGCAGTAAAGCTATGTTTTATCATACTGCAATGGTGGATACACGATATTCTGCATTTGGTGAAAGCCATGGAACTTAAGAACACAGAGTGGACCTCAGTAAATGGACATTGGAAAACATCATTCGGTAGTCTGAGGTATCCCAGGGTGAAATGAAGAGTGACAAGATACCCTAATTATTTTAAGTGTATGAAACAATCTCAGTAATGGGCACAGAGGGAAATTTGTAGACTTAAGTAACTTTGCAAATGAGCAGAGTCTATTACAGCGTCTAAAGGCAAAAGAACCTGTACAGAAGCAGTGAAAAGTATTTGATAAGTTGTTTCCATTGGAATATGGGCTAACCATCCTAATTCCACTATATCACATACTGAAATTGAACAGTTATGTAAATGGATGTTAAATGGTAGGACCAAGATTTCATATTGCTAGAGTGGGAGGTACAGAGAAACAAAGGAAGGAGTCTAGCATGACCCATGTTGTTTAATGTTACAATGTAAATAAATAATGATTACGTATAGAAATATTTAAAGATATGTGAATATATACAGGTAAGCATACACGCATAAATCTCCTAACTCTGTCAGCTGAGAGAGCCTAGCAGCACTGAATCTACTTTAGCAAAGGGCATACCTAGCACCCAGATCTTGAAGTCTATCATTCTCCAGTAAAGGGAACTAGAGTTCCTGGGAGTAATGGCTGATTCTAGGACTGGGGAAGGAAATATACAGATGAACCGGGGTATCTTGTATGTGTAGATAATTAAAACATGAAAAACAAACAAACAAACAAACAAACAAAAAACACACAAGGGGCACAGGAACAAACCAAGAAAGCTCTAAATGGCCAAAGGCAGAACGATTTGTTCAACAACATAAATAATGTTGCATTAGAACCCGAAATATAAATGGAATATCTATTAATTGCCACTGATAAAAATAAATATGGGAATAAATAAATAAATGTGGCGGAGAAATAAGCCTCCCATGAATAGGAATTTCAAATAATTTATGTAAATAGCCCTCAACGAGGTAGCAGACATACCTCCCCACTTCTTCACTGTGGATTGTACATAGAGACTTTCTTCCAAAGAGTACATACGGAAAGAAAAGGGGATATGGAATAACTTTACATTGTACAAACACTACATCAGACAAACGCTGATCATCAGCAAACTCAAGTCACGTGTATGTATATACCCATGATAGGATGTTATGAAAATGGCAGTTTGCCTCTGTGGTTTTCCTCCCCAAAACACATAATCTCAGTCAGATTATGTGAAAAACATCAAACAGTCTCATAAAAAGATATTCCACAAAATGTCTTTACAGGACTCCTCCAAACTGTCAGGGTCATCAAAAACAGCAAGTTTTAGAAACTGCCACTGCCAGCAGGAGCCATAATTTACTATGGTACAATGGGCAGCATCCTGGAACATAAAAAGAATATTAGGTAAAACATTAAGAAATCTGAATAAAGTGTAGACTTTAGTTAAAAATGGTGTATCAATATAAATACATGAATATATAGAAGCTAATGTAAGACATTAATAGCAAGAAAAACTTTGGCTATAACTCTCAGTACTATTTTCACATTTTTCTATACATTTAAAACTGCTCTAAATTACAGTGTTTCTTTAAAAAGCACTTCATGCTTACTACCCTCTTCTTTCAACTACATAGCTGCTTAAATTTTATTTTCTAATATGGTAGCCATAATTTTGATTGAACTTACATATTTACAACTCCTCATCCATGTATTTACAACCCATTATTAATACTGAGTTACCTTTTTACTTGTTTATTTCATCCATTACACCTCATTTGTTACTATTATTAGTCTCAGATTATAACCATGTTTCCAGTTTCTGGAGATTATTTCATCTCTGCATATTAAACGTAACATTTGTATTACTACTCTTTCTCATTGTCATCTAAAAATACTTAGTCTATAATGTGGGAATTATTTCAATTTGTTGCTTTTATTAAAAAAAATTTTTTGGCTAGATGATACTTTTCAAATCACCTACATAGAATAGTTATCCTATAAACTTGCAAATTAAGCATTTTAGCATACAGAATTTTTAGGGAGGGGATCTGGTATTATTGGATGAAACAAAGACACTGTTGGCAGAAATCTAACATCCAGGATCTTATATTATTTAATAGTACTTAGATGGTTAAGCTCCATCAATTAACTTGACTATCATTATTCTTCCAATAAACATGGATGAAGAGATTAAATACTAGGCTTGGTGAGCTTTAAATTTCCAAATGGCTACAGCGTCTATGATTCTATGGGTCCTTTAATGGTGAAGGAAGCCCTTCGCTTGAACAGTGTATCAATTAGTGATACTTTCAGCTGTAAATGGCAGAAAAACCAATTGGCTTCATCAATCAGAAGCTTACACATAACAAGGCAAATGTTGGTAGGGAGCTCTGTTGGCAAGGGATTTCATTCTTCATTGGCACAAGATCACTTACTTAACTCCAAGGCAGGAAGTGGAGATTTACCAGAGAGAAGAATGCAAAATATTTCCCTAGAGTACCTTAGTGTACTTACACTTAGCATGTCATTGGTATGACTGGTATACATTCAGTTTTAATTACAAACAATATGGCTAAAATAATTACTGCCTCTATATTGGAGGTGGAGAAGGTAGAATTTTTACTGAGTTAATTAACCAGCTATATCTTCAAATAGCATAAAAGAAGTAAACTGTAATATGCTTAAAATATGTATGTCCTCTGTCAACATAGTGTTCACATTTACTGTAGATATTTAAAACAAATATAGCTTATGTTTGAATCTAATTAAGTATACTTATAATGCTATTTGTTTAGTACTACTAATAATCCATTGGCAGCTACATATATTAATGTTATATGTAAATTTTTCTTACAAATAAACACAAGGTATATTTTTATACTTAGATTAAAATTATTTCTTAATGAGTTAAAAGAGTTTATAATATTACCACTATTACTCTTTTTTGTGGTACCTTTTGTTGGCAAATGCAATGTTTCTATTTGTGCATGAGTCTCTGACTGTGTATGTTTATTCATGTAATGTTAATTCTTGCAACAACCCTCAAAGAAACACCATTGTCCATATTTCATACAGAATAGAACTAAGATTTAAAATGACAAATTAAGTGTCATAGGTCTCATAGTTAAAAATAGAATAACTATTCAATTCTAGACCTAGCTAACTCAAAGACCACAAAATAGAATACAGACACAAAGATCTCCAAAAATAGAGACTGGGAGAAATTTTCTCCTGTCTTCTAAGGACTCATTTTATATTTTGTGTCAGTTATTCCCGTGAAAATAGTTTGGAGTCATGTGCACAAGGTTTACCAAAAAAAAGCAAAAAACAAAAAAGAGAACAAAAATAAAATACATGTTTGACAACAATGGGAGTAAATCCATTGAAAAAAAATGAAATTATCTCTTCCTACAAAATGCATTCTTTCAGAAAAAGCAATAGTTACAATTGCTTTATCTAGTTTAATATAGCATGTATTGGTGAATGGAAAAAGCACTACATAAAATGATTACTTCTTGTCGTGCCTGAAGGTTAAATGTTGTCAACAGTTCTCTTTTTTATTTTTCAAAATCTTGTTGTCTCTTGGCATTTAAGAATTTTAAAAAGTTAATAAAAGACAGAGTTTTACTTCATTTAAGTTTATAATAAATAATTTAGAATGATTCTCTAGGGTATATACTGTTGAAAACATACTAATTCAGAGATAAACTATCAACTCATGTAGTTGTGGATGCATTATAGTGTATTTCATTTCAATAAAAATAATAGTGTGTGCCAGATGCTATAAGGCAGAAAACCTTGCCAAAAACCAGTGGAGGAGACAATGTTTGTAATGATTTCCCTTGACAAGCCATGTTTGAGCGTCTGAAAGTTGTAAAAGAAAAATAACATACAGAATAGACCCTGTCTTGGCAAAACTCCACGAATTCATGTTGAGTTTAATGGATTGGAAAGTACTATAAATAAGTCATGACTCAATATTAAGCAAAGATCTCTTCCTGGGAACTAAACAATGCATACAGATAAATATCTGAAAGAGCACAAGTTATTATGTCTCTATAAATAGAATTTATTTAAAAAGGGGCTATGTCGAAAGCACATGTACAAAAAAGGAAAATGAATTGCTTTTTGCTTTTTTAAACATCTTTAAGCACATTCCCAATTATTTTCTATTTCCTTAAAAAAGTCACTTACATACATATAAGAAAAGCTTCTTATATAGGATCAATACATTTTATTGATGCATAATAATTTTACATATTTATGGAGTACATATGGTATTTTGATACATATATACAATTTGTAGTAATCAAGTCTGAGTATTTAAGATATCCATCATATGAAAAATGTATCATTTCTTTGTGTTGGGAACATTTCCAATATTCTCTTCTAGCTATTTTGAAATATACTGTAAATTATTAATAACTGTATTCACCCTACTATGCTATCGAACACTAGAACTTACACCTTTTATCTAACTGCATGTTTGTACCCATTACATCCCAATCCCACCCTTGCAAGTCTCTGATAATCAACTTTATACTCTTTACCTCAATGAGATGAGATTTTTAGCTTCCACATATGAGTGAGAACATGCAATATTTGTCTTTCTGTGCCTGGCTTATTTCACTTAACATATGTAACATATGACTTCCAGTTCCATCAAGTTATTGAAAATGCAAAATTATTTTTCTTTTTAGGACTTAGTAGTATTCCATTGTGTATACTTACTACATTCTCCATCCATTCATCTATTGATGAATACTTAGATTGACTCCATATCTTGGTTACTGTGAATAATGCTGCAATAAATATGGGAGTGCAGATGTCTCCTCAGCATACTGATTTCCTATCTTTTGGATATATATGCAGTAGTGGAATTGCTGGATCATGTGGTAGTTCTATTTATAGTTTTGGGAGAAACCTCCATACTCTTTTCCATAGCAGTTATACTGATTTATATTACCACCAATAGTGTAGGAATGTAGGATGTCCCCTTTCTCCACATCCTTTTCAGCATTTGCTATTTTTTTTGTGTTTCTTATAATAGCCATTCTAATTGGGGTGAAATGATATCTTGTGGTGGTTTTGAGTGGCATTTTTCTGATGATTAGCAATGTTGAACATTTTTCCATATACCTGTTGGTCATTTATATGTCTTCTTTTGAGAAATGTCTACTTATATTCTCTGCCCACTTATTAATAGCAGTATTTGTTTTTTGCCGATGAGTTGTTTGAGTTCCTTGTATATTCTAGATATTAGTTCCTTGTTAGATGATTAGTCTGCAAATATTTTCTCCCATTCTACAGGATGTATTTTCACTCTGTTGATTTTTTCCTCTGTTATGCAGAGGCTTTTGAGTTTAATATAGTGCCATTTGTTCCTTTTTGGTTTTGTTTCCTGTCCTTGTGAAGTCCTAGCCATAAAATATTTGCTTAGAGTAATATCCTAAAGTGTTTCCTTTACATTTTCTTCAAGTAGTTGTATAGGTTTTAATCCTATGTTTAAATTTTTAATCCATTTTGAATTGATTGTTGTATGTGGAAAAGATAAGGGTCTAGTTTCATTCTTTAGCAAGTGGATATAAAGCTTGAGAAACACCATTTGTTAAAGAAGGGGTGCTTTCCCAAATGTGTATTTCTGGCAGCTGTGTCAAAAGTCAGTTGGCTGTAAATACTTGAACTTATTTCTAGGTGCTCTTTTCTGTCCCATTGGTCTATGTATCTGTTGTACTGTGTTGTCCTGGCTACTAAAACTTTGCTGTATATTTTAAAGTCAGGAAGAGTGATGCCTCTAGGGTTTTTTTCTCTTTGTTCAGGATTGTTTTGCTTATCTGATGTCTTTTGTGGCTCTATACAAACTTTAATTTAGCTTTTTTTTCTATTCCTCTGAAGAATATCATTGGTACTTTGATAGGGATTGATCTGAATGTATAGATTGCTATGGCTAGTATGGTCACTTTAGAAGTATCTATTCTTTTGGTTCTTGAGCATAAGATGTCTTTCAATTTGTCTGTGGCCTCTTAAATTTCTTTCATTAGTGTTTTATGGTTTTTAAGGGTCTTTTACCTCTCTGGTTAAATTTATTTCTAGATATTTTGTTGGGTAGCTAGTATAAAAATGATTATTTTCTCAATTTCTTTCTCAGCTCCTTCATTATTGGTCCATAGAAACACTACTGATTTGTATATGTTGATTTTTTTTGTCCTGCAACTTTACTGAATCTGTTAGTTCTAAGCATATTTAGGTGGAGTTTTTAGGTGTTTCTATGTACAAGATCATGTCATCTACAGAGAGAAATCATTTGACTTTCTTTTTTTAAATTTAGATACCTTTTATTTTTTTCTCTTGCCTGATTTCTCTGGCTTAGAATTGAGTATTATATTGAATAGGAATGTGGAAAGTGGACATCCTTGCTTGCTCTTGCTCTTAGAGGAAAAGTTTTCAGCTTTTCCCATGCATTATAATGCTATTGGTTGGTTTGTCATATATGGCCTTCGTTATATTGAGGTATGTTCCTTTTATGCCTAGTTTGTTAAGAGTATTTATTATGAAGAGCTGCTTCAGTTTATCAAACAATTTTTCTTCATTTATTGAAATGGGAATTTGGTATTTTCCCCTTTTTCTGTTAATAAGATGTATCACACTTATTGATTTGGATACGCTGAACTATCCTAACATCCATGGGATAAATCCCATTTGATCATGGTGTATTATCTTTTTGATGTGTTGTTTGGTTTGGTTTACAAGTATTTTATTGATGATTTTACATTAATGTTGACTGGTGATGTTGGCCTGTAGTTTTTGTTGTCGTTATGTTCTTGTATGACTTGATATCATGGTAATGTTGTCCTCATACAATTAATTAGAAAAAGTTCTCTCATCTTCAATTGTTTAGAACAGTTTGAGAATAATTAGTGTTACTTCTTTATTAATTTGGTAGAATTCGGCAGGCAACCCATTCAGTTCTGTGCTTTTCTTTCTTGGGAGACTTCTTATTACTGATTCAATTTGGTTACATACAATTGATTTGTTCAAATTTTCTATTTCTTTCTGGATCAGTCTTGGAAGGTTGAATGTGTCTAGGAACTTCTCAGTTTTCTCTAGGTTTTCCAATTTGTTAGCCTACAGTTGTTCATAATAGTCTATAATGATCCTTTGTATTTCTGTGGTGTCAATTGTAATGCCATTTTTTTCTCTTCTGATTTTATTTATTTGGGTTGTCTCTTCTTGGTTAATCTAGCTGGCAGTTTGTTGATTTTATATTTTTAAAAGACAACTTTTTGTTTCATTAATACATTGCATTTTTTAGTCTCTGTTTTGATTAGTTCTGCTCTGATTTTCATTATTTTTTTCCTTCTACTAATTTTGGGATTGGTTTGTTCTTGCTTTTTTGGTTCCTTGAGATGCATTATTACATGTTTTATCTGAAATTCTTCTTTATTGATGTAGGAATTTATCAATATAAACTTCCTTTTTTAATTATTGTTTTCTTAAATAGGTTTTCTGTGCATTTGCTCATCTCTTCTCTTTCCAGGGCTCCCCAAATTCGAACACTTGATTGCTTTATGATATCTCATATGTCATGTAGGTTTTCTTCATTCATTTTTAGACTTTTTTATCTGACTGGGTTATTTCAAAAGGCCTGTCCCCAAGTTCAGGAATTTTTTTCTTTACTTGAAATGGTCTATTTTGAAAATTTCAATTGTATTACTTATTTCATTCTTTGAATTCTTCAATTCCAGGTTTTCCATTTATTTCTTTATTTAGGATATATACCTGTACGCTGATTTTCCCCCTGATTTCTATTATCAGTGTTTTCTTGTATCTCACTGAGTTTCTTTAATATTATTTTGAAAAAAAGTTTAGGCATTTCATAGGTTACCTTTCCTTTGGAATCTGTTACTGATAATTATTGTATTCGTTTGAAGGTGTTATGTTTTCTTGCTTTTTTATATTTCTTGTGTCATTATGTTGACATATGTGCATCTGGTATAACAGTTACTTCTCATTTTGTTCATTGGTTTTGTAGTGAAAGACTTTTCTATAGATGTATCTATAGTTTTGGTTGGGTAGGGTGCTTTGGCTTTGATTCTGGGTGGGCATGGTAGTGTAGTCTCTGTATGATTTCTTTGTAGTTAATAGTGGCATCTGTGAGTCTCAGAGACTTAGGCGGCATGGTTGTTAGTGACGGCTGTGTTGAGGCTTTGTTGGGCATCAGGACACCAGATGAGCTGGTCCTTTGGCACCCATGGTGGCGGCAGTGGGCCAGTAGTGCTGATTCTAATGCAACCACATGGTGCTTGTGGGCACTGGTGATGGCAGGTCCAATCAGGTGGGTCTTTGGGCCTTCAGGTGGCATGCTCAGGTGCCAACAGTGATGGTTGCAGCAGTGAGTCAGCCCTTGAGACATGACTGGCAGGCATGGGCACAAATGGTGGCAGGGGTAAGCTGGGTGGTCCAGAATCCAGGTCCCCAGGAAGTGTGAATGGGCATCAGCAGCAGGCATGCTAGGCCCACCCTTATACCTCTGGTCAGCATGCCTGTTCACCAATAGCTACAGGCAAGGCAGGCCCATTCCCCAAGGCCCTGGATGACATGCTCCAGTGAAAAAAAAATGGGCAGAGTGGACTTGTCCTCATGTACCCAGAAGACATATGTAGGATCCAGAGGTGGCAAGTAGGATGGGTTGAACCCCAGGTCCCCCAATGACACATGTGCATGCCAGCAGTTGTAAATGTATGTGGGGCAGACATGGCATCAGGCCCCCAGAAAGCTTACATGGGGTCTAGCGGTGGCAAGTAGGGCAGATCAATTTCTAGGTCCCTGGACAGCATGCTTGCGTACCAGTATCAACTGCAAGTGAGCACAATGGGCATGACTGCAGGCCCCAGGATGGCACACAGGTGAGCCAGTCCTCCAGCTCTTTGAAGGCATTTGTAGGTGCATGGCAGCCCTGTAGCCAGAGGGTGATTGGGTTACTTTCAGTGGCAGCAGGCCCAAGTGGGCAGCTCTTAGGCTCTGGGGAGTAAACATTTTGGCTTCTTTAGTGCTGGGGGCAGACTCCCTGCTGTGATGCACTGCAATGCTCATTTTCTGAGGCATAAGACACCACATGTGCTAGAGTCCTGGGGATCTTGTCTCATCACTGAGTCCGGTAAGCATCCTGATGCTGCAGCTCTGTGAGTGGATATGGGGGATATCAACAGTGCTCTAGGGATGTGGAGATTGAGGAACAGTTAGGCTCCCAGGAAGAATATAGTCTGTTGGAGGCTGAGGTCTCAAAATGGCACTCTGATGCAGCTGCTTGGATCTCAGAGGGTGTGAGGGACCCAACCTGAACTCGTCTTAGAACAATGCCATCACCTGGACTCCCTACAGTTCTCTATATTAGTCTCAGGGTACATAAGGGCCCTAGGGGGCTCTTCTATGGCTAGAATTTTGGGAATCTGTGGTGAGAATATAAGCCACTGGGAATCTCTCATCTTTTCCCCACAATGGAGAGCTCCTCCTGGCTCTGAGCTGATTCTGACATGGAACTGCTGTTTTGCTTCCTCTCTTTCTGTGTCTCAGAGGTTCCCTGTCACTTCCCTGCTGAATCCCGATGTTTCCTCTTGGCAGCTCAAATTGATGTATTATTATCTACTGACCGTTTTGGTTTTTCTTTGTGGAGAAGGAAAGTACTGGGTGCATCCAGTCAGATTTCATGAAGCCCTAGAAGCTTAGGATCATTACTTTTGACTTACTAGGAATCAAAAACAATTATAGTTTGCTTATTTGCAATATTATATTACAATGAAAATAGAACGACTACAGCTGGCCAGGCGCGGTGGCTCACGTCTCACGTCTGTAATCCCAGCACTTTGGGAGGCCGAGGCGGGCGGATCACGAGGTCAGGAGATGAGACCATCCTGGCTAACATGGTGAAACCCCGTCTCTACTAAAAATACAAAAAAATTAGCCGGCTGTGGTGGCGGTCGCCTGTGGTCCCACCTACTCAGGAGCTGAGGCAGGAGAATGGCGTGAACCCAGGAGGCCGAGCTTGCAGTGAGCTGAGATCGCACTACTGCACTCCAGCCTGGGTGACAAAGCCAGACTCCGTTTCCAAAAAAAAAAAAAAAAAAAATGACTACAACTGTAGGAAGTAATAATAGTAGAGAAATTTAGAGACAAACAGAATTTTTTTTTTAATACTTTAAGTTATGGGATACATCTGCAGAATGTGCAGGTTTGTTACATAGGTATACATGTGCCATGGTGGTTTGCTGCACCCATCAACCTGTCATCTACATTAGGTATTTCTCTTATGTGATCCCTCCCCTAGCCCCCCACCCCACGACAGTCCCCGTTGTGTGATGTTCTCCTCCCTGTGTCCATGTGTTCTCATTGTTCAACTCCCACTTATGAGTGAGAACATGTGGTGTTTGGTTTTCTGTTCCTATGTTAGTTTGCTGAGAATGATGATTTCCAGCTACATCCATGTCCCTGCAAAGGACATGAACTCATCCTTTTTTATAGCTGCATAGTATTATATCGTGTATATGTACCACATTTTCTTTATCCAGTCGATCACTGATGGACATTTGGGTTGGTTCCAAGTCTTTGCTATTGTGAATAGTGCTGCAATAAACATATGTGTGCATGTGTCTTTATAGTAGAATGATTTATAATTCTTTGGGTATATACCCAGTAATGAGATTGCTGGGTCAAATGGTATTTATGATTCTAGATCCTTGAGGAATCTCCACACTGTCTTCCACAATGGTTGAACTAATCCACACTCCCCCCAACAGTGTAAAAGCATTCCTATTTCTATACATACTTTCCAGGATCTGTTGTTTCCTGACTTTTTAATTTATAGCACTAAATGCCCACGGAAGACAGCAGGAGAGATATAAAATCGACACCCCAACATTACAATTAAAAGAACTAGAGAAGCAAGATCAAACAAATTCAAAAGTTAACAGAAGACAAGAAATAACTAAGATCAGAGCAGAACTAAAGGAGATGGAGACACAAAAAGCCCTTCCAAAAATCAGTGAATCCAGGAGCTGTTTTTTTGGAAAGATTAACAAAATAGATAGACTGCTAGCCAGACTAATAAAGAAGAAAAGAGAGAGGAATCAAATAGGTACAATAAAAAACGATAACGGGGAGATCACCACTAATCCCAGAGAAATACAAACTACCATCAGAGAATACTATAAACACCTCTATGCAAATAAACTAGAAACTCTAGAAGAAATGGATAAATTCCTGGACACATACACCGTTCCAAGACTAAGCCAGGAAGAAACTGAATCCCTGAATAGACCAATAACAAGTTCTGAAATTGAGGCAGTAATTAATAGCCTACCACCCAATAAAGCCAAGGACCAGACAGGTTCACAGCTGAATTCTACCAGAAGTACAAAGAGGAGTTGGTTCCATTCCTTCTAAAACTATTCCAAACAATATAAAAAGAGGGAATCCTCCCTAACTCATTTAAGAGGCCAGCATCATCCTGATACCAAAACCTGACAGAGACACAACAAGAAAAGAAAATTTCAGGCCAATATCCCTGATGAACATCAATGTGAAAATCCTCAACAAAACACTGGCAACCCGAATACAGCAGCACATCAAAAAGCTTATCCACCACGATCAAGGCGGCTTCATCCCTGGGATGCAAGGCTGGTCCAACATATGCAAATTAATGAATGTAATCCATCACATGAACAGAATCAATGACAAAAAAACACTTAATTATCTCAATAAATGCAGAAAAGGCCTTCAATAAAATTCAACACCCTTTCACGCTGAAAACTCTCAATAAACTAGGTATTGATGGAACATATCTCAAAATAATAAGAGCTATTTATGACAAACACACAGCCAGTATCAAACTGAACAGGCAAAAGCTGGAAGCATTCCCTTTGAAAACCAGCACAAAACAAGGATGACCTCTGTCACCACTCCTATTCAACATAGTATTTGAAGTTTTGTCAGGGCAATCAGGCAAGAGAAAGAAATAAAGCATATTCAAATAGGAAGAGAGGAAGTCAAATTGTCTCTATTTGCAGATGACATGATTGTATACTTAGAAAATCCCATCGTCTCAGCCCAAAATCTCCTTACACTGATAAGCAACTTCAGCAAAGTCTCAGGATACAAAGTCAATGTGCAAAAGTCACAAGCATTCTTATACACCAATAACAGAGAAACAGAAAGCCAAATCATGAGTGAACTCCCATTCACAATTGCTACAAAGAGAATAAAATACCTAGGAATGCAACTTACAAGAGTAGTGAAGGACCTCTTCAAGGAGAACTACAAACCACTGCTCAAGGAAATAAGAAAGGACACAAACAAACGGAAAAACATTCCGTGCTCATGGATGGGAAGAATCAGTACCATGAAAATGGCCATACTGCCCAAAGTAATTTATAGATTCAATGCTATCCCCATCAAGCTATTACTGACTTTCTTCACAGAATTAGAAAAAATTACTTTAAATTTAATGTGGAACCAAAAAAAAGAGCCCATATAGCCAAGACAATCCTAAGCAAAAAGAACAAAGCTGGAGGCATCACACTACCCGACTTCAAACTATACTAAGGCTGCAGTAACCAAAACAGCATGGTACTGGTACCAAAACAGATATATAGACTAATGAAACAGAACAGAGGCCTCAGAAATAACGCCACACATCTGCAACCAAGTGATCTTTGACAAACCTGATAAAAACAAGTAATGGGGAAACAAGTAATAAATGGTGTTGGGAAAACTGGCTAGTCACATATGGAAAACTGAAACTGGAACTCTTCCTTATACTTTATACAAAAATTAACTCAAGATGGATTGAAGACTTAAACATAAGACCTAAAACCATAAAAACCCTCAAAGAAAACCTAGGCAATACCATTCAGGACATAGACATGGGCAAAGACTTCATGATGAAAAAGCCAAAAACAATTGCAACAGAAGCCAAAATTGACAAATGGGATCTAATTAAACTAAACAGCTTCTGCACAGTGAAAGAAACCATCATTAGAGTGAACAGGCAACCTATAGAATGGCAGAAAATTTTTGCAATCTGTCCATCTGGCAAAGGGCTAATATCCAGAATCTACAGGGAACTTAAACAAATTTACAAGAAAAAAACAACCCCATCAAAAAGTGGGCAAAGGTATGTTGGCTGCATAAATGTCTTCTTTTGAACAAACGTGTGAGAAAAAGCTCATCATCACTAGTCATTAGAGAAATGCAAATCAAAACCACAATGGGATACCATCTCAAGCCAGTTAGAATGAATGGTGATCATTAAAAAGTCAGAATTTTTAAAAATAAGTAAGACCACATACATGAAGGGAGAATCACAGAAAAAATGTACTGCGAAGCTGAGACTTTGCAACAAAGGCTAAATGAGTTCCCAATATTCCTAATTTGCATATTTATCTGTATTAAAAAATACTGTAGGTACTTGGAATTATAGAAAGACCTCAAAATATATTTGTATATTAATTAAGACAAATGTCTGGCTAACCATTTAAGATAAGTATTGTATACATTGCTAACACTATTCCCCAAATCTCTTAAATTTGAGTAAGAAAGTATCACTTCATAACACATGCACGTTGTCCACATGTACCCTAAAACTTAAAGTATAATTAAAAAAAAAAAAAAGAAAGTGTCACTGTATGTGTACTTGCAGAAATTATGCAAGCCATTCATTTTTTTTTGTGCTGCCCTCAAATGGTATGTTAGTTGTTATGAGAAAAAAGCTCAGATGAGACACAACAATCCTGGATAAAGGATTATTTGCATGTGTGCGTGCGTGCGTGTGTATGTGTGTGTGTGTTTTAAGAAGTTTCCTCCTTGAAACCCAGAACTGATCAAGATAAATGTGCATAAGAAATTCAGAGCCTTTGGAAAAGCAGAGAACAAGGCTAAAATAATCCACAATATTTTAAATTTAAAATGAAGATTATCTTGGTTGAATCAAGGTGTCATTGATGAAGTCTACTGATACTAAAGAACGAAAGACGGAAATGTATATTTGTGATGGTTAGCTGGATTAAAACAAGGGTTCTGAAACAAGTATTATCAAAAACAAGTTTTATCAGAAGTGGGCCAGTACCTGAATAGAGTATTGGAAGAGAATATGAATGAAGCTAAAATGCTCTTGAAACCAAACCACACTGGCATGCCATGTAGTAAGAAATAATGATTGAGCAAGAGTCACCTAAGACAGTTCACTACTGGAACATTTAAATTGCAACCTGAAATGTAGCCTTATGAGATAACAGATTCTAAGACAGGAAGAGAAAAAAAATACCACTTAGACAAATGTAATAAAAAGTACCTTACAAAAAAAAAAAGGGTATACCATAGTCTTCTCAAAATAATGAATCACGAAGAAGAATTGTACATGCATCTGTAAAGACTTCAGAAGAATACAGTTTAAGTCAAGAATTATCTTGTCAGGAAAGTTGAATAAAATAAACAAATATTTTTAAATTAGTTAGAAGTCTTGGAATATAGAATAATCTCTTATTAGAAATATAAATCTAGCCAAAAAGAAGACAAGGTAAAAGAATCATCATTGAGTACTGTGTCCATTTAGGTTTACTAATGAGCCAAGGTGTAAGTGAAGAACAGTGGAAAAAATAAGATTGCAGATAAATACGGTGATTGACTCAACTTTTTCTTAATGCAAAGGTAAAATAATCAAATAAAAATTATTAAATCAAAAATGGTATTAAGAAAAGTATTGGTCAGGTGTGATGGCTCACTCCTGTAATCTCAGAACTTTGGGAAGCCGAGATGGGTGGATCACTTGAGCCTAGGAGACCAAGATGAGCCTGGGCAACATGGCAAAACCCCTTCTCTACTAAAAAATACAAAAAATTAGCCAGGTGTGGTGGTGCACACCTGTAGTCCCTGGTACTCTGGAGGCTGAAGTAGGAGGATCACTGGAGCCTGGGAGGTCAAGGCCGCAGTGAGCTGTGATTGCACCACTGCAGTTCATCCTAGTTGAGAGAGTGAGCCTCTGTCTCAAAAAAAAAAAAAAAAAAAAAAAAAGGTATTTGTTAGATTGTTGAGCAATCTTTACTCACAATATTCAAAGAAATAAGTATATTCACTAAAAGAATGAAAAGGCAAAACAAAATAAACCTAGACCACAGATGAAAAAAGTAGAATAAAAGGAAAAATAACTTGTAGAAATAAAAAGCATGAGATTATAATTTATTTATTTATTTTTTGAAACAGAGTCTCACTCTATCACCCAGGCTGGAGTGCAGTGGCACAACCTCAGCTCACTGCAACCTCCGCCTCCCAAGTTCAAGCGATTCTCCTGCCTCAGCTTCCTGAGTAGCTGGGATTACAGGCATGTGCCACCATGCCTGGCTAATTTTTGTATTTTTAGTAGAGATGGGATTTCACCGTGTTGGTCAGGCTGGGCTGAAACACCTGACCTCATGATCTGCCTGCCTCAGCCTCCCAAAGTGCTGGGATTACAGGCGTGAGCCACCACACCCAGCCTATAAATGTTTTTGAATGATACATGAAGATACATTCCAGGTAACAATGAAGGAAACAGAAAATACTCAACAAGGAAGGTTTAAGACAGTGATTGAGATAGTCATAGTATAATTGACACAGCTGGAAGAGTAATGATCATAAATCGCAATGAATTAAGGGAAATTAGAAAATGCAAGAACCACATGAAGGCTTCATTAATTATATTATCTAGTTCCAGCTATAAAGAAAGATTTTCACAGAAACTAGAATTAGGACCCTATATGGGGTTACTGTATATTGTGACTGGTTAGAGACAATCACATTTACCCTTGTTTTCCCAAAGACATTTAAATAGCTCCCCTTTCCTATTTATTTTGAGAAAAAAAAAAAACAGTTTGGATGATAAATTTGATTGTTACCCTACCCATAAATGGCATTGGAAAATAGTTATCCTCCTCGAAAGAAGTAACAGGGGTTGCCAGTGGTTTACAGAGGCTCTTCAATTATTGTAAGTATAAAAATTTCTTGCTTTTATTTATTAGAGAATGTACTAAGTAGTATAGAATAACAAACATTGAATGTATTTCAGTATTCAGTTTTCCAAAAGATATTCATTTTATTAAAGTTATTTTCTTCTCTCTCCATCATTAAACAGGTACTGTTTTTGAGATGAATAACTAATTTTTGTTGTTTTTGTAGTTTTTTGGCATAGAATCTCACTCTGTCACCCAGGCTGGAGTACAGTGGTGTGATAAGAGCTCACTTCAGCCTCGACCTCCTGGGCTGAGGTGATCCTCGCACCTCAACCTCCCAAGTAGTTGGGACCACAGGCACATACCACCATACCCTGCTAATTTTTGTATTTTTTACAAAATGCAGTTGCCCAGGCTGGTCTCAAACTCCTTGGTTCAAGCAATCCTCCCATCTCAGCTTCCCAAAGTGCTGGGATTATAGACAATAACTAATGCTGTTTAGTTAAATTCATCAAACACTGGGACACTATTACATATCACCCAGTCATTCTGGCTTTGAGGCTGAATGTAGTAACCTCAGACCTTCTAAGGTAAGTTTAGGTTCTGAGGAGAGTATACATATATTCTCTACAGGACTGGGCATTTTTGAAATTGTACCAATAAGAAAAAGTACGTCTATGGAATGCAGTTGCTAAAACATGTGACTATGTTTAGCACCAGTATTTCCTTTGATGTGCACAATTTCATTACCAATTCTTGTGGTGGAGGGAAAGGTGACTCAACCACTTTCTCCAGGGTCTATCCACCAGGAAAGTTACTGATCATGTTGAATACATGACCCAACAACCTTAAATAACGTCATTATTTCTGGCTTGATGTTTCTTTGGCCACTGTATTAGAGTTCTCCAGAGAAATGGAACCAATAAAATACATAGATGAATATCTATATACAAAACTGTTTATTATAAACATTGGCTGATGAGATTATGGAGGCCCAGAATTCCCACAGTCTGCCATGGTATGATCTAGTCTAACTCCAAAGACAGTGGTACGATTTAGTCCAAGTCTGAAGGCCTGAGAACCAAAGGAACTCACATTCAAGGGCAGGAGAACGGATGTCCTATCCACAGGAGGGAAAGCAAATTCACCCTGCTTCAGCCTTTTTTTATCTATTCTGGCCCTGAATTGCATGATGCCCACTCACATTGGCGAGGACACTCTTTATTTAGTCTACCAGTTAAAATGCTAATCTCATCCAGAAACATCTTCATAAATACACCAAAAATAATATTTTACCAGATTTCTGGGCATCCGTTAGCTCAGTCAAGCTGATACATAGAATTAACCCCCAGAGCAACTGTGTTATCAATTTTCATCAAGTTATTTTCCCACAATGAGAACAGTTGTCCTCAATAGGATGCTGACCACAGAAGAGAGCAGAGCCAGAAATACCAATATCAAAGGGACTTGGAGCCTTTTTTTTTTTTTTTTGAGATAGGGTCTTGCTCTGTCGCCCAGGCTGGAGTCCAGTGGCACGATTTCAGCTCACAGCAAGCTCTGCCTCCCGGGTTCACGCCATTCTCCTGCCTCAGCCTCCCAAGTAGCTGGGACTACAGGCGCCCGCCACCGTGCCTGGCTAATTATTTTTGCATTTTTAGTAGAGACGGGGTTTCACCATGTTAGCCAGGATGGTCTCGATCTCCTGACCTCGTGATCTGCCCGCCTTGGCTTCCCAAAGTGCTGGGATTACAGGCTTGAGCCACCGCGCCTGGCGAGTAACCCCTTATTTTTCTCACAATGACAGCAGAAGGTTACTTACATTCTTTCTGTGGATAAAGATGATTTTTGGGTGTTCAAAATTTCATTAACCAGAATTATACAGTGTGTATTTTTCTTATGTTCTTCATTCTGTCTAATATTTTTGAGATTCATTTCTACGATCACACACATCAGTAGTTCACTGTTTTTATTGCTCAATAATATTTCCTTGTTTGGCTATCCCATATTTTTAAAATTTATTCACCTGTGATGAATATTCGAGTTGCTTCTGCTTTGGAGCTGTTACAAATAAAGAGGCTATGAACATTTATAAAAATGTTTTTCTGTAGACATATAATTTTGATTCTCGTATAAATACTAAGGAGTGAAATCACTGAGACATATTATAAATATATATTTATCTTTAAAAGAAACTGTTTTTCAAAGTAGTTATATCTCTATGAGCAAACTGTGAGAATACAGTTGCTATACATCTTTTTCAACAGTTAGAGTTGGATTGCAATTTTAAATTAAGTTATTTTAGTGAGTGTGAAATGGTATCTCACTGGATTTTAAAATTTCAATTTCCTGAATAATGATGATATAATTCCAGTGAATGTGCTTATTATCCACTTATATATTGTTTTTGTGAAGTGATTTCTGAAATCTCTTGCGCATACTATGTTGCTTCTTTACTTAATACTGACTTGTGAGAGTTCTTTATATAATGTGAACAGACATGTTATGCCACATATATTGCAAATACTTTCTCCTTATTGTTAGATTGTTTTTAAAATTGATTTCATACTGTCTTATAAAAAGCAAGAATTATAACATTGCTGAAGTCAATTTTATCATTTTATGATAAATGATACTTATGTCCTATTCCAGTAATCTTTGCCCTCTACAAGCTTATAAAGATTTATGTGTTCTTGGAACAGTGAATAAAGTTATTTTGCATATTATTATTATCTAATTTGAGTAAATTATTATGTACTGTGTAACTATAGTTTGAGATTTTTTTTACATCTATATACATTTATTTCAGCACACATTTTGATGGACTGTCTTTTTCCAATTGAATTATCTAGGGAATTTTTTCAAAAATTAATTGAACATATTTGTGTAAGACTACGTTTGGATTCTGTTTTTAATTATTATTTTTTAATTCTTAGAAAGGTAATGTGGCCAGTCATTAAATCTTTGAAAACATGAGCAACAAAAAATTGGTGAAATATAGCAGAAATGGCATCTTGCCTTTACTTTTTATAATATTTTAGATTCAACAAGGTAGTACTTGGATTTCACTAGCTATTGCTATCCTGGTAAGGGGTACCAGATTTGATAATACTATCAACAGGGAGTTGGTCTTCTTAATCAAAAACATATTTCAAAGTTTTTTAATCTTTGCATCATTTTTTTTGTTTGTGGCTCAGAGCCTGATGTGAGTGCTCTTTCAGAATTCAACATTGTTACCAGTGGTGGCAGAGCAGGTTTTTATATTTGCCCAGGTCTTTCTTCATAGCACTTGCTTTGCTCTTCTTTTTCGTTTGCCTTCAGCTTTTATTTTAGGTTCAGGGATACTTGTACAGGTTTGTTATATGGGTAAATTGCCTGTTCACAGGGTTCTGGTGTACAGATAATTTTGTTACCCAGGTAATCAGCATAATTCCCAATAGATTGTTTTTCAATCACACTTCTTCCACCCTCGACCCTCAAAAAAGCCCCAGTGTCTATTGTTCCCTTCTTTGTGTTCATGTGTACTCAATGTTTTGCACCCACTTATGCATGAGAACATGTGGTATTTGGTTTTCTGTTTGTTAATTTGCTTAGGATAATGGCCTCTGGCTCCATCCATCGTTGCTGCAAAGGATACCACCTCATGTTTTATAGCTGCATAGTATTCCATGGTGTACCACATTTTTTAAAATTCAGTCTACAGTGGATGGGCATCAAGAAGTTTCTACGTAAAGTGTCATCACATTGTTAAGCGCTAAAATGTGTCTCCCACAAATCATATGTTGATGCTGTAACTGCTAATGAAACTGCATTTGGAAGTCAGGTCTTCAGAGAGGTAATTAAAGTTGAATGAGGTCAAAAGGTGATCTAACCTAATAGATTTCGTGTCCTTTTAAGAAGAAAAACATACACCAGATCTCTCCCTCCCTACCTCACCCCTCTCTTTCTTTCTCTCTATGCACGCACAGATGAATGGTCATGTGAGGACACAGCCAGAAGACAGCCCTCTACAAATAAGGAAAATAAGCAATGATCATTCTTTGCTTGACTAAGCTTTACTTGGGCTCCTAAGTCTTCCCATAGACCTATCTGTGCAGTTTCTTGAAAAATCCACTTTTAGCAAGAATCCTGCTACGTCAGTTTACTCAAAATTCCCCTTAATCAGATGTTATTATATTCCTAAATAATTTTCCACTTGCTGACCTCCACCTTGATCCTCGGCAATAAATTATCATTTGATCATGTTACATTTGGAGTTCAGCTCAATCTGTCTCCCCCACTGCAAAAATCACTTTGCAGTAGTCTCTATCCCTATCACGATGGTCCTGAATAATGGCTCCCTTACCATGCTTTAGCACGTATCACTGAATATTTTTTTCTTTAACAAAAGCCTCACCAGAATATAATCCTGAAAGCCCATTGATCTTGGATTTCTAGCCTCCTGAACTGTGAGAAAATAAATTACTGTTTCAGCCAAATTATTGTTTCATCCTCAGTACTGCCACATTGCCAACCTACACATTTACCCCTAAACATTTGATGCAGTCTGTATTCCTGGTACTTGGATGTTTTCTATTCTGTCTTACAAATTCAGCTATGAAATTAATTCCGTGTCTGTTTTTAGTATATCTGTTATTTATAGTGTTTATATTATGAAGGTTTTATGATGGCTATTTTTGTCATATTAGTAGACTTAACCTGGTGGTATTATTTATTTATTTATTTTTCAACAGAATCTGTTGTCATCTTCATCTCAATTTTTGTAGAGCTCAAAGGCAATGATGCTTCTTCCACAAAACTCCATTAACATATATGGGACTTTTAAAACTCTGATGATTTAGTTGCCATGAAATTACATAGACTTACATCTACTTAGAGAACAATTATGAAACATTTTCCCAACACAGTTGATAAGTTCATTGTAAATAGCTCTTTCATCATGAAATGTGCTGAAGATCTAGATAAGTAATGGTGGAAGATAGTTTCTTCATATTTGAAAGAAACATTTCTGTTATTCAAACATTAAAAAATAATTTTAGCACTGCCACTTTCTATGTAAAGATGCTTTACTTAGTCATTTGTTGTTAATTAAAAAAAACTGAGTATTTTCAGCAATACAGAAAATTCTGATCTCAGAGAACAGAGCTAGTGAAAGAAAAAAAAGATTACATTAAACATAATGACAGTCTATTAAGATACAAAAAAGCAAAAAAATTATTAAAATGTTCAATATTAAATACCAAGCTTCAGATTTTGTCAGAGGCATTTAGAAATTAGTTTTTATTTTTCTTGAGGTATATTGCTAATTATGGGATACTAAATGAAATGTATTTTAATGTAACTTTTAAAATACTATCTTTCAATATGTTTTGATCAATCACAATTTTATGCAAAGTTATTTCATCAGGAAGATAACTATTGGGCACTCTATTTTCTTTCCTGCTGCCAACACTTAGTCTTCTTTCTGTTTTAGCACAAAAAACTTTCTTTTTAGTTTTTTATTTATTGAAAAAATTATTTTAGAGGCAGAGTCTTGCTATATGTTTATGCTAGTGAACACATAACACGGCTCTTCTTTCAACGTCAGAAAATCTCATCACTGGGACACCTTAATTCGTAGTTCTCTACTTAAAAGTTTGGTTTCTAAGCAAGTACTACACAGATTTGTTATTAACTAGTTAAGTACTAGATAAGGCCTTATTTCTTTGTTCACAATAATGTTTTTTAAAGTTTGCAACAGAATTTTAAGAATGTACATCTACATTTTTAAAATGAACAGTATTAGCTTAGTTTTACAGTATAGTCACATTAAAATAGTGAGAATGGGAGTACATAAAGTTAAAAACAAGCAACTTTGTCATTTTTTCTTCTAGGAATGTGATAGAGCAGGTATCTTTTAAAAAGCGAAGCAAAACCCTACTGCCTCTCATGAAGACTTTGCAATAATCTGGTTATCAATATACTCTCTTATCTTTATTGATTTTAAACTCACTGCGTGTTGATTGTAAAGCATTTTAAAAAGGCAAAACCTTGAAAAATATATTAAATTTCACCCAATATCAAATAGAGATAATCTCTCTTATGAAAATTGGATGCATTTTTATAAAGTCTTATATGAAGGTGCATGTGTACCAAAACATATTCTATATGTATGTATAGAATACATATTCTATATGTATGTATTGCATTTATATGTGTCTGTGTATATGCATATGTATATGTGTCTGTGTATATGCATATACATGTATGTACGTGTGTTAACACATGTGCACATTTTTCTCCAAGTCTAACTATTACTCATCAAACAAATTTTATTTATACCATTTCATCTGTGTGTTGATGCATTTTGTATATCCACCAATAAGTTTTCATAACTCAAAAGGAAATAGAAATAATTTAATAAATAAATTATATCAGCAACTGGTTAATAATTAATTCTAGAAACTCTTATTCTCTTTTAAAAAAAGAAAATGAATTTTTTTATTTAAAACATATATTAATTATTATGGACGTTGCAATAAGGGATTTATAAATACTCATTTATAAATGAATTTATCCCTCATAATATCACATTCATATAGATACTTATTTTATAGATTATAAAACTGAGGCAGGGAGGAGTTAAATATTTTTTCCAAGATCACAAGCTAGTAAATGAAAGAATCTGGATTTGAACCTAGGCAGTCTAACTCTAGAGCCAATGCTTTCAGTTGCTACAGTTGGTGGAAAGCTGAAGATTTACTGAACATCAACATTATGGATAATCAAATGCAAAAAACTCACACAACTGTAGGGGCTGAGAATTCTGAAATTTTTAGGGCAGGGCAAAAGGTTGGAGATTCAGGCAGAGTTGAATGTGAAATTTACTCAATTCACAGACCAGTTCAACAGACTGAAAACATAATACGAATTCCTGTATTTCAGTCTTGAGGCAGAATATCTTCTGTTGTTATCAGAAAACCTAATCTTTAGTTAAAGGCCTTGAACTGATTGCTTCAGGTCCATCCACATTATGGAGGGTAATATGCGTTAATTAAAGGCTATTTATTGTGCTAATCACATCTAAAACATACCTGCACAACAGGTATGTGTTAAACAACTGATCACCATAGCCTAGCCAAGTGACACCATTACAGACCTCATTGTACCTAACTATACACACCAAAACTTACTCAAAATGAACAGTCAAAATATAAAGGCAAAAGCTATAAAACTTTTATATAAAACATAGGGGCAAATCTTCATGATCTCAGATTTGGCAATGGATTCTTTGATTTGGAACCAAAAGCAAGAAGAACAAAAGAAAACAAAGACATATTGGACTTCACAAAATTAAAAAAAACCTTTTGTACATCAAAGGATATAATCAAGAATGCGAAAAGGCAAATTGCAGTATGGAAGAAATATTTTCAAATCATTATCTGATAAGGATTTAATGGAATACATAAAAGACTCTTAAAACTCAACAACAACAACAAAAAACCAAACAACCCAGCTTAAAAGTGGTCAAAGATCTTGCATAAGCATTCTAGTCAAGATGAGAACAATATATTATTGGCCAACAAGTACATGAATAGATATTCAATGTTATTGGTCTTTAAGAAAATGAAAATCAAAACTATGAGCTAGCACTGTACACTCACTGGTTGGCTTTAAGGAAGAAAATGAAAAATAATAAGTGTTGATGAGTATGTGAAGAAATACGAATCCTTGTACTTTGCAGATGGGAATGTACAATGATGCAGGATTTGTGGAAAACAGTTTGGTTGATTCTCAAAAATTTAAACATAGAATTACTATATAACCCAATACTTTGAGGTATATACCAAGAGAAATAAAAATATATATCCACATAGAAATGTGTACATGTATTTTTATAATGACTCTCATTCATATAGCCAAAAGGCAACAACTCTAATGAACATCAGTATGTGAATGGGTAAACATATTGTGCTATGTGCATACAATGTAATATTATTGTGTCATAAAAAGAAACAAAATACCAATCACGCTACAACTAGATGAACTTGGAAAATATTATGTTAGTAAAAAGGGAACAGAGACATGAGGTCACATATTGTATGTTTCCTTTTACATAATGTATTCTGAATAGGCAAATCCATAGAGACAAAAGCAAGTTAGAGGCTACCAGGGAATGGGAAAAGGATTGAGTGGGAATTGATTGCAAAATGTGCTCTGGATGTTTTTATGAAGTGATAAAAAGGTTTTAGAACTAGAGAGAGAGCTAGTGGTTGAACAACATTGTGAATATATTAAATACTAAATTAGACACTAAATATCACTGAATTGTACAGTTTAAAATCATTAACCATATATTCTGTAAATTTTACCTTCAAAAAAAATAAAGCAAAGAGAAAATAAGTGGATGGAATTCCATGACTAACAATGTAGTACAAAGGCAAAGAGAAAGACGTAGGATTCCAGGGAAACAGAGAAAAAAGATTTAACGGATCCACAGTAGCCCCCAGGCAGAAAGAGGTGAATAAGAAAGTCATCAGAAGAGCAAGGGTCCTCCACAAAGCACTTGCTGGAAGCCACCACAAATGTGGAGAAGATGGGGCTAGTTGAACAAGGTGGACACACTCTTTCCCCTGTCCTGTCTATGATGATCACTGCTTTCCACATTTTTCTGACATCTATGTTTGCAATTATCTCAGGAACTGTGCACCTTATCTGCCTCTAGGGAAGGAAGAGAGTAACTTAGGGAAATGAAAATAAGACAAGTGGCCCCGTGGAGATCTTTCTGAGTTCAGGACAGCCTGGTTACCACTATCAGAAGAGCCCATCTACAGAGCATCAGAGAAATGAATGTCAGATCACCTGGGGACACTGGTGGAGTATATATCTGTTCCCTGGTTTTACCTTTGCCATTGTATGCACAGGCAGAAAGAGGTTATATATCATTACAAAAAGCTGGAGGAAACCTAGAGAGGTTCAATTCTTATTTCACTATGGTCGGCTTCTATCTTTCAGGAAACTGCTTTATACCTTTCGTTCACTTGAAAACAGTCTGAAGATAAAAATATTTTCCCAAACGATTTTAACAGGTTCTAAAGAGCAAATTCAACTTCAAAAATCAACAAAAGGAGCACAAACATGCACAAAGTTGACTCCGCCATTTCATGATCAAATTATAGAGGAAACTTTTATTTTACTTACGTAATATTTTTCATACAATAGAAGAAGGTGATAAAATAGATTACCTTTTATCCGGTAAGAGAAATAGAAGCCTGACACCATTTCAGGATTTTCCATGTTTTCTTTTCTCAAATTTCATTCAGAAGAAAAACAGTTTGCACACTTATGATTAAAGAAAAAAAAGTGCTGTTTCAATCATTTAATATAACCCACATAACTTAATGTTTTTGTGCTTAATTAATTTTTTTTTTTTTTTTTGAGACGGAGTTTCACTCTGTTGCCAGGCTGGAGTGCAGCCACTGCATGATCTTGGCTCACTGCAACCTCTGCCTCCTGGGTTCAAGCGATTCTCCTGCCTCAGCTTTCTGAGTAGCTGGGATTACAGGCGCCCACCACCACACCTGGCAAATTTTTGTATTTTTAGTAGAGACGGGATTTCACCATGTTGTCTAGGTTGGTCTCAAACTCCCGACCTCAGGTGATCCGCTTACCTCTGCCTCCCAAAGTGCTGGGATTACAGGCGTGAGCCACCGTGCCCGGACTGTTTGTATTAATTTTCTTCCAAATGCCGAAAAATTACAAAGTATTTCACCTCTGATACAGCAAAAAGTCACTTTAACTTGGTTCTTTAGATACTGTCTTAGTACATTTGGGTGGTATTACAAAATTCCTTAAACAAGGTAGCTTATAAACAACAGACATTTATTTTGTTATGGAGGCTGGAAAGTCCAAGATCAAGTCAGATTTGGTATCTGGTGAGGGCCAACTTTCTGGATCATAGATAGCGACTTCCTGCCGTGTCCTCACATGATGGAAGAAACGAAAAAGCTTCGTTGGGTCTCCTTGATAAGGGTATTAATCCCTGAGGATTAGTACATGAGGGGATATCGCAGATATGAGAATAAACCAGTAAACACATGATTTGTATCTAGATGTGAAACTACCTAAATGGAAATCCAAGTATTTTTGTCTGTTTTGTTTGTTTTTAATCCAAGCTGGGCTTTAAAATGGAAATATCTTGTTAAAAAACTCACAGGTTGAGTCTTTTAAAACAAACCCCTCTTCATCAATGACAAAGAAAATGGGCTTAGCATTTTTATTTCTGGGATGAAAAGAATAATTCCCAGCTTCTCATCTCAGGCTGAAATTTCTAATCAGAAGCCCAGTGGTCGGAATATTTTCTACAAATAGTCATATAGCAACTACTTTCACCTTTGCAAGCCATTCATTCTTTGTCACAACTACTCAACTCTGCTATTGTAATTCCAATCAGTAACAGGCAACACATGCAGAGATGTTTACTGAAACTTTATTTATGAATGCTAAAATTTAAATTGCATATGATTTTTTAATGCTATAAAAGTGTTTCCCAATTACTGAAAAATTTTAGAAACCTTATCTTGTGGGGAGTACAAAACCATTTTCTTGGTTGGATTTGACACATGGGCCTAAATTTGAATCCCTGCACCATAAAATGAAATCCATTTGAGATTGAAACATACTTATAACTTTAACAGGCATGAAATGAAAACAAAATGAAACAAACAACAGATAAGCAAACGAAAAACTTATTTTATTTTTTTTGCAACTAATTGTTTTTCTAAATCCAAATTGAATTAGAATTATTCCATGATATTGACATCTGTGGCAAGTTTAAAGATATATTTTTAATTCCTGGGACAATCTGTACTTATTAGATGTTTAAAATATTTGTGATATCTGTTATGTAATATTTGGCCTTTTTATTACAATTAAAGATGCATCATTTTAGACATGTGATTTCATTTACAAGATATAAAAGAATACAGTAAATTTTAATAGTACCAAATGTTTGACAGCACTTGATTTTCTAGAACCGTAACATCAGTATTAATTCACGAGAATAATTAAGTTGCTAGGAAAATTATTTTGATTAGTAACTGCCTTGATAGTCATTTAAAAAACAAACACTAAATACATTTAATATCCAAATGTATTTAATATCCAAATTCCCTTAAGTGTTTAAGGGAATTTAATTAAGTTGTAAAATGAACCAAATATTTCAAAAATTGTAATCATTTCAACTTATTGATCTAATAGTTTAAGATCTCTACATTATTTCTTTTAATTTTTTAAATTAAAAATGTAAATACATTTAGAACATGAACGTAAAACACTTAAGGAAAACTACATTTTGCATTCATGATTTTAATGAATTGAGTAGCTTAAAATATTCATATGAGGAAATAAACACCTATTGTTTTCTCTGTGCTCCAAAAACCACTTTTGAGGGAAAAATTAATTCACTTGACAACCTTAATATGTTTTCTATAAAAACCTGCCAGAAAGCATTATTAATAATTATTAACTTTGAATATGCTGTATTTGCTATTATGGTTATTACCATTAAGTCAACTAAATTAGAAATAATTAAAAATAGGAGAATAAATAAGTAAAATCAACAAGATCCATTAAAAAGGAAATATTTAAATATTTTCCTAAGTACGGTCTGGAGACTGTATGGTTTTTATGATTATGAGGGAAAGATATATTCATAAATATAGTTTCAAAAATCAGTAAAACATTTACAAACATATACGTATCACATAAACATAAATAGGCACAGTCACACATGCATATTGGAATATGTCTTTCCAAATTTTCTGTATGAATATCTTTTGCTTACATGGTTTACTGTCATATTCTATACATAATTGGGCATGAAAATTTTATTTTTTAATATTTTATTAAATTTCATACACATTGAATAAAATTTCAAAGTATAAAAACAAAATGAAGATATCCTAAATACTAATAATAAAATTAAACCACTTTTTAAAATCTTCATTATTACTGAAATAAAACCAGTAAAATATTATTTTTTATATATATTTTCTTTTTCTCCCACTTTATGCTTTGGATCTGTAATGATTAAAAACTCAGTTTTTCTAACCTTACAAGTCTCTGCTTTATTATATTCACAGTTTTGAGTATGATTAATTGACAATCTCAAAAAAAGAGTATCTGTTTTAGGAAGGATTGATTTTTCTTCTCTCTGTGCTTCTACAGAAGTAGTTTGAAAGCAAGTATAATGTTTTTCACTGTCGGCTGCAACAAACTGAACCACTTTAGCATTTCTTTTTTTTTTCACCTTGGTCTTCTAATGTTTTAGCCACCCTCAGCAAGTGATATAATCAACTCTTTCTGTATCGTTGAACAAGGGACAACAACTACCGGTTGCAAGTCACCAAAAACATGGTGTGATTAGTGTGCTATCACTAATTTCATGGATTCTCTGATTCGTTTCTCCTTAACATAGGGGCTTTTTATTTCAGGCTGGCTTCTCTTATGGTAGCTTAATGTATGCAGCAATGGCAGTCCTGATTTCTGCTTAACATTCCACCAACAGCAAGAGAAAGAAAGCCCCTGTGAATCCAAATTCCCATCAATACTCCTGAAAGTTAGTATCATTGAATCAATCAATATTGGTGTCCAGTAGGATGAAATGACCTGTTTGTTTGTTTGTTTGTTTGTTTGTTTTACAAAATATGCTATGAATATGACTCTACTTGGATCTCCAAAAGATGTTGGAAACTATTGATTGGTGTCCCTATAGCAATTGATTGGTATCCAATATAGTCATCGTTTTTACACATTACCTGTGAAAACTCCAAAGCTTAATTACTGCTTCTGTGAGGTTATAAAATAAGTACTGATATTCAAATCAATTAAAGTTAAGCTAATTTTAAGAAGCCATTGTTGAAATAAATGTAAACTTGAAGGAAAGTTTTAAAATGTACAAGTTAAACTTCTATTTTAACATTATCAGAAATAGTTTTGCCTTTCTATTAACCTTTTCCATATTTACCTCATTTTGTCATGCCTATAGTTCAAAAAAGATTTGTTGACAAGTTTAGGGGAAATTTGGAACAAAATCCTCTTGTCAGTTAAGACCTAGGACAAGTCTTCTTCCAGATAGAAAGTACTAATAAGTTTTAACCATTTTTTTTTCCTGAAGCAAGTTATACTCAAACCAAATTACTGATCTCTTTCTTTATCTGTATACCTACTATAAAGAATAAATAACTAATGTAAAGCCTTGGCTTTTGATGTCTTCAATCATTTCACTCTCCAACTTTTAAAACATATTCAGGGATTATCAGTAAATTTCTATATCAATTCAAAATGTATGACTTCAGAAATATCAAAGACTCTACCCTCTTCAGTCCCATTTGCTGAAATAGTGCCTCCAGAATTCCTACCAAGGTCTTCCTTTAGAGCTGTCAGGCACTTTCTCAAAGTTGATTGCCACCACTTCTATTTCCACATCCTGGGATCATGTGGACTGTTCATGTCTCTCACCTTTAAGTAGAGAGTTCGGGCACCATGGAAAATAATTTGGTTATTGTACATCAGAGGTGTAATGAAGTGGCTGACTCCATTTTGTGGTGTTTGACTGCTCATGGTTTTCAAGCACAGTTCCTCTTCTCCTTGTGCCTTACATCTGGGTAAGTGGATGAGAAAGTCCAGGTTCTCTCTCCTTTTGCACTGGCAAGAAGTTCAAATCATGTAAGTTCAGGCCCCTGTAGGAATCCTCATTCCAGCTCTGCCCTTTAAATATTTAAAAACTCCAAATCACTTTTTACCTGGATCTCTCAAATCCTTTTCACACCTGTTTGGGAAGTCAGCTCTGCATCCCATGTAAGTCTTATTATGGGAACATTTTATAACCTTTTCGTGCACCTGTAGCATCATCAGTGTCAACATCCAAACAAACTTTTGGAGAAGCAGTCACGTAAAGAGTTGGTGACCAGATGCGATTGCTCATTCCTGCAATCCTAGCTACCTAGGAAAATGAAGTGGGATGATGACTTGTGTTCAGGAGTTAGAGGCTGCAGTGAAATATAATTGCACCACCCCACTCGAGCCTGGGCAACAGAGTGAGATCTTGTCTCAAAAATTGAAAAATAAAAAGCCAGGATGAGTGAAACTGACTATCTACGTTTTGTTTAGTTTAGTTTAGTTTTGTTTTGTTTTCTTGCAGGGCATAAGGAAGCACACTGAGTTTTGAATACCTTCCAATGGAGCACAACAAAACTCACAATATTTTTGGAGCTCTATAGCGTGCTCTCTCTGAACCAAACATTCAATGCTATATTACATTAAAAGAAAAAACTTTAGACAAATTAAATTTAAAACCATTTAATTTAGCAAATGTAAGATTCTCCCCCCGGCCAGAAAGCTTAAGGAGATGAATAACTCTTCCCTTCACAGGCCCAGTCCCAAGGCACAAGGCCACTTGCGTCAGCAAGATAGAAGAAGCAGGAAGAGAGCCGGCCCAAGACACCTACCCTGGCCAGAAGACAGGTACCCCTGAAGATTGAGACAGAGGCTGTCCTTGTACAACGTAGCAGTTATGTCAGACCAGGACACTTCCTGTTTACAGGAGACTGTAAAACTTTGGCCTGGTCCTCACCTGGGGCTGACTCCATTTTAGGCCTCAGCCTGCCTGCGCCCAGGCACTCATTAAAACAGCATGTTGCTCCACACCACCTTGTGTTTTCTGTTGGCACACTCTCAGGATTCGAACTAATACAAGAGCCTTACATCTCACGCCAAAACCTGGGAGGGGCTCAGGTCTGCGTCCCTCATGGACCTACCCCTCCACCCTGGAGAGCAGGCCACAGCAGCCCGATAAAGGAAGCTCCTCAGCCTCCAGTCGCCATTGCATGCATACATGTCGGTCACTGACTTCGCCTACTGTTAAGTTTCCCCAGGAGCCCGGTTAACAGGGAAAATTCCACATGGCCTCTGTTGGTTTCTCTGGTCCAAAAATCTAACATTGGTCCAAGAAGGTTCCAGGGTGTGCCATGCACTCGCTGATCATTTGTTCTTAGCCTCTAAGCCATTTGATCCCATTCCAGGAATGAAAAAGGCAGCAGTTACAATTGCTCCTTTTATCATCTCCCTCTGGCCGTCCAGGACGGTCTCCTTTTCCCTATTCTTCTGAGCCTACCTTCTGTTATGGGAAACTCCTAGTCCTCCATTCCAAAAAACTGCCCTCTAGACTGCCTCATAAAAAACCTGCAAACCTTAGGCTTCAGGCAAATTATCCACCCTAAGCTCCTTGTCTTTTTTTGCAATTCAGTCTGGCCACAATACAAACTAGATAATGGGTCCAAATGGCCTGCAAATGGAACATTCGACTTTACAATTTTAACTGATTTAAGCAATTATTGCCGAAGACTGAAGAAATGGGGAGAAATTCCTTATGTCGAGGCCTTTTTGCACTCAGATCACAACCTGACCTCTGCAATTCTTGCTCACCTGTTCAAATTCTTCTCCTCCATTCTTACTGCCCTGATCCTTTCTCCTCTCTTTCTCCTCCGGACCCTACCTCCTTTTCCTCGTTAGATCCAGCAGACTGTTGCCCACCCCTCCCAGCACTTACCTCTCCCTCTCAACCATCTTCTTTAACCCCCCAAAGCCTCCTCTTTATCGTATCAGCCACCATCTTCCCAGATACCATCTTCTCAGCCGCCACCTTCCCAGCTGCCATTTTCCCAGCCACCATCTTCTCAGCTGCCATCTTCCCAGTCAACTGTATCCACTTCTTTTCCTACACTGTCCCCTCCTCAGGACAATTCTAGTATTGCCTGTACCCATTCTCCTCCCACACTGCCCTCTCCTGAGGCTTGTAAACCCATCCTGCCACCTTACACCCCTATGTATTCTCCACTGCCTGTTAACTCAACCCACTTCCCCCTTCAAACCTGCAGCAGGAACCACTTCCAGGTTTCTCCTTCTCTCCCACCCATACTCGCTCAGGTGCCATCTTTGGCCCCATGACCCACCCTTACTTCAGGGCCAGTGCCAGAATGTCCCCTTTGGGAAGTAGCAGGAGCTGAAGGTATTGTTAGCAGTCATGTTTCCTTCTCCCTCACTGATCTCTCTCAAATTAACAAAAGACTCGGTTCATTTCCAGAAGACCTTACCTTTTAAATTAGGGAATTTCAGTACCTTACCAAGTCTTATGAACTAACCTGGCATGACCTCTACATAATCCTCTCTTCCATCCACACCATAGAAGACTGAGACTGTAAGTGGACCCTAGCTCAGGCACATGTTGATACCATTCATCACCAGGCCCCTGCCCAGCCTACTAGCATAGAGGCAGTCCCCAAATAGGACCCCCACCAGGACTATCAAGATGGGGCCTCTGGAGGCCACCGTCGAGACCACATGATTGTGTGTCTCCTAGCAGGACTCAAAAAGCGTACCCATAAAGCAGTAAACTATGAAAAACTTTCAGAAATCACCCAAGGTCCTGATGAAAACGCAGCGCTTTTTCTCTCTCATTTAACTGAAGTCATGAGAAAGTATACGAACCTAGAACCAGTCAGCCCAGAATGAACCACCACCTTAAACCTTTGATTCATTTCCCAATCCACCCCCGATATTCAGCACAAGCTTCAGAAGCTTGACAACGGCCCTCAAACCCCAAAACGAGACCTTCTTAATTTAGCCTTCAAAGTCTTTAACAATCATAATGAGGAAAGAAAGAGGCAAAAACAGACAGAGTTTCAAATGCTTGCCTACACCATCAGGGGCCCTGCAGGCCCACAGGGCTGCAGCTCCACGCGGAAGCCTCCTAGAAATCCACCTCCATCTGGCACGTATTTCAAGTGTGGCAGTGAAGGCCACTGGTCCAGACAATGCCCAAACCCGGGTAAGCCCACCAGGCTGTGCTCCCTCTGTGGAGGACCTCACTGGAAGTTGGACTGTGAGCAGCCCCTGCAAGGACTGCCCCCATCCCTTCCCAAGCCAGCGAAAACTTCCTACTGAGATCTCATCGGCCTTGCCACTGAAGACTGACAGTGCCCTGGAACAGATGCCCCGGCAAGTATCATTGCTTCATCCAAGCCAAGGGTAACCCTGATGGTGGCAGGTAGGCCAGTATGTTTTTTCATTAATACCAGACCAACCTACTCTGCTTTACCTAATTTTTCAGGACCCACCCAGTCCTCCCAAGTCTCTGTTGTGGGAATTGATGGACAAGACTCGAAACCCCAAGTCCCCCCTCCACACTTCTGCTCCCTTCACACCTTTTCCTTCACTCACTCTTTCTTAGTCCTGCCCTCATGTCCAACTCCACTCCTAGGCAGAGACATCCTTCCAAAACCCCACACTATTCTCCACTTCCACGTTCCCCATAGTACCCAACGCATCAACCCAGACCCCTCTGGGGCTTCTAACTTTCTTCTACCCCTCCAACCTCCCACCTTAAAACATGCAACTTTTCCTGTTCCCCCATCCGTAGTTAACCCCTCTGTTTAGGATACTTCCACACCTTCAGTCACAGAACACCACACTCCCCGTCCACATTATCCTTAAAGAGCCCACCCAGTTCCTATCACAGAAGCGGTATTCCATCCCCCAAGCAGCTCTCATAGGCCTACAGCCTATCGTTTCTTGCCTCCTCACCAGTCACCTACTCCGCCCAAAAAACTCCCATTTTTAACACACCAGTTCTACCTGTTAAAAAGCCAGATGGAACTTGTCGCTTAGTCCAGAACCTCAGGCTCATTAACCAAGCTGTCTAGAAGTTCCTAACCCATATACTTTACTTTCTGCAGTTCCCTCCAATACCACCCATTTTTCTGTTCTAAACTTAAAGGATGCTTTCTTCACAATTCCTTTACACCCTAATTCCCGAAACCTCTTTGCCTTTATGTGGGAAAACCCCGACACCCACCTTTCATGTCAGCTCACCTGGTGCATACTAACTCAAGGTTTCAGAGGCATCACCCACATTTTTAGACAGGTCTTTGCTTGCGACCTCTGTACTTTATCCCTAACACCATCCACTCTTCTTCGATGTGTTAATGATCTCCTGTGTAGCCCTTCTCAAAGAGACTGCAACACCCATACTATCTCTCTCTTTTAACTTCTGGGCAGAAAGAGAGTATTGGGTCTCCCCCAAGAAAGCACAGATATGCACCACCTCAGTCACTGTCTAGGTCTAGCTCTTACCCTGTGAACCCGAGGGCTCACAGCCAACCACATATCCCTCCACCAGTCCCTCCTGCCTCCAGAGACTAAGCAAGAAATTCTCTCTTTTAGGACTAGTGGGATGTTTTAGGCTCTGGGTTCCCTCCTTCACTCTACTTGCCAAACTATTATACCAAGCTGCTAAATGCTCTCTCTATGAGCCTTTAAAACCTGCACAGCCTATTACCCAACCTTTCTGTCTTCTCCAAAAGGATCTCATCTCAGCCCCCATCCTCACTCTCCCAGACCTCACCAAGCTTTTCTCCCTCTATACCAACAAACAGCGTGGAGTTGCACTAGGTGCTCCAACCCAGTCTAAGGGGTCCAACCTCCAGGTTATCACCTACCTCTCCAAACAGCTTGAAACCACAGTTCTCAGATGGCCTGCCTGCCTCCAAATCACCATGCTAACCAGCTCCCATGTAAACCCGGCCATGCTCTTACCTGAAGCTACAACCACCCAACACCCTACACACTTCTGTGTGAACACTCTTCAAACCTTTCTTATACCTTTTCCAAACCTAACAGACCAACCCCTTCCAGATGCCTCCTTTATTTGGTTTATAGATGGCAGCTCCTTTCTACATCAAGGATGCTCGCATGCTGGTTATGCTATAGTGTCACCCCCAACACACACTATTGAAGCCAATCTGCTCCCTCTAGGTACCACCTCCCAAAAAGCTGAACTCGTTGCTTTCACTCGAGCTCTCACTCTAGCAGCCAGACAACAAATTAACATATATTCAGGTTCTCATTATGTATTCCATATAGTACACTCACACTCGTCTATCTGGAAAAAACCAGTTTCCTAACTACAAAAAAACACTCCCTGTCATAAATGGCTCCCTCATCAGAAAGCTCCTCCAAGCTACTAGACTCTCACAGAAGGTTGCCATCATTCATTGCAGGGGCCACCAAATGCCAGACAATCCTATATCAGCTAGAAATGCACTAGAAGATCAGGTAGCCAAGCAAGTAGCCCTACAACCTGTGCAAAGCCAGTTTCTGTCCCTGTCCTTGTTCTCACCTCTTTACTCCTCAGAAGAAAAGGAGGACTTCCAAGCCCAAAACCTTCAAAAGCAAGGACCATGGTATGCCAAGGAAGGGCGCTTCATTCTTCCTCACTCTCAAGGCCTTCCTCACCTCCAAAGGTTCTACAACTCTTTCCATGTTGGTTAAAAACCTCTCTTGCAACTTCTCTGCCCTATTCCACTTGTCCTTACCTTTCCAGCCATGTTTGAGAAATCACCCAGTCCTGCTCTATCTGCCACTCAGTTTCACCCCAGCACTCCCTCCAGCTGCCACCTTTTCCTACTCACCAAGCCTGGGGCCAGATACCTGGTCAAGATTGGCAAGTAGACTTCACTCGCTTGCCTCCTGATAAATGGCTCTGCTATCTTCTAGTCTTTGTCTGTGCTTTCTCCGGGTAGGTAGAAGCGTTCCCAACAAACTTTAGAAGGTGCAAATATCATCACACAAACTCTCATCATGCATGTAATTACCAGTTTCAGACTCCCAACATCCATCCAGTCCCATAATGGGCCCGCCTTCATCAGCCAAATTACCCAAGGTGTCTCTACACCCTCAAGAATAAAGTAGGTTCTCCACACACCCCACAGGCCTCAATCTTCAGGCAAAGTTGAAAAAAGGAACCCTGTCCTTAAAGCCCAACTCACCAAGCTGGCTCTAGAAACCCACCAGTTGTAGACAAAAAATCTCCCTTTCACCCTCATGACACTCCATGCAACACCAAAGCCATACTTTTTTTATAGTCCCTTTGTAATCATGTATGGCAGAACTTTTGTCTTGGGGCCTCCACCCTTACCAGACTCTGAGCCACTCAGGAATTACCTCTCCTCCTTAATCCAGACACAGTTTTTCATTCGTGAAGTAGGAGATGAGGCCATGCCTATCCCTGTTGACACCTCCTTGTCCTCTCAACATAACTTTTTTGCAGGCACAGACATGTTTATCTGCCCGACCCTCACCCAAAGGCTACAACTGAAATGGACAGGCCCCTACACTGTGATACTCAGCACGCCAACTGCAGAGAGAGTCCAAGGACTCCCTAACTGGGTCCATCACACCAGGGTAAAGCTCACCCCCAAGGCTACCCCTTCCTCCAAAACATTAACAGCGGGTAACACCCTTGGAGTCCCTGTATGTAATAACCTAAACAAAGAAAAATGATCCTTAAAGGTAAGAGGAAGCCAAAGATGGCAAGGGGATGAATGACCTCCACAATGGATCATCGAGTAGAACAGTCCTGCCACTTCAGCTGAGGATGGTTCATGGGGTTATTGCACTCCTATATATATGCTAAATAGAATAATTAGACTACAGGCTGTTCTAGAGATAATCACTAACCAAACCGCCTCAGCCGTAGAAATGGTCACACAATAACAAAACCAAACGCGTGCAGCAATTTATCAAAACAGGTTAGCACTAGACTACTTATTAGCAGAAGAGGGTGGAGTCTGTGGTATGTTTAATGTCTTTGATTGCTGTCCTAAAGTTAGACGATAGTGGAAAAGTGGTTCCGGAAATCACTTCAAACATCAGAAAAGTAGCTCATTTACCAGTCCAAACCTGGAAGGGATAGGACCCAACAAACCTTCTAGGAGGGTGGTTCTCCAATTTAGGAGGATTTAAAATGCTGGTAGGGACAGTAATCACTGAGCTCCTCCTGTTTCTCCCGTATTATCCCACTGATAATAAAAGCCATTACAACTCTTGTTGAACCTACACTTAATCAGCAGACAATCCAGATGATGCTCGTGCTACAACGGCATGATAGATACAAACCCGTCTCTCAAGAATACAACAAAAATTAAGTTTTTCTTTCTCCAAGGTGCCTACTCCACCCCAATGTTACCCCTGAAGTAGTTATTGAGAAAGTCGCCCCTTTTCCCTTTTTTCTATAACCAAATAGACAGGAATGTAAGATTCTCCCTGGGGTCTGAAAGCTTAAGGAGAAGAATAATTCCTCCTTTCTCAGGCCCAGTCCCAAGGTGCAAGACCACTTGCATCAGCAGCGAGCGTCAGCAAGAAGAAGCAGCAGGAAGACAGGCAGCTGAAAGACACCACCCTGGCCGGAAGACACGTACCCCTGAAGATCTGAAGATCTAGAAAGAGGCCATCCAGGTACAATGTAGCAGTTATGTCAGACTAGGACACTTCCTGTTTACAGGAGACTATAAAACCTTTGCCCTATCCTCACTTGGGGCACCTAGGTGCTCATCAAAACAGCATGTTGCTCCACACCGCCTCGTGTTGTCTGTTGGCATGCTCTTGGGGTTCTAACCGATACAAGAATATTATAGCAAAGAACTACTCATGAATCAGACAACCCTCGGAACCAGAAGAGGTTCATAGAGCTCTGTTTTGCAATAGGCAGGCAACATTTGTGGAAAGAAGATGGAAGTGAGTTACAGAAACAGCCTGATTGGTTACAGCTTGGGGGTTTGCCTTATTTGAACATGGTCTGATCAGTTGGCTGCCTATGATTGATTAAAGCTTAGCTGGTGTTATTGGCTGAGACAGCTATTTGTTACAAAAGTATACTCCTCAGTTAGGTTTTTAGTTAGTTTATGTACTGAGTTAGATGCAGTTCCTTACATAGGGACTCAGAGTCCCTATGAACTGGAGCCTCAGGCCAGATTTAATTTAATTTAACGATTTATTATTAAATATTGTTAAATTTGTTCCCGTTTTATATATAGCTTTTCTGTTTTAAATACACTCTTCTTCAGTTCAAGAACATTATCTTGACTTTTTTTTTCCCAGCCTTCCCCCCACCATATAGGACTTGGTGCAGTAATAAGCACACATTTATTTAATTTTGTATATTAGGATATTTTCACATCCTTAAAGGCAATACATAAAATAAGCATTGATGATGTACTTTATGTAAAACAAAGAGTCAGATGTTTGCTTGAATAAACAATTTAACATCTTATAGTAGGTTAATATGAGACTGTGTTATTCAAAAAGCAAGTAGAAATAACTTATAATTACAATGTACCATTATGTGGAGTTGTTGATTCTGCAGCACTGAATACATAAACATTTACTGAACATTGATTATATTCGCACCCCTGCGTTAGTTTATTTTGTTTAGTTTCGAAGAGCTTTATTGAGATACAACTCATGTATCATACTTTCATCTATGTAAATTGTGAAATTCTATGTTTCCAATTATATTCACAGGTTTGAGTAAGCATCATCACAATCTCATTTTAAAATATTGTTATCTCCCTTAAAAAATTACCCATTAGCTGTTACTCCCTATTCTCTCACACAGACAATCTCGTAACTCCTAATCTAAGCAACCATAATATAGGTACTCTATAGATTTGCCTATTTTTGTCACTTCATAGAAATGAAAACATATGAAGCACATACAAGTTTCTAGTAGGTTTAGCTTAAGATATTGATGAATTGTTTTATATATTTCTATAGATTATTTCCAATTTCTCCATTCTCTTCAAATACCTAACCTTTTCACTTTCAGCAGATGTCTTTGATTCCTCCTTTAAGAAGGAAATAGAAATATCAGAAAAGGGTTTTCCAACCTCCTTCTGCCAAACTTAGCAACTTACAAGCAGTGATAGAATTTTTTCTCATTCTTTTTTGTTGTAATATACATTTTCCCTCTATTGTCCTTAAATGTTGTGGCTCCTGAATGTTAGATTTGTTTTTCTCATTCTATTCTCTGACTTTATTTATCTTATAGTATAGTAACTTCAAAATGTATATATATGTGTGTGTGTGTATATATATATATATATATATATATAGTTTTATTATAGCAACTCCACTTACAACACACTTAAAACTCAATTCAAAATCTATTCCATATATATTGTATCTATTGTTCCACAATTATTAAATAATAACTATCCATACAGCTGCACAGGGTCAAAATCTACCTTGACCAATATATTTTAAAGTCCAGTATATTAAAGTCCAGGAATAATTATATAGAGACAAAACCTCTGCCTCTAATTAAATTACATTCTGGTGCAGATGGTATTTATTAACCAAATATTTATGTGCATAAATATATTTAAAGTTTGTATCAAGCACTTTGTAGGAAAAGAGTAGAGTGCCATGAATGCAAATCAAGGGACATGACCTAGTCCAGGCAATCGGGGAAAGTTTCCCCTGAGGGAACAATATTAAGTCAAGGCCTAAAAGGGGAGATGACAAAAAATAGCAGATGAGTAGTGGCTTTGCATAGTATCACATACCCTTAGGTCAAGGGAATTGAGCCTTGTGGATTAATGATAGGGATTCATAAATGAAAACTGTGGCAGTTGCCAGAATTATGGAAAACAGACCATGGGCAGCCAACAATGAATAAATATCAGATCATATTTTACTATTGCTCCCAGAAAAAAAAAAAAAGATATTCAACATAGCATAAGAATGTCATGACCAAACTGGCCTTTCCTTTAGTCTCCAGACACTGTATTTTTTCATCTACTTAATATGCCCCTACTCATCTGCTATTTTTTTGTCGTCTTCCTTTTAGGCCTTAACCTCACATCATTCCGTCAGGGAAACTTTCCCTGATTGCCTTGGCTAGGTCAAGTCCCTTTATTTGCATTCATGGTACTCTACTCTTTTCCTACATAGCGCTTAATACAGTCTTTAAATATATTTACACACATAAATATGTGGTTAATAAATACCATCTGCACCAGAATGTAATTTAGGTAGAGGCAGAGATTTTTGTCTCTCTATAATTATTCATTTGCCAGACATATTACACATATAATACGTATTTTTGAAATGGATTCATTAATGAAGGAATAGCTACAAAATTATGGTTTGAATCCATTTCATTCTATCTATCAAGCATGTGTGTGTGTGTGTGTGTGTGTGTGCATGTATGTGTGTGTGGGTAAATATCTGCCGACGTTTTCTGTTCAGTATCATTAGTCTTTTGAGGCTTAGGGCACAGGAACGCAACAATAATTGATTTGAAAAGCTGCATAAGTTACACTACCTGAATGTTCATTGCTATTTCATTATTAGAAAACATACCCTTAGTTATTCTTTCCAGTTTCCCTGGGGTAGGAGGAGATCAGGTAAAAAGAAAAAAAGAGCAAACCTTCTATTTTTGCATATTCTTGTTCAATAGACATGCCAAAGAACAAAAAGTACCTCCTGATCACTAGAAAATGTTGAATATTCATTTTGGAGTTATGTAAAATGAAACTATTAAAAAGCTGATTTTTGTTGTTATTGAGATGAAATCTTGCTCTCTCGCCCAGGCTGGAGTGCCGTGGTGCGATCTCGGCTCACTGAAACCTCTGCCTCCCGGGTTCAAGCGATTCTCTTGCCTCAGCCTTCCAAGTAGCTGGGACTCCAGACATGCGCCACCATGCCCGGCTAATTTTTTTGTTGTTGTTGTTGTATTTTAGTTGAGATGGGTTTTCACCATGTTGGCTGCTCTCTAATCTCCTGATCTCATGACCCGCCCGCCTCGGCCTCCCAAAGTGCTGGCATTACAGGCATGAGCCACCACGCCCAGCCTAGAAAGCTGATTTTTATAATAAAAATTATTAGCAAGTCTATGAAGAAAAAATAAATCAGACAAGAGTAATAAAATATTATGATTAGATACCCACTTTTCAGAAAAAGAGTATCTAATCAGTAATTTTAAAATTAGCAATAAGGAACAAGTGAATTCCTTAATTTTAGTTACATATCAAATAGTTTCTATTATTCAAAGAAAACCTATTTTAAAAATATATTTTATTCACTTTTACGTTAAAAGAATAGTACAAATTGAAAAGAAACTAAATTTTGCTAAAATTGGAAAACTATGAAAAATAACATTGGAGGGATATTTTCATATTTTCACAGAGAAACAGTTATTTTTTCTGTGAAATATAACCATATATATAACCTAATGTACATAAAAAGCCATAAACCATGTATACAACCATGTATGTATAAAATTACCAAAATTATACACACACTCACATATATACATATATATATGTAAATTTTAGAGACAGGACCTTGCTCTGTCACCCAATCTGGGGTGCAGTGGTGCAATAATGGCTCACTACAGCCCTCCCACCTCAGTTTCCCAAGTAGCTGTGACCACAGGCATGTGCCACCATTATTGGCTATTTTTTATTTTTTTTCGTAGACATGAGGTCTTGTTCTCTTGGCCAGGCTGGTCTCCAACTTCGCCTGAAGCGATTCTCCCACCTTGGTACCCCAAAGTGCTGGGATTACAGACATAAGCCACCACACCCAGGCTGTTATATATTTAAATAGCATTTTAGCACATAAAATAAGATGACTATTGATATAAAATGGCAAAACTCACTGAATAAATGTTGCAGTTGCTGAAAGTTATTGTAAGTCTATGGTGAACATCACTTTTATACAAAAAGTCATTATTTAAAAATATGAAAAATCACCATAGCCTGTGTAAAATATTAGGTCCGTGCTCTGTCCATATTCACAATGCAGCCTTAAGGTTCAGGTCCTGAATTCACTGTGTTTATTTTTTTTTCCTACTTTATCTATCTTCTTCTTTCTGCCTGAAAGCTTTCTATAAGTGTTGAGCTAGATTTACTTGAGACTTTGTGGTGGAGATAAACTGCTAAGTTTATTTTGCTGTGTTTAAGATATGGTAATAGAGAATATACATCTAATTTATTTACTCAAAGAAAGAAAGCTTCCAGCTGAAAATGATGCCAGGCTGAGGTTGGAAGAGTTAATTTGACCAATGATGTGTGTTTTAGAAAAATGAGAATAAAAAGGGAAGGAAATTCCAGAAATACAATATGTGTGGCTGTGATATATATTGGAAAAACACAGACAACATTATAAAATATAAAATGCAAACTATGGTAAAACCCAAAACCTGCAGCATCTTGCATAACTTAGCTCAAAAACAACCAGCATGTTCTAAACAGAGGATTGATTTATGTTTTATAACTCTCTATGAACAGTGTAGTCATCAGAAGTCAGGGGACAAGGTGGCAAAAAAAATCCACTTCTGGGGTATTTTTAATGATCCAAGTGTGAGCTTAAAATGAAGCAGTTATTGTGGTGATGGAGAAAGGTAACAGCTTTTAAGATGAAAAATTGCTATGGGTTTGCATTAATTTTACTCTTGCCAAATTTATTTTCAGAGTAGAACAGCAGACAATTTTTGGCTTAGGTAATTAAGTGGATAGGAACATTAAACGTAGGTGAAATAATAGAAATCCAGTTATTTAACTCCAGGGGAAATTGTAATTGTTTACTAAAATTCGGAGTTACATGCCTTAAATTCCTTAAAGAAGGCATTTCTTTTTGGCTTATGGACTCAGACATACTTTTATAGGCACAATAGGTATTAATATTTTGAGTGACTATATTCTACATTGAATAAAAACAAACAAAAAATCTTTCTAGCACTCTTAATTGTTTTGTGTTTGTGGTTGTAATACTATACTTTTCTTATTCAATTAGGAATAGTGAAATATATCAATTCATTTTTTGCTCTGTCTTAAAACAATTTGAGATACATTACAATAGTAGACACACTCAGAGTGTGTCTATTAAAGAGTAGCAGAGAATAAATCCACAAAAAAGGAAAAAGTAAATAAACATAAAAATATACGCAGAAAATTGGAATTATGCCTCAGTACCTCTAAGGCCACCAAGTTCAATTTTTTTCCTGGCTAAAGCAAGAATGTTCTCTAATTAATGGCTTTGTTATTTTTCCATACTTGGTATGTTGTTGATGTGAACAATTCAGCACTTGCTTTTGACCCCTAAGATGACCAGAAAAATAGATTTGAAGCCATTGCTGTGGCTCATCTCACAGAATCTTTGCTATGAGGATTTTCCTATCAAATGTGTGAAGTGTGCTGAAATAATCTCACCAGGGGACATGGAGTCTTTGTGTTCTCAAAATATTCAGTTCTGTCTTTCTAAAAGGATATTCTCAGAGAAGCCTGATCTCACTGCCATTGTTAAGATATGTGATTGCCTGAGTATTTCAAAGTTACTTTCATGAGACACTTTGGTCCCCCATTTCAATCCCCAAAATAAGGAAATCTTCCCCTTATGCCTCCCAAGTATCAAGGTGACTAAGGAACTATAAAAAGAACTTTGAGGAGATATATAGATGCACCTTTAAAACTTCAGGCTCTAAAGCCTGTTTATCTAAATCATAATGTCATAATAACATTAAGCAACTTGTCCAAGGTCATGCATTTGTCATATAAAATAATGAAAACCATATTCAGCCTGCTCCTCCTCCAGAGCCTAAAATCTTGCCAGTATGTTAGACTGCCTTAAGTTTATTGCTTGTAACATTATATTCACAAGTGGCACAAAATTAATGGGGTTAAGAGATCTTATTTGAAAGTACTGGCTACCGTACCATCATCTTAAAGATTAGCATCAATAGTTATTATATTAAAATCTCTCAGTCCCCTAAGGACAATGCTTATATAACATTCCCATGTCACAGCTTTGTTTGTCTTTTCTGTACCCTTCATACCACCAGGCCTGCACTGGGGTTTAAAATCTTCCTTTCTCCTCATAGCTGCTTCCAGATCATTCTTCTTCCGTTCTCTATATAAATACAGATTTAATTTCATCATCAGTGTACGTAATTTGTCCTATGTTTACATTTTTTAACCATTATAACTTTCCACCTCACACCTTCCATACATCAATTCCTATATTATGTAAGCCACATTGAGATGTATAATACACTGAACCTACCACATTGTTATTCTCTCCCATCCTTCATCCTCCTTTCCTTTTTATAAAACTAAGATTCCCTGGTTCATGATAATGAATGAAACACTCTTGTTCTTAATTGTTTTATGAATATTACCTGGCAAAACCAGAATCCTATTCATATCTTCTTCTACCTATTTTGTGCCTGAACCCACACAATAGCTGACAGTGGTTGGAGAATAATCCATAATCACATTAATTGGTCTTATTTTAAAATCATAATGATTAACTTTATATAGGCAAACTATTCTACTTTTTTATTCTCTTCTTGGATTTTTTACTATCCTTTTCTGATTTTGACACTCAACTGGCAACCTTGCTTTCTACTTTAAAAAGTATACATGTAATGGAAATGAAATCTCAAAGAGCAATTTACCTCACCTACTTGCATTCATATCCACAAATTCTGCCTTCATTCCTGCTACTATGATGAAATATCATGCCTGGTATTTGTCAACCTGTCTGCTTGGACACTAGGTACCCTTTCCCCAGGCTTATTTAGGGTGATAGTTCTTGCAAGTCTCCCCTGACTGCTATAATCAAAATTTCAGTATCTACTAAATCATTCCTATCAGCAAAAGTACGGTATTGTCAAAGTTCTTTTCTTTTGTAAAACACAAATATCTTTTTATCTCACATGGCCTGTTTCTGTTTCCCTGAATAGCAAACTTTTTCCAAAGATGATCTATGCTCACTCAAGTCAAATCCTCTCTCGCCTACTTTCTGAATCCTATCATTTCACAAAAGAGCTCTTTATAAGACAAAAAAAAAAAAAAACCCTCCAAATTAACAAATACAATGGTAAATTTAACATGCGTAACTTATTTGGTCAATCTGAACAATTTGGTGTAGTCAGCCACTTCCTTTTATTTGATGTACATTTATTTTTCATTGACTTCCAAGATACCATACTCTACTGGATTTATTCTGATCTCTCCTTCTCAGTTACAATGACTGGTCACTGACCTCAAAAAGTTGAAAGGTCCAGGGTCTTATTCTTGAGATCTTTCCCCATATTTCTCTACACTTACTCATACACTTGGTGTTATTGTTCAGACAAAAGCTTTTAAATACTGTTCATATACTGACAACAATCAGGTTTAGATTTCAGGCCTAGACCATTACCTCTGAGTTCCAAACTCAAATGTTTAACTAGTTATCTACATTAACTTACATATTTAGTATGCATTTTAATCATAACATGACCAAAACTAAACTGACAGGATTTCTTCTCTTGGTTGTTTTTAGCTAACACATAAATTACTTTTTCCATCCTTTTATTGCTAATGTTTAATTTCCCATGTTAAATAATTTTCTGTTATCAAATCTGTGTGTGTGTACAGATTTGTGTGCATGTGTGTGTATACACACCTATATATATTTGTATATGTACATATATATACACATACACACAAAATCTGTGGTAGAAAGAATAATATTCACCACCCACAGTGACTTGGCATATATTAATTAAAGTTCACGAGATGGGGAGATTATACTGGGTTGTCTAGATCACCCAATGTATTCATAATAGTCATGATAGTAGGCGGGCAGGAGAGTCACAGTCAGAGAAGGATATGAGGCTACAAAAAAAAAGTCAGAGTGATTCAGCCACAAGCTATGAAATATGAGTAACCTTTAGAGCCTGGAAATGTCAAGGATCAGATTCTTCCCTAGAGCACCCAGAGAGGTTTTAGTTTTGCCAACACATTGATTTTCACTCTGTAAGATCCATTTCAGGTTTCTGACCTCCAGGACTACATGACAATAAATTTGTTTCATTTTAAGCCACAAAATCAGTGGTAATTTCCTGCAGCAGCAGTAGAAAACTAATGCCAATTTTTTTATCTATTTCTATTTTTCTATCATCTTTTTATACTTATTAATCTAGTCAAGATTTTTACTAACATTTATTTATATCTTAATATATACCTTGCTCTGCTTTAAATATGTGACAAATGTTAACTTATTTTCATGTTTTGTAAAGCATTCTAACAGTCTTATGAGAGAGGCAACATTGTAAGGCCCATTACAGAGATGAAACTAAGGCACAAAGACATACAGCAATCTTACCAGAGTTAAAAAATGGGTAAGTTCTTTGTTTATCTTGAATAGGCTATGGTCCTTTTACTCCAAGGTGCTTGCACTAGCTTTTCTGGCTGCCTGTTATAATCTTTTCTCAGGCCTCTAAATTTCTGACTCCTTGTAATTCTCATGTTAGTTTAGAGCTAACCTCTGCAAAAAGACCTTTCCTGGTGAAAGTAGTTTAGCAGTCATGTAGCCACACTTCCATTCTGTCCAATCATTGCATTTATTACTACCTGGCTTTGGTGTTACTTGCTTTTTGTTGTTGTTTTAATATTTTGTTTCCCTCCATTAGAAGACAATTGCATGAAAACAGCCTATTTTTGTATTTTATCATTACTAACTTTGAGATTTAGTCGGCACTCGGAAATAATAGTTTATTATTTTGTAATCATCTGACTTTCAGTTTTTGTTTCTATTTATTTATTGGCAAATGTTTATTTTTTTAATATTCCCTTCCTTATTTCTCTGAAGGTAAGCAAATATGAAAAATATTTATTATCAGTTCGTAACAAGATAGAGAGGGTGATAGATGTAATAGATAACCACAAGTAAAATTAAAGGTGTTAGGATTATCTAGGCTTCATTGGAGAATTGTTGTAATTATATCTCAGAGATAAAGTTGAATGTCTGGTCCTACACCCTTAATGGTAAGCCACTGCAATTTTGTATGTAGAGCTAATATGACCAGTTTTATGTTTTATAAAAGTAATCTCATACAGTTTGTAAAATGATGTGGAATAGACAAAATGAAAATAAATTAATGCATGGATGTATCTCTATGAAGGCTGTGAGGCTAACATGGAACATGACAAACACATAACATTTAGTGCATGAAATTTACTGTATTCCCATTTATAGGGCATTAAGTTCTGAAGATTACCATGGGTACTCATCTACAAAATACAAACTACACCTGTAAAAGATAAACAGCATCTTCAACTCACAAGCACTTGAGGGTGTTAGAAAGTTAGTAGTTGAAGTCATGAGCTTTTAGCTGTAACTGGTGTATTGATGATTTTATACGAGAAATATTTGAAACCATGATCACATATACACATACATAAGAAATAACAGCATCTATTTATTTATACCATCAGGTAAACACATCTACCTTCCACAGTGAACTTACTGTGAATACTGACTTTCATTATAAAATTGTTATTATGGACAATTGCAACATAGCAAGAAAGTGAGTATTCAGT